>NC_000007.14:63112839-63415869 GCF_000001405.40 Homo sapiens | reverse complement strand
CTTATGTTATACATAACAGAAAGTATTTTATATTTGAAACATATGGCAACATTGTCATAACTACATTCTACTAAAAATGTTGCACAATACATACTCCAAAAAATTAGAACTTTCCTTGGGGACATATGGTTTTTCTAAAGATAATTGTGTTCATTATTCTGATAAGCAATTCCTCCAAAGGTAAATGTGGCTATCTGGGATTCTGGGAATATCCTGAAAAGTTACATGTTCTAAAAATAGTTCCATTGAAAAAAAACACCATAAAGCCTAGACAATGTAGCAAGTGCTTAACTGCAGAGTTTAGTTCTAAGTGCTAAAGTAAAAAAAAGGGGCTGGGCATGGTGGCTCACACCTGTAATCCAAGCACTTTGGGAGGCTGAGGTGGGCAGATTACTTGAGTTCAGGAGGTCGAAACCAGCCTGGGCAACATGATGAAACCCTGTCTGCCCCTGAAAATACAAAAAAAAAAAAAAAAAAAAATAGCCAGGCGTGGTGGTGGGTGCCTGTAATCCCAGCTACTCAGGAGGCTGAGGCAGGAGAATCGCTTGAACCCGGGAAGTGGAGGTTGCGGTGAGCCGAGATAGTGCAAATGCACTCCAGCCTGGGCAATAGAGTGAGACTCCATCTCAAAAAAATAAAACAAAGAAAGAAGCACAGGCAGCAGAAAGAAGGGAGGATGAGACAGTCCATCTGGCAGGGTGAGGCTTCCTACAATAGGTTGATAATAATAGGGGCATCATTTCTTGGGTTTTTACAGCTCTCAGGGGTAGATGTGGTGCCACACTAGAATCAAAGTAAGGGAGATGAACCTGACCAGCCTAACTAAAGCCAAAGGCCTCAAGGTTCTGCAAATCTAAGAAAAATGAGATAGAATATGAAGCCTGCAGTCAAAGTGAGATAAATAGGGAAGCTAGTCAGTCCGTGCCTTGGCTGATTTGGGAAGGAAGGCCAACTGTACTGATATGTTGGGGTTTGAATTGACCCGGAGTTTTTATAGAGAAAAATTTAATAAGTTAATTTAAATGTTTTCAGATTCATGTAGAGAAGAAAACAAAAATTCCAAGACAATTTTTTTTTTTTGAGGAAAAAACCCTCAACCCAAAAAACTGAAAATCTTATCAGTTCAGGCTTGTCAAGTATAATCACACAACGTAATTTTTTTAAATATGCAAAATAAAGGACACAAAAATTAATTTTGTTCAAAAATAACAACAATCATAAAACACTTGTACCAGTAGACTTCAAGGAATTCCGAGCAGACGTACAGAAAATATGTAAGCTAGGCATGGTGGCGCTTGCCTATAATCCCAGCATTTTGGGAGGCCAAGGCAGTAGAATCACTTGAGGCCAGGAGTTTTAGGCTAGCCTGGTCAACATAGCATAACGTAATTTCTATAAAAATACAAAAATAAAAATATATACATACATAGTTAAAATATTTAGATAAATATAAGGGATATGAGCAAAGTAAAAAATAGGAGCTAAAGTATAAGAAAAAGAATGAGCTAACAATGCCAGGTGCGGTGGCTCACGCCTGTAATCCCAGCACTTTGGAAGGCCGAGGCAAGCAGATCACGAGGTCAGGAGATCGAGACCATCCTGGCTAACACGATGAAATCCCATCTCTCCTACAAACACAAAAAGTTAGCTGGGCGCGGTGGCATGTGCCTGTAATCCCAGCTACTTGGGAGGCTGAGGCAGGAGAATTGCTTGAACCCGGGAGGTGGAGGTTGCAGTGAGCCAACATGGCGCCACTGCACTCAAGCTGGGCAACAGAGCGAGACTCCGTCAAACAGAAAAAAAAAAACATAGATGTCAGGACAAGGAGAAAAATGAGTGGAAAATATGCAAGTCAGAATAAGTTAAAAATGAAATAAGAGTGCTATGTCTAATGGTTTGTTGTTGTTGTTGTTTGGTTTTGGTTTGGTTTGGTTTTTGAGGTGGAGTCTCACTCTGTCGCCCAGGCTGGAGTGCAGTGGCACGATCTCGGCTCACTGCAACGTCCCCCTCCCGGGTTCAAGCGATTCTCCTGCCTCAGCCTCCTGAGTAGCTGGGACTACAGGCGCCGGCCACCACAGCCCAGCTCATTTTTGTATTTTTAGTAGAGACAGGTTTCACCATGTTGGCCAGTCTGGTCTTGAATTCCTGACATCAGGTGATCCACCCGCTTTGGCCTCCGAAAGCGCTAGGATTACAAATGTGAACCACCGCGCCTGGCCTTGTCTAATGATTTTTTGAACAAAATAGAGAAAATATGGCATGCTTAAACATTTTGAAGAACTAATAAAACATCAACCAAGGAAAGTACAAAAAATATCTAAAAACATCATAATAACTAAAAAGCTTAACACCAAAATGATTTAAAATCATTGAAATATAAAATGTGAATCAACTACAAAGCAACAAGAGATTTTTAACCCATATTTGGCATCTTCATAGAATTCACAAATCAATGGATATTATGTTCAAAGTTCTGAGTTAAAATATCTGTCAATTTTGAATTGCATCCCTAGTTAAAAATTTTTTAAGATCAAAGATAAAATGTAAAATAATTCATATAAGTAATACAAACTAAGTTTACTTCAGTTATTTACTTGTTTAATAAACTTATTAATTACATTAGTCATTACATAAATAAAATGCTGCTTCCTATTGTGAAACATATAATTTGTGAAGCATATAATGTTCAAAATTTTGTCTCTAAAACAGGTAACATTTTGAATGAAGAGAACAAAAATTTAATGATTGGTATAAAAATAAATTTCAGGAAAATGAAAGGTTTGCATGATGACATAATTAACATAATAGAAAGGACAGAAATCTCAATATTTGTTTTTACACATTTTGGAGGGAAAGTAACCCTGAGATATTAAAGTGCAGAAAATAATATTAATTATATTCTTGAGTTTTCAAACCCCTCTTTCCTTGGTACTTACAGAACATCCAGCACAGGCCCAGGATTCCCTGGGTGTTTCTGCCAAGGAGACTATCCAGCGGAATTAAAGCGGAAAGCCATGTGCACAAAGATGGATGGATGCTCACCTCTAAGAGATCAGTGGGTGCAGGTTGCAGAGGGAGTTGGGTGAGTGCAGTTTTTAGAGGGAGTTGTGTGGGTGCAGGTTGCAGAGGGAGTTGGCCCTTCTTGGAGGTCCAGGGAGGGGCTACAGGCACCATCCTTGAAGTGGGTCCTGGAACTCCACTGAGCCCTCCTGCCTACAGGGGCCTTAGAGGGTCCTGGGGGAGGCCAGCCTGGGTGCCCTGTCCTGTCCGTGGCCCCTGAGTCCTACCTCACCCGCTAGCTTTTTTTTTTTCTTACAGAGGAATCAGGGTGGCAACCCCAATGCAGCCTTGCTAGAGGAAGGATATCAAAAGTGTCAGGGTGATGGGAATAGCATTAAATCTATGAATTACTTTGGGCAGTGTGGTCATTTTCACGATATTGATTCTTCTTATCCATAAGCATGGAATATTTTTTCCATTTGTTTGTGTCCTCTCTTATTTCCTTGAGCAGTGGTTTGTAGTTCTCCCCGAAGAGGTCCTTCGTGTCCCTTGTGAATTGTATTCCTAGGTGTTTTATTCTCTTTGTAGCAATTGTAAATGGGATTTCATTCATTATTTGGACCTCTGCTTGTCTATTATTGGTGTGTAGGAATGCTTGTGATTTTTGCACATTGATTTCATATCCTGAGACTTTGTTGAAGTTGGTTATCAGCCCAAGGAGTTTTGGGGCTGAGACAATGGGGTTTTCTAAATATACAATCTTGTCGCCCGCAAACAGACAATTTGACTTCCTCTCTTCTTATTCGAATACCCTTTATTTCTTTCTCTTCCCTCACTGCCCTGGCCAGAACTTCCAATACTGTGTTGAATAGGAGTGGTGAAAGAGGGCTTCCTTGTCTTGTGCCAGTTTTCAAAGGGAATGCTTCCAGCTTTTTTGCCCATTCAGTATGATATTGGCTATGCGTTTGTCATAAATAGCTCTCATTATTTTGAAGTATGTTCCCTCAATACCTAGTTTATTCAGGGTTTTTAGCATGAAGGGGTGTTGAATTTTATTGAAGGCCTTTTCTGCATTTATTGAGATAATCATGTGGTTTTTGTGGTTGGTTCTGTTAATGTGATGGATTACATTTATTGATTTGCATATGTTAAACCAGCCTTGCATCTCAGGAATGAAGCTGACTTGATCGTGGTGGATAAGCTTTTTAATGTGCCACTGGATTTGGTCTGCCAGTATTTTATTGAGGATTTTTGCATCAATGTTCATCAGGGATATTGGCCTGAAATTTTCTTTGTTTGTTGTGTCTCTGCCAGGTTTTGGAATCAGGATGACACTGGCTTGATAAAATGAGTTAGGGAGGAGTCCTTCTTTTTCTGTTGTTTGGAATAGTTTCAGAAGGAATGGTACTAGCTCCTCTTTGTACCTCTGGTAGAATTCGACTCTGAATTGGTCTGGTCCTGCCTGGGCTTTTTTTTTTTTTTTTTGGTTGGTAGGCTATTAATTACTCCCTCAATTTCAGAACTTGTTATTAGTCTATTTAGAGATTCAACTTCTTCCGTGTTTAGTCTCGGGAGGATGTATGTGTCCAGGAATTTATCCATTTCTTCTAGATTTTCTAGCTTATTTTCGTAAAAATATTTATAGTATTCTCTGATGGTAGTTCATATTTCTGTGGGATCAGTGTTGATATCCCATTTATCACTTTTTATTGTGTCTCTTTGATTCTTCTCTCTTTTCCTTTTTATTAGTCTAGCTAGTGGTCTACCTATTTTGTTAATCTTTTCAAAAAACCAGCTCCTGGATTCATTGATTTTTTTAAGGCTTTTTTCATGTCTCTATCTCCTTTAGTTCTGCTCTGATCTTAGTTATTTCTTATCTTTTGCTAGCTTTTGAATTTGTTTGCTCTTGCTTCTCTAATGCTTCTAATTGTGATATTAGGGCATTGATTTTAGATCTTTCCTGCTTTCTGATGTGAGCATTTAGTGCTATAAATTTCCCTCTTAACACTGCTTTAGCTAGGTCCTAGAGATTTTGGCACATTGTGTCTTTGTTCTCTTTGGTTTCAAAGAACTTCTTTATCTCTGCCTTAATTTTTTTTATTTACCCAGTCGTCATTCAGGAGCAGATTGTTCAGTTTCCATGTAGTTTTGTAGTTTTGAGTGAGTTTCTTAATCCTGAGTTCTAATTTGATTGCACTGTGGTCTGAGAGACTGTTTGTTATGATTTCATTCTTTTTGCATTTGCTGAGGAATGTTTTACTTCCAATTATGTGGTCAATTTTAGAATAAGTGCTATGTGGTGCTGAGAAATATGTATATTCTGTTGATTTGGGGTGGGGAGTTATATAGATGTCTATTTGGTCTGCTTGGTCCAGAGCTGAGTTCAAGTCTTGAATATCCTTGTTAGTTTTCAGTCTCATTGCTCTGTCTAATATTGACAGTGGGGTGTTAAAGTCTCCTACTATTATTGTGTGGGAGTCTAATTCTCTCTGTAGGTCTCTAAGAACTTGTTTTATGAATCTGGGTGCTCCTGTATTGGGTGCATATATATTTAGGATAGTTAGTTCTTCTTGTTGCGTTGATCCCTTTACCACCACATAATGCCCTTCTTTGTCTTTTTTGGTCTTTGTTGGTTTAAAGTCTGTTTTATCAGAGACTAGGATTGCAACCCCTGCTTTTTTGTGTGTGTTCCATTTGGTTGGTAAATATTCTTCCATCCCTTTATTTTGAGCCTATGTGTGTCTTTGGATATAAAATGGGTGTCCTGAATACAGCACAGTGATGAGTCTTGACTCTTTGTCCAATTTGCCAGTCCATGTCTTTTAATTGGGGGCATTTAACCCATTTACATTTAAAGTTAATATTGTTATGCGTGAATTTGATCCTGGCATCATGATGCTAGCTGGTTATTTCACACATTAGTTGATGCAGTTCCTCATAGTGTCGCTGGTCTTTACATTTTGGTGTGTTTTTGCAGTGGCTGGTACCAGTTTTTTCCTTTCCATATTTAGTGCTTCCTTCAGAAGCTCTCGTAAGGCAGGCCTGGTGGTGACAAAATCCCTCAGCATTTGCTTGTCTGGAAAGGATTTTATTTCTTCTTCACTAATTAAGCTTAGTTAGGCTGGATATGAAATTCTGGGTTGAAAATTATTTTCTTTAAGAATGTTGAATATTGGCCCCCACTCTCTTCTGGCTTGTAGGGTTTCTGCAGAGAGATCCACTGTTAGTCTGACAGGCTTCTCTTTGCAGGTAATCTGACCTTTCTCTCTGGCTGCCCTTAACTTTTTTTCCTTTGTTTCAACCTTGGATAATCTGATGATTATGTGTCTTGGGGTTGCTCTTCTCGAGGAGTATCTTAGTGGTGTTCTCTGTATTTCCTGAATTTGAATGTTGGCCTGTCTTGCTAGGTTGGGGAAGTTCTCCTGCATAACATCCTGAAGTGTGTTTTCCAACTTGGTTCCATTCTCCCCATCAATGTCAGGTACACCAATCAATTGTACGTTTGGTCTTTTCACATAGTCCTATATTTCTTGGAGGCTTTGTTCCTTTTCATTCTTTTTTCTCTAATCTTGTCTCCCTACCTTATTTCAGTAAGTTGATCTTCAATCTCTGATATCCTTTCTTCCACTTGATCAATTTGGCTATTGATACTTGTGTATGCTTCACAAAGTTTTCATGCTGTGTTATTCAGCTCCATCTGGTCATTTATGTTATTCTCTAAGCTGGTGACTCTATAATAACTGTTGGTTATTACAGCAGTTCCTGTAGCCTCTTATCAAGGTTCCTAGCTTCCTTGCATTGGGTTAGAACATAGTCTTTTAGCTCAGAAGAGTTTTGTTATTACCCAACTTCTGAAGCCTACTTCTGTCAATTCATCAAACTCATTCTCCTTTCAGTTTTGTGCCCTTGCTGGAGAGGAGTTGTGATCATTTAGAGGAGAAGAGGCATCCTGGTTTTTGGAATTTTCAGTATTGTTACACTGGTTTTTCCTCATTTTGTGGATTTAGTTACCTTTGATCTTTGAGGCTGATGACCTTTGGCTTGGGTTTTTGCGTGGGGGTCCTTTTTGTTGATTTTGATGTTGTTGCTTTCTGTTTGTGAGTTTTTCTTCTAACAGTCAGGCCCCTCTTCTGCAGGTCTGCTGCAGTTTGCTGGAGGTCCACTCCAGACCCTGTTTGCCTGGGTGTCACCAGCAGAGGCTGCAGAACAGCAAAGATTGCTGCCTGCTCCTTCTTCTGGAAGCTTCGTCCCAGAGGGGGCACTGGCCTGATGCCAGCTGGGGCTCTCCTCTATGAGGTGTCTGTTGACTCCTGCTGGGAGGTCTCTCCCAGTCAGGAGGCATGGGGATCCGGGACCCACTTGAGGAGGCAGTCTAAGAGCTCGAGCGCTGTGCTGGGAGAATCCTCCTTTTCAGGATCTGCTGCTGTCTTCAGAGCCAGCAAGCAGAAATGTTTAAGTCCACTGAGGCTGTGCCCACAGCTGCCCCTTCCCCCAAGTGCTCTGTCCCAGGGAGATGGGAGTTTTATCTATAACCCCCTGACTGGGGCTGCTGCCTTTCTTTCAGAGATTCCCTGCCCAGTGAGGAGGAATCTAGAATGGCAGTCTGGCCACAACCGCTTTGCTGCACTCTGTTGAGTTCTGCTCAGTCCAAACTTTCCAGCCTCTTTAGCACTGTCAGAGAAAAACTGACTACTGAAGCCTCAGTAATGGTGGACACCCCTTCCCTTACCAAGCTCAATCATCCCAGGTTGACTTCAGACTGCTGTGCTGGCAGTGAGAATTTCGAGCCGGTGGTTCTTAGCTTGGTGGCCTCCATGGGAGTGGGACCCGCTTATCGAGACCACTTGGCGCCCTGGATTCAGTCCTCTTTCCAGGGGAGTGAACAGTTCTGTCTCGCTGGGGTTCCAGGTGCTACTGGAGTATGAAGAAAAAATTCCTGCAGCTATCTCGGTGTCTGCCCAAACAGCTGCCCAGTTTTGTGCTTGAAACCCAGGCCCCTGTTTGTATAGGCACACAAGGGAATCTCCTGCTCTGTGGATTGCAAAAACTGTGGGAAAAGCATAGTATCTGGACCGGATAGCACAGTGTCTCACCACTTCCCTTGGCTGGAGGAGGGAGTTCCCTGGCTCCTTGCACTTCCCGGGTGAGGTGATGCCCCAACCTGCTTCTGCTCGCCCTCCGTGGGCTGCATCCACTGCCTAACCAGTCCTAATGAGATGAACTGGATACCTCAGTTGGAAATGCAGAAATCACCCGCTTTCTGCATTGGTCTTGCTGGGAGCTGCAGACTGGAGCTGTTCCAAGCAACCCCACTTTCTCTCTTTTTGCTCCTCAAAGTCACTAAGGTCTTAAGAGCTAACACTGAAGATCAACTTTGTATTTGTATACATGTTTTATTACAGAAAATTTAAAACATATACAAAATAAAACAGTATAATACAACTGTTACCCAGGCTCAACAACCTGTGCCAAGTTTGTTTTATCCATACTTCAATGCATTTTCTTCCCAGACTTTATTATTATTTTTTTCTGAAATAAGATGTGTGCTAATTGAAGGTAAAATCTTGGCTGAGCACAATGGCTTAAGCCTGTGTAATTCCATCCTTTTGGAATGACAAGACAGGAGGCTCACTTGAGCGTCAGAGTTTAAGAGCAGCCTGGGCAACATAGTGAGACCACATGGCTACTAAAAATAAAAAAAAAAAAAAAATGAGGCATGATGGTGCATGCCTGTATTCCTAGCTACTTGGGATGCTGACATAGCAGGATCCCTTGAGTCTGGCAGGGTGAGGCTTTAGTGAGATGTGATTGGGCAGCTACACACAAGCCTGGGTGACAGTGAGACTGTCTCAAAAAAAAAAAAAAAGAAAGGTTTACTCTTAACTGTACCTTTTTAAACATCAGTACACATATATAAACAATTTTTCTTTTAAGAATAGAAGTACCCAAGTTAATAATCATTAACGTGAACCCATTTGTTACTCAGACTTTATCTTTTAATTAGTTTTTCTTTTTTAAAATAAGATGTGAGCTCATTGAAAGGACCAATCTTGGCCAGGCATAGTGGCTTGCATTTGTAATTCCATCCCTTTGGGAAGCCAGAGCTCACGAGTTTGAGACCAGCCTGAGCAACGTAACAAGACCTCACTGGGGCAACGTAGTGAGACATCATCTCTACAAACATTTTTTAAAAATTACTTGGGCATGATGGTGCACACTTGTAGTCCCAGCTATTTGGGATGCTGACATGGGAGGATCGCTCGAGCCTGGGAGGTCAAGGCTGCAGTGAGCTGTAATTGCACCACTACACTCCACCCTGAGTGACAGATTGAGACGCTGAGAAAAAAAGGTACAATCTTAACTGTACCTGTTTGACACATCAATACATCCATATAAACAATCCCTTTCGTAAAAATAAAAGTACCCCACTTAACAATATTGATATGCATGGGAATTACCTATACATTTTTTATTTCTTTTAGTTTGGATTTTTATTGAAAGGAAACACCTAGAAACATTACGTAAAATCTAGATTTTGAAAAAAATAGACCTGAACTTGGTTTGAGAATTTCAAAATAGACATGAGTTTTGTCTGAGAATTTGTCTTTCTAACAACATACAGATCTTACAGCACATGGTAGATACAAGGACTCTTTTATCTAAAATAAATAAAATTTGACGAATAAACATTTTAAAATTTGACCTGTGGCTAAAGGATGAATCAAAACACCTGTGCAATGGGTTATCTGTAGAAGTATATTTTAATGACAAACTATTAATAACCAAAAAAGTTATAATAATTTATTAACTAACATGAGCAAAATTCCTATTATGGTATCTATGAAAATGCTTTCTTAGAGTAAAATATTCTCTTATCTTGCAAGGGCACTGGTTAATAACAGCAAAGATTTGGAGGTCAATGTCTCATAAAGTAAGTAGCAGACCCCTTTCACACCCATAGCTGGCCTTCAGAGTTATCGAAAAAATGGTCATTTACACAAGAGCAGATAATTTTCTTAGGTTCTATTAAGTTTATATGTTAATGTTGTTACAAAATTTAACTCAGTTTTCTCATAAGATTATCTGACAAAATTTTATATGTTATAATATCACAATATATTATGTAATATCATGTAATATAATAAAATTTTGTCAGATACGGTGTCATATATATAATTTGTTATTTCATAAAACATATACAAAAAAACAAAATTTTATGTTATGATATCACAATGTATTATACCATATATTATATATGATTATATATCATGTATTATATTATGATATCACAATGTATTATGATATATATCGTATGTATAATACATGATATTATATCACAATATATTATGACATCATTATATATTATGTCTGACATATATTATGTCACAGTATATTATATTATATAATATATTATATTATATTATATTATATTATATTATATTATATTATGTTGCATTATATATTATATTATATAGTCCAGCTAATTGACATGGCCCAGCAGACTGCCCAGGGCATGAACTACCTCCATGCCAAGAATATCATCCAAGGCGATCTCAAGTCTAATAACATTTTTCAACACAAAGATGAGTGACTCTCGTCTGGCCACAGTGAAGACAGAGTGAAGCAGGGCCCAGCCCTTGGAGAAGCCTTCAGGTTCTGTTTTGTGGATCGCAGCTGACCTGAACCCCTTCAGCTTCCAGTCGGACGTCTATGCCAGTGTGGCTGTGCTCTAAAATCTCACGACTGGCTCACTGCCTTACAGCCACATTGGCAGCTGTGACCAGATTATCTTTATGGTGGGCTGTGACTCTTCATCCCTGGACCTCAGAAAAATCTCCAGCAACTGCCCGAAGCCATGTGGTGCCTGCTGTCTGACTGCCTCATGTTCCAGCAAAAGGAGTGGCTCCATTTGCCCCAGACTCTCACCACAATTTTTCTGCTGCAAGGGTCGCTCCCCAAGATGGAGGGGAATACCTCTAAATCGTCCTTTTATCAAACCCAAGCTGATGAGTTTCCTTCCTGACTACTCAACACAGGCTGTCTTGAGCCTGACCTTACTCCCAGCCACTAGGGAGCCAATCTGAGCCCGCCATGCCAAGGAGCCCTGCCCACCAACGAATCAATGTTTTATCTCTGTCCTGAAGTTGCATCAGGATCTCATATCCCCCACCCTGTTAGATGAGGGGGTCCTGATGTGCTTTCCCAGTTCCTCTAAAATTGGAAAACTCTTAAAGATTGAGCCCCTGCCCCCCTCCATCATTTTATTTTTTGGCTTAGAAGATACCTCTAAATTGGGGGAACTCCTTCATCTCTCATGGCTAAAATTTGTAGCAGGGATTTCACTCAGAACCTCTATGGGATTTGTGCCTGATGTGACTTCCACTGGACTTTGGGGTTCTCAACACATCATGTATTTTGGGGGTTCCCTTTTTGTCCTCTCCTCCATTCAAGGACTACTGTCTTACTTCATTAAAATACAGAGAATTTTGCTGAAAAAAAATAAAGTGTTTCAAATAAAACCTTCCCAACCTTTGCCTCTGGGGAAAACATAATTTTATTAAATTATTTATGTATGTATTTGACCTCTGCTCTAAAAAGAGACACTACTCACTTCACACAAGGCTGTTAGTTATTTAAAAACATCCTTGAAAAGATTGTCCAAATGGAAGCTTATATAAGATGTAAAACAAATTAACCAACAGGTCTATAAAAATTGGCTCCCAACAGAGTACAACATACACTTAAAAATACAGAAATATTGGTACAACCATTACAGAAACACTGTGAAGCTTTCTCAAATAATTAAAATAGAATTGCCATATTATCCAGCAATTTCACTTCCAGATATATAACCAAAGAAAATAAAATTAGTATCTAAAAGAGACACCTGCCCTTCTGTATTCATAGCAGAATTATTTACAATGACAGAGACATGCAAACAATCTAGGTATCCATTAATAGATGAACGGGTAAAGAAATTATGGAATATTTATATAATGGAATATTATTCAGCCATAAAAAAGAGAATTCTGCCATTTGCTACAATACGAATGAACCTAGAGGACATTAGGTTAAATGAAATAAGCTAGACACAGAATGACAAATACTGTTTGATTTCACTCATATATGAAGCCAAAAATGTCAAAGTCATAGAAACAGAGAGTCCACAGTGGTTGCTAGGGGGTGGTGGCTGGCAGAAATGAAGACACGGTGATCAAAACTTTTAGATATAAAATAAACAAGTTCCGGTGATTTAGTGCACAGCATGGATGTTCACGAATGTTGTCTTAGGCTATCCCTATTTCTGTAATAAAATACTTTAGAACAGGTAATTTATATAGAGTCTAAACTTACTTCTCACAGTTACAGAGGCTGAGAAGTCCAAGACCAGGGCACTAGCAGATACACATAATATAGTACCTGCTAATTACATTAATTTGATAATTGCACCATATATATGTATGTAGGTAGGTATTGGAGCTTCACATTTTAACCTTATATTCATTTTATGAAAACGTTGCTCCTGTACAACTTTATTCTGTCTTTCCCTCCTAGTTTGGGTACTAATGTTTAAATCTACATATGTTACAAACACAACAGTTTGTAGTTATCTGCTTACATAATTTTATTTTTTTAAATAAGCTGAAATAAGAAAAAAGAGCACTTGTGTATTTACAGGTTTGTTTTGTTAAACTTCTTATTATTCATTATGTTATTGTAATCCTTCACTTTTTCTGACGTACTTTTTTAAATCTTTGTAGATACAAGTTATTATCTGGAAAGATTTTCTTAGCCCAATATATCTTTTCTTGAACCCACTTTCTCTGTGCTGTAATTGGCAAATAAATTAAATTTCTTTATGTTATAGCACTGAAGATCCCATTACAAACAATATTACACAGTTGCTTTTGACAATCAGATAATATGAGAAAAAAATTTCTTATATTGCCTTAAATATTTGTTACATTTACTAGTCCTCTTTGTCTTTTGGGGGCATTAAAATTATCTGGGATTACTTGCATTCAGCCTGAAAACTTATTTTTATTCTTTCTCAAATGATCTGTCTGCTATCAAAAAATTGCCTCAGCTTTTATTTACCTGAAATGTCTTTTTTATTTATTTTTAATTGATAGTTTTTCTGAGGATAAAATTTTTAGTGGACATTTTTTCATCTTTGAGCATTGAAATATGTATATATTCTTAGAAGTTGAAAAGCTTTTAAGAAGAAAAAAAGTTTTGATCTGAGAATGTTCAGTGATTTGAGGAATTCAGAAGGGAAGGAAATGCTTTCTGATGAGTGAGCCACAAGTACTCTATGAGTATAGATAATGTGCACCCTACATGGGTGTGATTGTGGATGTATGGAAGTTTCAGATACGTATAACTTATTTGTTGTAAGATAAAATGCTTAGGCTACATTTTAAAGAATTTATATGAGATAGTCCAGGTTAATCAGGATAAATGGGTAAAATTAAAATGATAATATTGGTAATAATTTTGACCGTGCAATAAATAATACTGATGATAGGATATCTATTGCTTTTTCAGATATATAAAATATGATCCCTCTTCACCATTAAGACGACCATAGTCCACTTATGACACTATTAAAAATTGCCCTTTTTTCCCAAGCTGGTATTGGACTCACAGCCAACACCTTCCTCCTTTTCTTCTGTATCTGCACACTCCCTCTGGACTGCAGGCCTAAGCCCACTGACCTCATCACCTGTCACCTGGCCCTTGTCCACTTAGTGATGCTCCTCACTGTGAGCTTCTTGGCATCTCTGGACCTCTTTGAGTCACAGTATTTTCAGAATGACTTCAAGTGTAAGGTATTCTTCTACATGCATAGAGGGATGAGGGCTCTCCATCTGCACCACCTGCCTCCGGAGTGTGCTCCAGGCTGTCACCATTACCCCCGGCACCTCCTGGTTGGCAAGAATTAAACAGAAATTCACACATTGCATCTTTCACTTCTTGGGGTTCTCAGTTTCTTTCTCAGTAGTAACCTGCCTTCCTCCACTGTGGCCTCTTCTAATGTGACCGACAGCAATGTGCCAAGTATCAGTAAATACTGTTCACTTTCTTACATAAGCTACATCATCAGGAGTCTGTCTTTCATGCTGCCACTACTTGCAGATGTCTTCTTTGTAGCAGTCATGTTGCTCTCAAGGGCATACATGGTAATTCTTTTGTCCAGGCATCAGAGACAACCCCAGTACCTTCCCAGCACCAACCTGTCTGCAAAAGCCTCCCCAGAGAAAAGGGCCACCTAGACCATTCCGATGCTGGTGAGTTGCTTTGTGCTCATGTATTGGGTGGGCCTCATCATCTCATCCTCCTCAACCCTGTTATGGGCTTATGACTCATTCATCATGGGTGTCCAGATGCTTATGGGCAATTTCTATCTGTTAGCCCTTTTATGCTAATTAGTTCTGATAATAGAATAATCAAAATTTTGCATAATGTGTTATATAAATATCATAGATGATAATAAATTATGAAAATAATTATCTGAAAAACAGATTTGGACATCAAATAATTCAAGAAGCAGGTGATTTTATATATTATTTTATTACACTTTTATTTCATCTAAATACTTTTGAAAACTATGCTGCCAAGAACTTGGTGGTTTCTTTAAAGTCCACCGTCATAGTCCCCTGTGTCCACAAGTTTCTTATATTTAATTTTGATCCCTTAAGTTTTATATAAGACAACTTTTCTATCTTCTTGAAGTGTACACTTAAGATGCTCCTGTTGGTAGATAAAATTTCTCTTTGTGTGTGTGTGTGTGTTTTACTTCTGAAGGTTATTTAGTTTACCCTTATTTATTAAATATATGCTAGCTATGTATTCAGTTACTGGTTGAACAATAATTTTTCAGCACTCTTAATATTTCCTTCTCAGTTTTCTGGCTCTGCCTGGGCTGTGGAGATTTCACTCTCACATGTGTAGATTCTCTCTCTCTCTCTCATGGCTTTGAAGTTTCTTCATTCTCTTTGGTGTTATGCAGTTTGACTTATGGTGTTGGATATCTTTCTTTATTGCTTTTTCTTTTTTTAATTTGGTGACGGAATCTTGCTCTGTCACCCAGGCTGGAGTCTTGGCTCGCTGCAACCTCCGCCTCTCGGGTTCAAGGGATTCTCCTGCCTCAACCTCCGGAGTAGCTGGGATCACAGGCAGCTGACACCATGCCCGGCTAAGTTTTTTGTATTTTTTTGTATTTTTAGTAGACACGGGGTTTCACCTGGTTGGCCAGGTTGGTCTTCAACTCCTGACCTCAAGTGACCCGCCCTCCTTGGCCTCGCAAAGTGCTGTGATTACAGATGTGAGCCACTACACCCAGCCTCTTTATTGCTTGCTTTCAGGCACAGTGTCTCTTTTAGGCACATGTCTGGTTTTTACTTTTAGAAATTTGTAAATAATTATTTATTAGTATGACTTATTATTTGTATGAATTCAAGTGAAATAATTGTGCTTTATTCTTTGTCATTCTATTCTTCACATATGTATAATTACATTCATATTACTATTATTTTGTTTCTCTTTCTTTTATTTGGTTATATTCGTTCTGCTCAAAATTTCAGTTCATTAATCCAGTTCACTAATTCTCTCATCAACGTAGTCTAATTTTATAATTAACTCACATATCGTATATTAAATTTCTTTATGTTTAAATTATTCCATTTCTATTTGACTCTTTTCCAAATTTCCTCATTCAGTTTATAGTTTCCTGCTCTTTCAAAAATTATTTGGATATCATCTTTTCCTCAATTGTTTTTACCTAAACATTTAAAATATTTAAATTTAATATTTTATATTAATATGTACAAATATAAATATATTTATAATACTTTTAAAATTTAAAATATTACAAATATATTTCCAGTATGCAAAGTTTATGTGATATCAAATTTCTTCCAACCGGGCCAGGCACAGTGGCTCATGCCTGTATTGGGAGGGAGAGGCAATCCCATCACTTGAGGCCAGGAGTTCCAGACCAGCCTGGTGAACATGGTGAAACCCCATCTCTACTAAAAACACAAAAATTAGCTGGGCATGGTGAGGCATGCCTGTAACCCCAGCTACTCGGGAGGCTGAGGCAGGAGAATCACTTGAACCCGGAAGGCGGAGGTTGCATTGAGCCTAGATCCGGCCACTGCACTCCAGCCTGTATAACAGAGCAAGACTCTGTCTCAAAAAGAAAAATCTTCTAACCCTTTTTCCTCGTAGCTTATTTTCTTCTGTGCTTCATACTTTTTATTTATTTTTTATTTTTTACAATAGGATCCGGTTTATTCTGCCTTGGCAGGGTGATCCTGAGAGTGGTGGGTGTCACCCTCTCCTGGGCAGAGGGAGGGGCCGTGGGCCAGTCAAGCCAATGGTAGGAGAAGCGCTGGTGAGGGGTGGAATTTGGGGTTCAGGGGTGTAACCCCAAGAATGCAGTGAAACCAGGCCGAGGCCCAGAGGCAGCTGTGGTAGGCCAGGGCAGGGTGGAAGGCAGTGGACTGGGCCCGGGCCGGGATGACAGGGCCAAGGACTCAGGCCACACTGGCACCCCGGGAGGCGGGGCGCAGTGTCGCATGACGTAGAAAATGAATCACAGGCCCAGGGCTCACAATAAGCACATGGACAAGTGGGCACAGACTCACAGGCCAGATGGACCTCCAGCCACGGCCGGGCCAGACTCGTGGACACAGGCGCAGTGTCACGTACACACCACGGGGAGACATGGCACTAGGGGACAAATGGACGTGACACCACAATGCACAGGGCAGGCCACAGAGCTCGAGGGACGTGGGCAGGGGCCTTTTGGCATTTCTGCGCTGGAATCATGTGAGACAAGGGTGGTGGCCGCTCTGGAGGTGCCTGGGGGGTTCCCTCATTACCCCTCTGGGCTTAGTCCATCCTCCACACTGTTGTGCAGCTTCTCCACCTCCTGGTAGAGGATAAATACTGTTACCCTTATCCCTGGTCACATCCAGGGAGACGCGTCCAGCGGCCAGGCGGGGACAGTGCCGTTCTAGAGGTCCTTGAGCCCCTCCTTCCTCAGGATCTGCAGCCATAGGCCGGTGTGTTCCGCGTTTGTGCTGCTCCAGGCCCCGCATCCGGTCTCGATCCCATCCAGAGGAGCGTTTCCCAAGACACTGGCTGCGCCCACAATGGCTCCGAAGACCCCAGCGACCAGCGGGTCCATGGGCTTGCTGGGGTTGTCCCCTCGGTACCAGCTGTGCAGGGAGGTCAGGAGGAGAAGCAGACGGCCTGGTTCCAGCCCTGCTTTAGCGTGGGTGCCATGAGGCCCCGGTGAGTCCCCTTGTTCTCGCACAATCTCTCTAACCTGGTGGGAGACTCCTCTGCACTGGAGGTCTGGGAAGGTCTGGCCGTGGATGAACTTCACCTTGATGGTGTCCATGGAACATACGACCACCATGGCCTCGGCCACGCCAGCGCCCTGGCCGCACCGCAGCCAGCGCTGCCGTCAGGCCGTCCCTGGGCATCCCGCGTCTGGCTGCTGTGGAACTGGAACATTCAGAACCCAACGCCGCCCTGGAGACAAGAGCCGCAGAGCAGGGAGCCGAGGCCGCGGTGCCGGCCCGGGACGCCATGACCGCGACAGTGCGCACGCGGGATCCATGCGCGGTGCCCGGCTGGTGCCAGCGCTCGTCCGGCTGCAGCTACGACCTCCCGCGCTCCGTGGGGAGCGGACGCCCATTTCAATGCCGCCGGCCAGGCCGCCTGCTGGTGTCGCCTTCCCCGGAGCCTCCGCTGGGCCTTCCCGGACGCGGCGCGGCGTGGCCACGGCGGGCGGGAGGCGGGCGCCCGCTGTGATCTGAAGTCCCAGCCTCCTAAACTCCGCACTGGGACCTTAATTTGGTTTTAACACAAATGAAGATCTCACTAAAGATAAAAAGGGATGTCTTGGCTTCTAATTTTTGTTAAAAGCAATAGCATATGTTGTATAGGATAGTGCATTGGGGTAAATCTTTTTTTTATTATTTTTATTTTTTCATCAGCCCACTGACATTGAAAGGGGATAGGTTTTAGGTTATTGACGAGCAGTTTTCTCTCAGATAACTGCCTTAGTATAGGGGTTTGTGGTCATGTTGATGAGAGGGTAGGCTGGGGTTAAAAGTCGTTATGGCAGTAACAACCTTCTGAGGACCAGGAAATTCAAATCCCTCTCATGATACTTTGCTAATATCTCCCGAGTTTGCTGTGCCTTCCCTTTGTGCCTCTTCCCACACGTGGTTTCTTGCACTTGGCCCAGCTATATTCCACTGTTTTGACTCCATGCTTCTTAGCCTGGTGGCAGTGGTGAGGGAGTGAGGAGATCTCTAATGTTCTGAGGAAGCCTCAGACTTAGCACTGTGAACTGGGGTGTGGGGTTACTGACCGTTGAAGAGTTTCCTGCCCATCCTGTACATGCAATGCCAGGACAAGAGCACATTCCTGTCCCTCCTTGTCCATGGTAGGGGAAACGTGCTCCTTCTCCATGCTCTTAACTCCCAGTTGAAGTGGGCCTTGAACAGTGCCCTGTAAATTAATGGTTTCTTTTCTTTATGGGAGATGCATCTGTGCAGAAATGCGGGTGTTGGCCTTGTTCCTTCACCCTCAGTTCCATGAGCTTTTCCCCAGTGCCCTTTGGCTCAGGTTTGGATGCTCTTTCTCTGCAGATTAGGCCTCATGTTATATAGGAGAGATGTGAGGGCTGTGTCTCCAGAGTTGCAGTAGTGGATGGGATAGTGGTCCCTCCCCATCAGCACTGTGGGGTAAGCATCCTCAGGATTCTAACCCCATCTTCCCTGACAGGCCTTGTAGGGTTCCTAGAAAAATTATACACAACGGTATAAACCCTACGTCTGTAGACTCCAGGGTTTCTCATTCTCCTCACCCACCCACACACAGCCACCAGGAACTAGTTCAAAAGTTCTGGCTTAATTTTACCAGTTTACATGGTCTTCAGGGTACACATAAAAGCCTGGAGCCTGTGTGACCTGCAGGCTTTCTGCATCCCCTGATGTTGGGTTTGTAGTCTGCCCTGTGACCTCAGTTCTTTAAAGGGCTCAGGAGAAACCATCCATTCATTTGAAGTTTCTCCAGCATTTTTGTTTGTTTGTTTAATGTGTAGGAGCAACTCTTTGTCAGGTCTCTATATCTACAAACTTAACTCAGAAACTAATATTTTTAAATATATTTCTTTTCTATCATACTTTTAGTGCTCCTCTACCTATGCTAATTGTTCTTCAGTATTTTTTATATTTGTATGTCTTTATCTATTTTAAAATCAGGTTTAATTCCTTCTTAATCAAATTAATAACTTTTCATTTATTTCCCTACGTAACTTTCTTTTCAGACGTTTAAAGTATTGCTGTGTGTTTCAAGTGGAGGAGGTCATATTACAACTGACATTTGTCCTTGACTACTGGACATATCACACCAGCCCTGATTGCAGTTATACTTGAAGCCAGATCTACCCTTAACGTATATTCATTTTACTATTCAATAAATATTAACTTATCATGAATGGTATATATTGTTACAGTTGTAGGTTTATGGACCTGAATAGACAATAAAATAAATAAAACCCAAATTACATGGCTTCAGGGGGGGTATAACTTTTTATTAAGTTTTTAGTTAAAACATTTTTGCCTTTCTGTGATTTGCAACTTTGAGTGATTGCCTTGAAAAAGGAACCAGAGTTGAAACTGAAGTAGTAGGTGTTGGTGAGATTTTGATGGCTAAGAGCATCGGGCTCATTTTGTAACTGAAGGGGAAATTAGAACAGGTCACCAGTTCCATCTGACCACAATGCAGTTGGAATAATCACCATGGCAACCCATGACTTGTATTTTAGGGGAGAAGAATTGGAAATAAAATGACCAAGCATAAAGCTGACCCAGTCTACATGGATCTTTGTCTTTAAAACATATCTGCAATACTCATGTAGGCAGTGTATAAATAACTTGTCAGAAATATCGTTTATGCCAAGGTTCTTCTTGAATTTTCAGGATTTTGCTTCTCCAGTAGTGAGTGTGTTACTGAGCAAAAGGGGCTTTCTATCCAAAACACTAGAACCCAAAACTGTGGCACTGGGTTTTTCTTTTTAAGAAAAAAAAAAAAAAGCTGCTCCTTATTATAATTTTTGTTTATATTATAATTATGTAAGTATAATTTTAATTTTATTATAAATTTGCTTTATTATAATTTTTATTTCAGTATCACTTACAGTACAAGTGGTTTTTGGTTACGTGGATGAATTATATAGCAGTGAATTCTGAGATTTTAGTGCACCTGTCACCTGAGTAGTTTATATTGTACCAAATAGGTAGTTTTTTCATCCCTCATCCACCTCCCACTCTCTGCTTCTGAGTCTCCAAAGTCCATTACATCACTCTGTATGCCTTTGCATACGCATAGCTTAACTCCCACTTATAAGTGAAAAATAATAGTATTTTATTTTCCATTCTTGAGTTATTTCACTTAAAATAATGGCCTCATATCCCTTGCCCTGAAATTAACAGCCAGCAGGGGTGTCCTCAGTATCAAAACAAGTCGACCACACAAAGCCGTCAAAGACTCCAGGAACCCAGGTCCATGGGGTGCAGCCCTGCAAGGTGGAAAAGCTGACCAAGTCTTCCTTCCAGCCAAATCTGGAAGAAAGGCCCCTTGCCTGGAGCAGTGTTCCTGGTACCCAGGCCTCTGTGGGCATCCCTCAGCACAAAGACCCTCTCCAAGGGGCATGGGCCGGCCCTTCCAGGACCACCAGCCCAGCTCCAGAAGCCCATGGGTCATCCCCACCCTCACCTGACTGAGCTGTCCCTGAGGCTAAGGCCCAGCAGCATGAAGAGACTTCCACAGAAACCAGGGCAATAGGCTGCTCTCTGGCGGCACTGGGGGCTCAGGGTCTGGCTAGCCTGTCCCTGGCTCAAGTCACATGCCTGGAAATTAGGGTTTTCTCCTCTGCTCTTAGCATCTCCTGGGTAAACCAATAATTACCCTCCTTCATGTCTCAAAATTCACATCCATGTAAAAGGCTCTGGTGAGGGTGACATTTCCAGGAAGCCACAGCCCATGTCAACCCCCTGCAAAGCTGTGACCTTGTCCGCGGGCAGGTGAGGCGGCGGAGTTCTCCCAAAAGCCGGTGAACTGGCGCTCTGGCTGGAGAGCGCGGAGGGCGGCAGCACAATGGACAGCGTCTGGGACCTCAGGCCAGTTCCACAGCAGCCTAGGAAAGCAGGCGGCTCCTGTGCTGGAGGAGGCGTGATGCTCTGGAGGGAAACCGAGCTGAGCAGCGAGAGGTGGGGTGAGGCTGAGACCCGCCCGATTTAGGCAAAGATGAGGTGCACTTCGCAGCGTCACACTCTTCTCACTGCCCAGCCCCGACTTGCCCCTTAAGTCCCTCTCTGGACTCACTCCCCTTAGCCAGGGATGGCACAGAATCAGTGGCCAGCATAGGTTTGGAAGCAGAGAGGTCCACACGGCTTGCGCCTCCCTCCGGGACTGCTCACCACCCCGCAGCCCGGCGCTTGCTGGGACTGTAGGCCGGTAGCCCTGCGACCAACAGCCGAAAGCGGTTAAGAAACTACTCCCAGAATGCCTGGCGAGGCGCGCACCACGCGGCCCCTTCCTCCAGGCATTCGCACCACCCCCCACTCCCGTTGCATGCTGGGATTGTAGTTGATCGCCTGCGATCAACGGCCGGAAGCGGCTAAAACTACTCCTGCCTGCATACCCCGCAGGAGCAAACCGCGCCATGTCTCCCTCCAGGGATCCGCACCGCTCACAATCCTGTTTAGTGCTGGGATTGTAGTCCTGCGAGCCTACGACTAATAGCTGGGTGCGGATAAGAGACTACAGCTCCCCCCATTCCCAGCAAAGGTCCCTCCTCCACCGAGCTCCTCCAGGCTTCCAGTGCAGTTCCGCCGTGCGGAGGGAAGCTTGGCTGTTCACAAACCTCTCCTGCCCGCGAGGAGACAGCTTGGCCAGGGCGGCTGATCTCACCTTGTCATTGTGACACGGTGTCTCCCCAACGTGCTGGCTTCATGACTTGTGCCCAGAGTTTGATTTTCCACAGACCAGGTAGAGGCCAAGAGCCTCTCACAGACTCTGCAGCAGGGTTGCTATGGTAACGCTTGCGCCCCCGCCCCCCCCAGCAGCCGGCTCGACACCGCCCTTTCCCTCTGAAGGGCCACTCGTTTTAGCCACGTCCTCTTATTGTCCCTCCCCTGGCCACACCCCTTCAGACATGCGTAGTGCTCCCCTTGGTCCAGCGCGGGAAGCTCCCTCGTGAGTGTCCGAAACTATTAGCTCACTCACTGCCTCATGTGAAGGTACCCAGTCTCTGGTAACCTGGCACTTCCCTTTTGAAAACCACCTTTTTCTCTCTCTCTGGGCTGCCACGAATCCCCCTGTACTCCCCAGATGCACCTGTTGGACCCCGGGCTGGCTGCATGGCCCACACCTGGGTCAGGCCTCGCACAGGGGCGCTCCTGCCACTATAATAACGATGAGAAAATGTCCCAGGGGAAAGGCCTGACCCTGCTGCATCCAGTCAGGAAACTGCCACGGGGAAGGGACCACCTAAACTACTTTGCGAGCCACATCCACCACTTCTTTGTCCCCCACCCAGGCTGGTTCCCAGGCCTTGGGGTCCTAGTGTAGACCTCCCGGCCATAACTAACACAGGTGCAGGACCAGAGAGCGCCTTGGTTCCTCCCAACACATGAGGAAGTTTGTGTGGTGAGGTTTGGACAGTGTCTTTGTTTTTGCTCTGAATAGGGTGCCCTGGAAAAATCTTTACCTCTTATTAAATACTCCCTTTGGAACCACTTTTAAGACTTTGCCGATGGAACTTAACAGTGATCATTTATTGAATCCATTTTTCTATTCGCTTTTTTAGATTAACTCTTAAGTACTCCACAACTACACGCTTTTGAAACTGGCGTTGGCATAGCGTTAGTTCTGTGCAGGGCGGACGCAGCAGGACAGAATCTCCCTGGGCATCTTTTCGGAGCATCAATTTTACTGCAAAATTTTGAAAAAACAAATTTAATTGATTTCCAAGGTAAGAAATTAAACCTTGAAAAATAGACTAAAGAGTCATCTGCACCTGACATATCAGACTTTCTGCAGGAAGAAAACTCTAAGGAGAGCATATTGTCCATTATTATAAATAGTGAAAATGAGAAATCATAGCAAGTCCCTTGAAAACCCTGCCCTGCCAGTTTTCTAATAGGGCCTTGGTATGGTTTTATGTGTATTTTCTTTTGAAGTGTGCTCATCTTTTGAATATACAAATTTGAGGTTTTGACCAAATTTTGCAAGTTTTCAGCTATGAGTTGTTTATTTGCTCTTGTATCATATTTAATTTTTCTGTCTCTCCCTCTCCTTCTCGGACTCAGTCATTCCACAGGTCTCTAAGGAGCTTTTCATTTTCTTCAAACTTGTTTCACTCTTCAGATTGGATGATGATGATTTCTATTGCTGTCTTCTGTTTCTACTCTGTTTATAAACTCAAAGGTCTTTTTAATTTTTCATTTCATTATCTCTGTATCCCATTCTTTTTATAATTTTCATTTCTCTGTAATGGAGTCTCGCCGTGTCACCCAGGCTGGAGTGCAGTGGCTGATCTCAGCTCACTGCGCCCTCCTCCTCCCAGGTTCAAGTGATTCTCCTGCCTCAGCCTCCCAAGTAGCTGGGACTACAGGCACACGCTGCCACACTCAGCTAATTTTTGTATTTCTAGTAGAGATGGGGTTTCACCATGTTGGCCAGGATGGTCTCAATCTACTGACCTCATGATCCACCCACCTCGGCCTCCCAAAGTGCTGGGATTACAGGTATGAGCCACCGCCCCCAGCGTTTCTGGTGTTTTATCAGAGGAGCAAAACCTGAGGTAATTCAGATTCTGCTCTTTGTTATCTTCTAGGAGTTTTGTGAGTTTTCCTCCTATATAGGTCTATGATCCATTCTTAGTAATTTCTGTGAAAGTTGTCAGGTCTGGGTTTAGGGTTTTTTTTTTTCTTCTTTTCTCTTGTATGTGGATGTCCAGTTGTTCCAGTACTGTTTGTTGAAAAAGTATTGTTTCTCAATTGAATTTCCTTTGCTTTTTCCTCAAAGATAAGCTGACTATATTTCATGGGTCAATTTATGAGCTTTATCTTTTGTTTGATTGATCTGTTTCTCTATTATTTTTTACCAGTACCGTGTTTTGATTACTGTAGCTTTATAGTAGTGCTTACAGTTGGGTAGTGTCATTCCTATAACTGTTCTTTTAAAATATTTTCTTGGTTATTCTGAGTCTTTTACCTTTCCATATAAACTTTAGAATCAGTTTGTCAATATCCACAAACTAGCTTTGTGGAATTTTGATTGGGATTGCACTGAATATGTAGATCTAGTTGGGAAGTACTGACGTTTTAACAACGTTGAATCCCTCTTTACTTGAATGTGGATTATCTCTCCATTTATTTAGATCTTCTTTGATGTTTTCACAGTTTTGTAGTTTTCTTCATATGGTTTCTATATTTATATTTATTTTCTTATATTTGTACCTAAAGAATTTCATTGTTATTGGTGCTAGCATAAATGTCACTGAATTTTTAAATTTCAAATTCTAATTACATTACTGATATATAGGACAGTAATTGACATTTGTATATTAATCTTATATTGTGCAAAGTTGCTATAATTGCTCATTAAAATTGGTTATTCTAAGATTTTGTTTTGTGATCTTTTTGTATTTCTCCATAGGCAATTATATCATCTGTGTAAAAAGACTGTTTTATTTCTTCCTTCCCAGTCTATGTACCTTTTCTATTCTTGTCTTATTGCATTACCTAGGGCTTATAGTATAATATCATATAGGAATGGTGAGAGGAGACATCTTTGCCTTGCTCCTGATCTTAGCAGGAAGGAATCTAGTGTTTCTACATTCAGTATGAGGTTAGATGCAGGTTTTTTTTTTTTTCTTGAGATGTCGTCTCGCTCTGTCACCAGGCTAGAGTGCAGTGGTGTGACCTCAGCTCGTTGCAACCTCCGCCTCCCGGGTTCAAGCAATTCCTTGCCTCAGCCTCCCAAGTAGCTGGGACAACAGGCACGCACCAGCATGCCCGGCTACTTTTTTGTATTTTAGTAGAGACGGGGTTTCACCATGTTGGCCAGGATGGTCTCAATCTCCTGACCTCATGATGCACCCACCTCAGCCTCCCAAAGTGCTGGGATTACAGGCGTGAGGCACTGTGCCCGGCCAGGTGCAGGTTTTTTTAATAGACATTATTTATGAAATTGAGGAAGTTTTCCTCTATTTCTAGTCTGCGGAGAGTTTTTCTCATGAATGGGTTTTGGATATTGTCAAATGATTTTTCTGAATGTACTGATGAAATCTTATCTTTTTAAAACTTAATATGATGAACTAATTTTTTTTAAAGACAGAGTCTTGCTATGTTGCCCAGGCTTAGTTTGAACTCCTGGCCTCAAGTGATCCTCCCTCCTTGGCTTCCTACTGCATTAGGATTACAGGTATAAGCCACCACACTTAGCCTAATTTATTTTCAAATGTTGAACCAGCCTGGCATGCCTGTAATAAATCTCACTGGGTTGCAGTATATAATTATTTTTTACATTTTTGGACTTGATTTCTTAATATTTTGGTGAGGATTTTTGCATCTTTCTTCATGTGAGATATTGTCCTGCATTTTTTTCTTGTAACGTCTCTGTCTGAATTTGACACTATGGTAATCCTGGCCCCATTGAATAGTTTGAAAGTATTCACTCTGCTTCTGTTTTCTGGAGGAGATTGTAGAGGGTTGGAATAATTTCTCTTAAATGTTTGCATAAATATACTAGTTACCTCATCTGGGTCTGGTACTTTCTATTTGGTAAGGTTACTTATCATTGACCCAATTTCTTTAATAGATGTAGTACTATTCAAATTGTCTGTTTCTTATTGTGTGAGTTTGGGTAGGTTGTTTCTTTCAAAGAATTTGTCTGTTACATTTGGGTTACCAAATTTGTGGGCAAAGAGTGGTTTATAATGTTTCTTTATTATTCTTTAATTCTTCATGGGATCAGTAATGATAGATCCTCTTTCATTTCTGAAATTAGGACTGTGTCTTCTGTCTTTTTCAACCAAAACTAAAAAGGAACGTTTTAAAAAGTGAAAGCTATTTTTGATAAACTATCTAATTTCCCATGATCTGCAACTGTGGGTACATAGGAAGTACATGGAAACAGATGTTTGGCAGAGCTTGCCAACAAATTCTTTTCTGCATCAAGAAGGCATGCCTCTCAGCATGACACTCTTAAGAGGCAGAAATGTGACAAAAGAAGGATGCGATCTGCTCCTGGTGAAGAGCCACCTGACTCTCCCTCAGCTGCACATAGTGGCCTTAACGTGCATCTTGCTAGAAGGGGCATGCAAGCCAGGGGCTGCCAGCCAAGCCATACAGGCCAAGGACAGTTTCAAGTCTGCCTTTTATTTCATCGAACTGTTGTTCTAGTAAGCAGCTAGAGTTTTATGAACACTGTAAACTCTTTATCATATTTCTTTGCTATTTCTGGAGGATTTGTTCTAGGAGTCCTCTTGGATACCAAAATGCATGGATGTATAAGTTCTTTATATATAATGGCATAGTATTTACATATAACCTATGCATATTCTCCTGCATACTTTAAATCTTCTCTAGATTACTTTTAATACCTAAATTGTTGTTATGCTGTGTTGTTTAGGGAATAGTGAAAAGAAAAATAAAATTCTGTAAATGTTCAGTACAGAAACCTTATTAAAATATTTTTGATTCACATTTGTTGAATCCAGGAATGCAGAAATAAGGAGGGACAGCTCTACCTATGTTTGGAGTCCATGAATGTGTCATCTTGCTGTGTTTGTAAATAGAAATTTATTTCACAAAATGACTCAACTGCTTCTTCACTAACATGTTCAAAAACTTGCAAGAAGCAGCCAGGCATGGTGGCTCACACCTGTAATCCCAGCACTTTGGGAGACCCAGGCAGGAAGATCACCTGAGGTTGGGAGTTCGAGACTAGCCTGACCAACATGGAGAAGAATCGTGTCTACTAAAAATACAAAATTAGCCAGGCACGGTGGCGCATGCCTGTAGTCTCAGCTACCTGGGAGGCTGAGGCAGGAGAATTGCTTGAACCCAAGAGGTGGAGGTTGTGGTGAGCCGAGATCGCACCATTGCACTCCAGCCTGGGCAACAAGAGCAAAATTCCGTCTCAAAAAAAAAAAAAAAAAAAAAAGAGAGAGAGAGAGAAAAGAAAAGAAAAACACTTGCAAGAAGCAAAATAAGAATTGAGAAAGGGGAAAGATGATGACTGAGAGTTGGAAGGTTGCACATTTTCACAGAAAAGTAGAACGGAATTGTAACAAGCACTCTGATAGGAAATCATAGTTTATGTCTCGCAACTGTCCCTGAAAAAATACAATGGTTGGCAGAAAAGACAAGAAATGAGATAGACTATAAATTAACTGGAGAAGAGAAAAAATAATTCCCAGAAGTAAATTGTCAACGAGTTTGAAAGCAGGTAAAATGTAGGTGCATTATCCCTACTCTTTCTGAATAATTTTACAACCTTGTGCAACAGGAGCTTCTGTCACTGCAGAACCAGGGTCACCTGTGGAAAATCCTTGCTGAAGCCATCTCCCTGTCTGCCTGTCCCTCAGGCCCAGGAGTCATGAGTCCTTTCTCCAATAAGTCATTCAGTTGGCTGGCAGCAAACCCTGGTAAGATTCTTCAAGGCAGCTACTTTTTATCTTAGATTTTAACAGAAACTCATGAAGAAAAGTCTTAAGACCTAAACTCCCAAGTCCCTTACTGTATCATTTTGAGTATTAGGAAATCAGTCAGAGGTCTTTTCAGCATCTCTGAAATCACAATGCAAAAATAGCCCCAGCTTCATAAGGCCGATTCTTGGTATCTCTGTTCTGCAAAGTAGGGTAAGCAAGATGCCACAAAAGGCAGGTTGAATGCAGCATTATCCTCACTCCACCAACAGAACTATCATACTTTAAGTAACCCAGCAGGTCTTTAAAATAAAGAAATTATAAAACATAAGGAAAAACTTTCTTGAGAGGAAAAAATTTACAAATCAGAGGAAAATCTTCTAGAACTTTTACATCTTATAACAAATAAATCATATGCTTTATTGTTTTCCTCTGAGTACATCATCAGTACTTCCATAATACTTCTAATTTTTGGCTTGAAAACACCAGTTGCTTAAAAAAACACAGGGACACAAAACAAAATCCCAGAAATGTATAATTATTTTTTTTAAGCTGACAAAGGAGTAACACACCACTGACTTCTCAGGGAAAAGCTTTCAAGCAAAGCAGTCATTTCTGGTGGGGATTATAGAAGAGGGAGTTATCATGGTGAGATGGTGGAACTAATCCAGAACAAGCCAGATTTTTAGTATTGACAAAGGGATTTAATCAGTTGCCCAGGAATACTCACTCACTTGGAAATCAAACTTCCATCATTATTCTTGGAAGAATTTCTGGAACTTCCCCTTTGGAAACAAATTTTTATCTTCAAAAATACCAGACAATAGAAGAAAAGAAATGAAAAAGGAGGCAGAGGAAGATGAATCTTGCTTAGGCAGGGACTGAAAGGGAATTCGTGGCCATAGGCCACATTTTTCAGCGCCCACTGTGTGACGGCTTTCCCCAGGACCACACGTGTGCCACTGAACAAGAAGAGTCCACAGGGACCTTCACCTTATTCCTCCCCAACATCAAAACCAAAATGGAACAACCTACCATGAGAATATGAGTATATATCACAACTTCCATTACATTTAAAGCATGCAGAGTATCTAATTGCAAATTCAAACAGTGGAAAAACAAATCTACTTGCCTCCTGGCCACAGCCTTACTCTTTTAAGAGAATGTGGTCTATGCTTTCTAATCCCATCACCAGGGATAAATAACCACAGGTTTGTGTGACATAGAACCACCTCCATGCAGAGGTAAATATGCATTTATTTTTTATAAAATAAGAATTATACTCTGTACTTTTATACCATACTTTTAGAATATAACAGTTCTTATGATCATTTTATAATTATTTGAAACAACCTCCGTAGCTATATAACATTAAATCAAAAGAACATTTCATAATTTTACCATTTTCCTATTGGACATTGAGTTTGCTCTCATGAAGTTTATATTTGTGTGATGATTTGGGGGAAGTTTCTCGGCCTCACTAGATTGAACACCTTGTGATGGTGGTCACTGTTATATTCTTTTTTATTTTTATTTTTTGAGACAGAGTCTTTCTCTGTTGCCCAGGCCGGAGTGCAGTGGCATGATCTCGGCTCACTGCAACCTCCACCTCCCAGGTTCAAGCGATTCTCCTGTCTCAGCTTCCTGAGAAGCTGGGATTACAGGTGCACGCCACTATGCCCAGCTAATTTTTGTATTTTTAGTAGAGACGAGGTTTTGCCATGTTGACCAGGCTGGTCTTGAACTCCTGACCTCAGGTGATCCCCCCGCCTCGGCCTCCCAAAGTTCTGGGATTACAGGCGTGAGCCACCATGCCCAGCCCTATTCTTATTTCATTAAAATACCTGAAACATATCAGGTATATTGCAGCATCTGTTGAATGAATGAATGAATCTCTCCTTCAAATCTTGGCTAAAGTCTGCCTCATCCACAAAAGTTCCTGACCCTCACTTCAATCATAAACCTCTTTCTCTTCTATAATTTCCCATGTAGCTGTTTGTTTGTTTTTTTTTAACTCCCTGGCAGGAAAAAGAGGAAACATGCTATTTATTGAGCACTATTCTGAGTCAGGGACTGTGGTAAATACATTCAAGAAGAAAGCATCAAAAGGGCTATACGTCAGCCTAGACAGTGTGCCCCAGAGGGTCCTTGACTGAACATTTGGTGACGAGCATGTTGGGCATGTGCTCTAGGCTGAGGTGCAGCTCTTATGCCACAGACTGACCCTGGATCAATTATGGCTCAAGTCCCACCCTGAAATCTCTCTTTCCCATTTCTAGGTTTGTCAAGGAGGACAGAAACTCAGAGCACCCTGCACTTGGGGATCGGCACTAGGAGCTGCTCTCTGGATGGGGAGATGGGAGCTAGCAGCTCACAATGGGGTCACAAGGTAAGTTCCAAACAGCTCTGTCACAGAGAGCGTCAGCAGATCGCAAAGAAAGGGAGCATGTGAAGGAGAAAGCCCTGAGTGATGTCACAGCTCATTTCTGGGCAAAGGGAGAAGAAATTAGCACCCTGAGGCCCTTCCGCCTTATTAACCCATTGCACTTATTCTCAGAGGCTCCTGCCAAAAATAGAGACATTATTCCACCTCCACCTCCTCAAATTCTAAGCCAGAAATATGTGTGTGTTATCATTCAACTTATATCATTTTTTCCTCCTTAAATGATATTTTCACCACTAATAAATTTATCAAAATTGTACTTCACATGTGTAATACAGAAGAAACAAGGCTTCCTTCAACACTGAATTAATGAAAAACAACTCAGGATATTTACTTTTCTTCACACCATAAATTTTGAAGAGCTTTTTCGTTATGCACTGTGTGTTACAACATATGTGCTTAAGCAGTCAAGCAAGTATCTCATATCTGAATTGGAAAGCTTTAGAGTATTGACAAAGAAGATGTATGTATGTATGTGATGTTGCTGGCCTAAGACAGGCCACTGCTACTGCACACAGAGCAACTGTATGTTAACAACTGCTGTGCTAGGGGCGTGTCCCCTGAAGTTAGTGTTGCTAGCATGGAATTGAAAATATTTATGAGTCTCAGACATGGCATCACGGTGTTTGACTATTATTACATTAGTTACTTTTAGTCACTGTTTTATTACAACATTTTAATGTACATTTGTTCACAGTGTAAAGAAACTGAAGTTTTTGTTTGTTTGTTTTTTCTTTGTTTCTGTTTTTGTTTTTAACTTTTATGGTTGTGTGCCCATGGGCCCCCACAAGAGGTCTCTGTTTGATCTCATTTCTGTGCTAGTGATATTTCTAGGAGTCCAATAATATGGGGCATGTTATAATATACCTTTTAGAATGAAGAAAAAGTGGTTACGTATACATTCTCCTACATCAAAAAAAGGCGCAAGAGCTGGCAGGTTTCTTTGGGTTATGAGAAACCCATTCCTAGTTTGAGTATGATACCGTGGCCCATTCAATGAATGTAATGGAAAACTGCTACTTTTAAATTGGGCACAGAATAATAGAAGGCCTGCAAAAAGTCCAGAGTGCAATGCAAGCTACTTTGCCACTTGTGCCATATGACTGCAGATGCAATGGTTTTTGAGGTGTGACTGGGAGATAGGAATGCTGTTGTATCTTTGATAGGTTGCTATACATAAAGCCTGGTGTAGGTCCTTATAATTTTGGAGCAGAGCCTTAAAACCTTCTGCAGATAATTCTTTCTTTCTTTCTTTCTTTTTTCTTTCTTTTTTTTCTTTCTTTTGAGGCAGTGTCTGCCTCTGTCAACTTGGCTAGAGTTCAGTGGCATAATCATGGTTCACTGCAGCCTCAACTTCCTAAGTGCAAGCAATTCTCCAGTCTCAGCCTCCTGAGACTACAGGTGCATGCCACCACATTCCATGGATTTTAAATATTTTTGTACATATGGGGGCTTGCTGTGTGTGCCCAAGCTGGTCTCGAAATCCTTGCCTCAAGCAGTCCTCCTGCCATAGCCTCCCAAAGTGGTGGGATTACAGTTGTGAGCCACCACAATCAGCCTTACCTTTTGAAACTATTGTAAATGGAATTGTTTCTTCATGTCATGTTGAGATTGTTCATTGCTAGTGTATAGAATTTTTATTAATATTTTTATATTATTTTAAATCATGCAATCTTAACTCATTTATTATAGTGGGTATTTGTGAATTTTCTTTTTTCTTTTCCTTTCTTTTCTTTTTTTTTTTTTTTTTTGAGACGGAGTTTCACTCTTGTTGCCCAAGCTGGAGTGCAATGGCGTGATCTTGGCTCACTGCAACCTCCGCCTCCTGGGTTCAAGCAATTCTCCTGCCTCAGCCTCCCGAATAGCTGGGATTACAGGCGCGCACCACCACGCCTGGCTAATTTTTTGTATTTTTAGCAGAAACGGGGTTTCACCATGTTAGCCAGGCTGGTCTCGAACTCCTGACTTCAGGTGATCCCCCCGCCTCGGCCTCCCAAAGTGCTGGGATTATAGGCGTGAGCCACCACGCCTGGCCGAATTTTCTAGAAAGTTTTATATACAGGATGTCATCTGAATAGGCTTCCGATCTTTATCTGAAGGTCATGAATTTATTTTTGTTCCATGATATTTCTGGCCAAAATCTCCAGTATACTGTTAAAATAGAAGTGGTAAAAATATATTCTTGTCTTGTTTCCAAACTAACGTTCTCAAACCCAAGATTTCAACATTATGCATGATATTAGCTGTAGGTTTTTAATAGATGTCTTATAGCAGGTGTAAAAATTTTGCTTGTGTTTCTAGTCTAGTTAGGGTTTTTTCATAAACGGGTCTAGATTTGTCAAATGTTCTGTGTTTTTCAGAATGATCATTTTGATATTTTATTGTTTTATTAAGCTGTATTATATTGACTGATTTTTGAATGTTAAATTTGTATTGTGAGATACCCCTCTTGGTAATGGTGTCCAATAATTTTCATTTGTGGCTACATTTATTTTGTTATTATTTTTGTGGATTTCTGTGTCAATATGGATAAGGGATAATAGTCTATAGTCTCGTAGTGATTTTTCCTGACTTTTGTCTGGGCAATACTGGCCTCATGGAATGAATTGGTAAGTTTCTTCTGTTATTCAGTTTTGTTTTGTTTTGTTTTTTTGTGGGGCAGTCAACTAAAAGACCTGGTTTTAACTCATTATTAAATATTTGGTCAAATTTACAAGTGAAACTATCTACTGAGCTTTTCTTCATAGAAAAAGTTTAATCTCTAATTGTTTTGGTTCTATTCATATATTCTACTTATTCTTGAACTTACTGTAATAACGTATGCATATTATCCACTAATCAATTTCTAATTTGTAGCATACTATCTTTTTATATTTTCATTGCAATAAAAAGTAAAGGGAAGAATAATGTGGAAAGACAAAGATTTTGGCAATCCATGTTTCCCTAGTGTCTCAGGGTCCTCTGTTGTAGGGAGGAGATTATTGTACTTGTTGTACTTAATACTCACATATGTTCATGAAGTAGATGGGACCCATCATCTAAAGTAAATTAGAGAACTTTGCAAAATGTAACCAAAATAAAAGTTTGTGCCTACCTCTCTTTTAATCAATATTTAGACGGGACAGGAATATAAATTTCAAGAAAAACATATACAAAATGACATGGTAAATTAAGAATGGCATGAAAAGATAAAAACCTAATATATCAGAGTTGTTTAGTACAGTGGCGTGATCTTGGCTCACTGCAACATCCACCTCCCGGGTTCAAGCGATTCTCCTGCCTCAGCCTGCTGAGTAGCTAGGATTACAGGTGCCCACCACCTTGCCTGGCCAATTTTTTGTATTTTTAGTAGAGACAGGGTTTCACTATGTAGGCCAGGCTGGTCTTGAACTGTTGACCTTGTGATCCGCCCACCTCAGCCTCCCAAAGTGCTGGGATTACAGGCATGAGCCAACACACACGGCCTAGAGTTGTTTTAAAATTTTTTAGAGACAGGGTCTCTGTTGCTCAGACTGGAGTGCAGTGGCACAATTATAGCTCACTGCAACCTCAAACTTCTGAGCTCAGGTGATCTTCCCACCTCACCCTCCTGAGTAGCTTGGGGCTACAGGCACTTGTCACCATGCCAGGCTAATTTTTAAATTTTTTTCTAGAGATGGGGTCTCACTATGTTTTCCAGCCTTGTCTTGAACTCCTGTGGGCAGTCCCACAGCAGCATCTCAAAGTGTTTGGAATTACAGGTGTGAGCCATTGTACTGAGCTCCAGAGTTGTTAATACTTAGGATATATGATGTTTTAGGCACAATTCCAAGCCATTTGTATGTATATATTTAATAACAAAGAGTTTAATGTGTAACCCAAATTTTCATGTAAGTGAGGAATTTATACCTTTATAAAAATATTAGGTGACATTAAAATCATTCTAGAGGCCAGGCACAGTGGCTCATACTTATAATCCAACAGTTTGGGAAACCAAGGTGGGAGGATAACTTGAGGCCTGGAGTTTGAAACCAGGCTGGGCAATGTCTACAAATTAAAAATTAGCCAGACATGGTGGCATGCACCTGTCGTCCTTGCTACTTGGGAGTTTGAGATGGGAGGACTGCTTAAACCCAGGTGTTTGAGGTTATAGTGAGCCATGACCATACCATTGCACTCCAGCCTGGGTGACAGGGTGAGATCCCATCTCTAAAACAAACACACAAATATCAGAGAAAGAAGTTTTCTCGTAGAAAACAAATGAATGAATATAAAGAGTGCTAAATAACTTTTTAAAAGTTGTGCTAGTTAATCAGGTAGACAAATATTATCTTTTAGCACTCAAAAGAAGATAAAAATAATTTTCAAATATCATAGAAATTATTAAAATTTCAAGAGTTTAGGCTTGAAAATGTATTACTAACTTTATAAAAGCAAAAGTCTTACATGTGATATTTTCTAAGTAACATTAAAAGGCAATAGAAATAATCATTTAAGGTGTAACCAACCAAAAAATAAAGAAAACAAAAAGTGTAACAAGTAATATATAACCACATACTAGTTTTTAAAAGATCATTAAAAAAAAGTTATATGAATAATCAAAAAAATCATTTTAAAAACTACTGGAGGAAACAGAATCCAAATGTGATTACTTTTACAAAGTCAGAGTACTGCTAAGGAGAAACCATTTTGACTGGAGCCAAATGACTAAATTCAGATAATTAAATCTACCAATACTATCTTAATATTAAGGAAAAACAGTAATTCTAGCCATAAACATGTATAGTTCCTGCAGTATATAAATATACATTCAAGTAATAATAAAAATTACCCTGCACAATAATCCCGGCATATGGTAGATATTGGCGGTGGTGTTCTAAATGAAGAATGTTGAGATTTCCAATGAGACATTATTCTGCAACAAATATCAATGTGAAATATTTTACTTACAGATGCATGGTGAATATTTGATGTTTTAGAACAAAAATGTATTTACAAATCTCATTTGATGCAGACATCTGAAAATACTCAGAAGTTACAAGAATTCATAAAATACCCACCAAAGCTAATAGAAAACATGGAACCTTCCAGGACAAGAAGTAAATTAAAAGAACAACCCAGAGGAGTAATCAAAGTGAGAAGCCAGTGCCGCCTCCAGGTACTGGATGATCACAGGGACCTCAGGCTTTGGGGATTATTCAACTACCTTCTTGGAATAAACAACAAAAAAAGTACTGACTAAAGTTATTTTGTACAAAATCTCTCAAATACAAAACCAAAATTATTTTTAAATTATAATTTCTCACATACTATGAAGTACAAAAGAAGCTACCAAGATGAAGAATTAGAAGAAACTAGACATCACATAAAATTCAGATATTGAAAATGTGTTTAAAATGCTTAAGTGAAGTAAATGGTAAAAAATAGAAAATGAAAATATTTTGGCAAAGCAAGAAACTATAAACTTAACAAGCATATTTGGAAAAGAACCACAAAGAAGTTGAACAATTGAAAAATAAATAAATTCAATGCACAGTGTTTGGCATTAGGCTGAACTGACAAAAATAATAGTGAATTATAATATTTAGAAGAATAAATATCACCAGATAAACAAAAGGTAATAAAAATATGAGTATAATTCATCACTGGCCATCAGAGAAATGCAAATCAAAACCACAATGAGATACCATCTCACACCAGTTAGAATGGCAATCATTAAAAAGTCAGGAAACAACAGGTGCTGGAGAGGATGTGGAGAAATAGGAACACTTTTACACTGTTGGTGGGACTGTAAACTAGTTCAACCATTGTGGAAGTCAGTGTGGCGATTCCTCAGGGATCTAGAACTAGAAATACCATTTGACCCAGCCATCCCATTACTGGGTATATACCCAAAGGACTATAAATCATGCTGCTACAAAGACACATGCACACATATGTTTATTGCGGCACTATTCACAATAGCAAAGACTTGGAACCAATCCAAATGTCCAACAATGATAGACTGGATTAAGAAAATGTGGCACATATACACCATGGAATACTATGCAGCCATAAAAAATGATGAGTTCATGTCCTTTGTAGGGACATGGATGAAATTGGAAATCATCATCCTCAGTAAACTATCGCAAGGACAAAAAACCAAACACCGCATGTTCTCACTCATAGGTGGGAATTGAACAATGAGAACACATGGACACAGGAAGGGGAACATCACACTCTGGGGACTGTTGTGGGGTGGGGGGAGGGGGGAGGGATAGCATTAGGAGATATACCTAATGCTGAATGACGAGTTAATGGGTGCAGCACACCAGCATGGCACATGTATACATATGTAACTAACCTGCACACTGTGCACATGTACCCTAAAACTTAAAGTATAATAATAAAAAAAAGTCAGTAAATCTCAAAAATAAAAATAAAAATAAATAAAAATATGAGTATAATTATGTGTATTGAAATAGAATAAAAACAATTCACTAGAATACATAAAATAATGAATCACAGTAGTAAAACAATTTACTAATTTCTAAAGTTGTAAATCAGATATACAAATATTTAAATGTGTAATTGTACTATACCAAAAAGATATAAAAATACAACTCAATGTAACAAACTATAAAATACTAAAGATAAGCAGAAAACTAAAAGAAGTGTGAGAAAGAAAAGTGAAACCACCTATAAATATAAGAGCAAAATGTCCAAAGCCTGTGTAGAGTCAGAGAGCAGAGAAGTAGTGCCGAGAAAAATTATTATTGTTCTTATACTGGATACCTGGCTAAAATATCTTTTATGAATGAGGGTAGCCTAAACAAATTTATAAAGTAAAACACTTTTATAAACAATAAGAACTTCTTCTTTTTTTTTTTTTTTTTTGAGATGGAGTTTTGCTTTTGTGACCCAGGCTGGAGTGCACTGGCACAATCTTGCCTCACTGCAACCTCTGCCTCCCGGGTTCAAGCAATTCTCCTGCCTCCGCCTCCCAAGTAGCTGGGATTACAGGTGCCTGCTACCACGTCCGGCTAACTTTTGTATTTTTAGTAGAAACGGGGCTTCACTGTGTTGGTCAGGCTAATCTTGAACTCCTGACCTCAGGTGATCCACCAGCCTCTGCCTCCCAAAGTGCTGGGATTACAGGTGTGAGCCACCACGCCTGGCCAACAGTGAGCTTCTTAACGATGTAACTCAAGAAGACAGAAAAGTTTCCTTGTATAAACTTTACAAAATCAAAATGAAATGTAAGAAACTTCTAAGACATATGGGACTTCAGTCAACATACACATCAAACTTAAAAAATCACCCAAGTTCTTGGCAGCATCAGTTTCAAAATTATTTAGATATAATAAAAGTATACTTTTACATATTTTAATTAATTAAAGTAAGTTATCTGCTACTGGAATGATTTAACTGATGGCAGAAGAACTCATTTTTCCAAGAATTATTTTTATTATTAATTGATATTAAATCTATGACACTTCTGTTGTGTATTTTTCAGAATATTGGTTCTTCTTTTATCTGAAGTGAGGAGCACCAGAGGACTGATCACGGCATAGACATTGACTACAAGACTCTGAACTTGCTGGTTGATTGGGCCATATGCCCACAACATTGCTGAGGAGAAGGAGATGATGAAATCCACCCAACAGAGGACCACAGAGAAACTTACCAGCAGCAGTATGGTCTGGATGGCCCGTTTCTCAGGGGAAGCTCCTGGGGAAGGACCATTGCTGTGAAGGTGGTGGGATCACCTCTGAGGCCTGAATAAGAGAGTCACCATGTATGCAATTAAGAACAGCAGTATTCCTACCAGGAAAGCATCCCTAAGTGTTGTCAGAATAAGAAACGTGGCCCTGAGGATGAAGCTCATGGAGAAAACTGAGCAGTACTTACCTATATTCAGTACATTTGTCTGGCTCACACTGGAAGCAGCTACAGTGTAGAAGATCCTGTTACTACTGAAAGACAAGTTGAGGAACCATAAGAAGAAGAAAACATGGATAATGTAATTTGAAGATTTATGTTTAAACCTTGCCAATCAGGAGGTGCTGGGGCTGATGGTGGTGGCCTGGAACACACTCAGGGGGCAGGTGGTGCAGATAGAGAGGCCCCACAACACCCTGCTCAGGTGGAAAAGTGCCTTACACTTGAAGTCATTCTGAAGTTCAATGATGCAAACAGATTTGGAGACTGCAATAACAGTGCAATGAAGAAGTTCACTATGTGGACGAGGGGCAAGGGACAGATGATCAAGTCAGTGGGTTTTAGTCTGTGATACAGAAGGAGAGTGAAGATGCTGAAGAGGAACAGAAAAGTATTGACTGAGATTCCAACAGCAACTTGTAAAACAAAGCAGCTTTTTAATAACATACATGATATATATGTACATTGTAGTGGCAAAGAGGAAACATATTTGTATATCTGAAAAAACAAGTTTAGACATCTTCAGTGCTGTTCTATAGTTAAAATTATCACAACTATGATTATGTTTATTTCTCCCAATTATTAAGACTTACAATGTAATATAAATTATTAGAAAATACTCCTTCGGCATTACATGTATTTATTTGCACAATGCTTCAGTGTGTGTGAGAGACACTATATGTAAATGTATATGTCAGCATTACACATATATATAGTCAGCATTAATTTTATGCCAAGTAACATATATATAATGTGTTTGTGCATAATCGTTTTGTTTTGTTTTGTAGGGACAGGATCTTACTCTGTTGCCCAGGCTGGTCTCAAGTCCATGGGCTCAAGTAATCCTTCTGCCTTGGCCTCCCAAAGTGCTAGAATTACAGAAAGTAGCCACCATGCCCAGCCTATGTACACACACACATATATACATACATATCTAACATATGTATACATATACATAAGTGATCACTTAATGTAATCACTAGGTTCATAAAAATTGACTTTAATCAAAATGATATACTGTATCATGAAACCAATTTAACCATAGGCTAATAGATATCAACAGGTACTAAGTTTCTATGGAATAAAACAAACTTTTACACTTAAAATTGCACATTTCTAAAACCTATCATGATATTAAGTGATGATGTAGTGTATGTAAAACACCAGCATATCCACTATCATGTCTACGTAATGTACTCATTTTCTATGCTCCTACGGTTCTTGGCCTTACTCTTTAGAAAACTTTGCTTTACTGTTCTGTATTTCACTGTTTAATATTCAGCACACACAATGGTGACAGGCATGTATATGATGCAGAAGTGTTTGTATGGCTGAGCTGAAGCAAATTTTATGCTAATGGTAAAAGAACCCCCAAAACATGCAACTGAAAACAAAGAATGTCCAAGTGAGTCTTTGTAACATGACATTAATTTCAGCCTGCATGTTTCTGTTTTCTCCAAATTTGTATGTTAAAACCAAACCACCAGTGTAATGGTATTAGAAGGTAGGACCTTTGGGAAGTAGTTAGGACATTTTCAACAAAAGCCCTCATAAATGGGATCTGCGCCCTTCTATAAGAGGTTCTAGGGAGCTGGCTTGCCCTTCCAGTTGTGTGAGGACACATGTAGAAGGTGCCATCTCTGAACTAGGATACAGGCCCTCACCAGACAGTAAATCTTCCAGTACTTTGATCTTGAAGTTCTCAGCCTCCAGCACTGTGAATAATAAATTTCTGTTGTTTATAACCTACTCAGTCTATGATATTTTGTTATAGTATCTTGAATGGACTAATAAGACAGCATCACTCTGACACTTTCTCTTCTCTATTTCTCTTTCGCATTTCAGGACCCTTGTGATTATATTAAGCTCACCCTAGTAATCCAGGATAACCTCCCTGCTTTAAAGTTAAGTGACTATAACCTTTATTCTATCTGCAATGTTATTTCCCATTGCTGCATGACCTAATATATCTGCAGTCTGGGGATTAGGATGTGGACACCGTTGGAAAAGCATTAGTCTGTTTATCACCGATCTTATTCACTATTTTTATTAAATATTATTCTGGCCATCTTCTAATTTACTTTAAATTTGAGAGATCCATTATATAAACTATTTTCATCTCACAAGAAAATTGTTAAAATCTAGCTTTCAATTTTTGGAAAGACAGTCACCATATTTCTTTACATTTTGACATCTGTGAGGTTGTATTGAAATATTTACATGGTGATGCTATTCTTGAGATTTTAATGGAGGGATAGCCTCCTGTGCCTTTAAAAATATTTAGATCTTCTATGGAAAAGATTCTTTTTTGAAGTTTAATCAAGATGTTTTCACATTAGAACCCTTTGTAAAATTTCACTGAATAAGTTTGCAATGATATTATCATGTTATTTTTCTAGATGCAGGCATTACTATTTCAACCATATAAATCAATTTAATGCTGAGAACAGTTTAGCTGATGACACCAATAAATAAATAATGGAAAAGTGCATAGGCATTCAGATACTTTCCCTGAGATGAAAGAATGTTTACTTATGTTTTCAATGCAGACATTCTGCTAGTGTTCTTGGCTTCAAGTCAGAAGGTCATATATGGTGGAGAATATTGCTCTAAAACTGACTAATATGTATGAACATATAAAGAAAATATTGTATATTTTGTTAAATTGTTATAACACTTTTCCTACATCTTAATCTACTGAAGGAATCCATTTATCTTTAATACAAAAACCAAATAACTGATAATTACTACCAACGTATGGAACCATGCTAAGCACAGTTGACTTCTACTGCTATGTGGGAACAAGTGTAAGATTAGTATTAAGGCACAATAATTTCCACATTTTAAGAATCACAGTCCAGTACCAGTAAAATAATATTTGGGCACGAACCACTAATATATGTGTAATCATTTAGTAACTATATATGAATTATTTTACTAATATACTGCATCTATCACAAGTCATATCCCCAAAATAGTAAAATTTATCACATAAAAGAACATAGATAATAATGTTAATATTTTCATTTCTTACCTCACAGGGTATTTAGCTCATGACCACTAACTTTAGCTCCCTCTTTCTAAACATCACATACCACAAAATGAATGTATCCATTAGATTTAAAAATGTTGGCTTTCTTCAATGTGACTCTCAAGAGCATTAGTGTTCAGCCTGGACAGGAGAGCACCATGGTTCTGTGAATTAGAGTTCAGAGAATAAAGCACAACACATAGTATTTAAACTTCAGGTAAAAAATGAATAACTACTTCGGTGTATGTATCTCCAAAGTATCACATACAACTATTACATTCAAGTATGCAAAATATTTCATAGTTATGCTAAAAAGTTACGGTCATCTTTCTGAATTTCAAACTTAACTACAACTTGAATTGTTATTTGGTGAATCTGGAAACCCCACCATGAAAGAATTATGAAATTTAGATAACATGGTTAGTATCATAAAAACAAAATAGAAAAAAACATGAAAGTCATATCGGTCAGAGTATAAAGGAGAATTTGCCTCTAACAGCTGCCTTAAAATACATAAATCTGAATGTACATCTCAGCATTTACTATTAGCAGTGACAACCAGATTGTTGGCCTAAGCGTGAAGCTCCTGAGCACTCAGATAATGCAGTTAAAGTTCGTTCTTAGTATTATGGCTTCACTGTAGGCTATCTTAATATTGTAAATTCAAAAGCAGGAACATAAGCACAGATAAAGGTGGAGAAAATAGCACCATCAAATAGACTAGGTACAAAAGTTTTTTAATGTAGACATCCAAAGTAATAGGAAAACATGTTAAAAGTAAGAAGCTACTTATAATATCCTAAGTGCTATTATGCATAAAAAATATTTTGGAGAAAATAAAATTTGATAAAATCTATTTTCTCATATTTATAGTAATATATTGTCTCATATTTATAGTAATATAATTTTAGAGTTTTATCATCTTATAAATCATATTATTTAGTACAGTTCTTTGTACTCTGCCTTTATGTATGTGTTTTGCTTTATTATTGTATTAATTAATGGCATTATTTTGCTTGTAAATTTTTCCCACATTCTATGAACAGCATTGCACAACCTATTGCTGTTCTTGGACAGCATAAGTCATAATGAAGTTTTCAGGTGACAAGGCCAGGGTGAGTTTGTTAACCCAATGGCAATATTTGGCAACCTGAGAAACATAGCTGACAGTGGCAGGAAGGAAAACACCTTTCCATCTAGATTAATTCCATGAAATTACCTTTATGAAATGCATAAATGGTGAAGAATAAATATAATAAACATGAGACAGTAGTGAGTAACTGATAAAACAGCTACTATTTTTTCTTGGAATTTGAAATTAGTGTAGGAACAGCTAGGAACACAATGCTGCTGACAAGGAAATTATAACTTAAAGACATTTAATTCTCAGCTTTCCCAAGGAAAGGAGAAAACAGAATAAAAAAGCAAAAGTAGGAGACAGAAAAACACACAAAATGTTTGACCACAAATCTTGTGTTATAAATTTTGGGAAACCCTATAAACCTGTTTGGAAATGTGTTTTTGTAATCAACACAACCTAGAAGATACCAGCGAAATATACAATTCTTATGTGAAAATGCTTATGTGGTGTTTTAGTATCAGATATCTGTGCATCACAGTAATGAGAAGATCATAGTCATACCAATTGCATTCAACTGGAGAATTTGGAGGAAAATGGAGGGCATGCCTTGTGTACCTGAGGTCTCCGGTTCAGGAGCAGTCAAGGTCCTCCTCTTCTCAGACATTCTCTCCACTATGCATGGAAGACAGGGGCTTTCAACACAAATTATTTTAAGACAAATTCATTCATATTCAGAAATATAGCAATTGTCCACTGAGTATGTTCCTTAATATTTTGATGCCCACATGGACCACAAATTTATTTTATCATCATTTGTTCCTTTCTGTGTTTTACTTATCCTGATTTCATCCTCTCTGTTTTCTACTTTAAAGAAACACACATGCTTGATGACGATATGCCTGCTGAATACAGACAATGATTATTTGTGTTTTTAAAAACCAAATTTACTTGTCACATTTTGGACTGTGTTTTATTGAACACATTGCAGTTGGTAGTCTTCAGAGGTATAAGCAGAAATACTAAACCAAGAGGATGTTTTATAATAAGAAAATACCATTGTTTTAATACCATTGTTCTCATCATGAAATAACCTCACCCAAACTAATACACAGAGTATTTTAAAGTTTTGGTTTACTTAGAAACAATACCATACTAAAACAATTTACTTTAGGAAAAGATTTCAAAGCACACTGAGTATCACCTCCTCCCCATTTATACAAGGTAGTAGTTAGCTCAACAGAAATTTATATAAACAGCAGAACATTATATTTTCAGATAGTTTTAATATCACAAGAAAAAAATCTCTATTGGCAATTACTATAATGAAATGAAACAAAAGAATCTGGGTATCTGCTAAAATCTTATTACTGTAAAATGTTAGACATATCTTGTGTTTTTAACATCCTAATTTGAAACAGTTCTAAAATATCAGAATTATATAAAGCAATCTTCAAAGTTTAAAGAAGCAAGAAGTATGACTAAATAATTTTATTAGTTCAGATTTCTGTGTTTACAAATTAAAACTTCACATAAATGCAGAAAGTTGTAGTTCAGCTAATTATATTGAGAGTTCAGCTATTATATTGAGAAAAGTCAAATGTATACAAATTCAAGTAGAACATCTCCAAAAATCTAAATGTTTTTCTACAAATCTATAAATTTGTTACTTCATAAGATTAATTATTTTGTATCTGGAAACACCTTCTTATGATAGTTAGAATTCAATGAACCACAGACTGAAATTATTAGGAGCTAATTCTAACAACTAGCTAATAAAATTCTATCTCGATTCACCACTCACCTAGACTTGTGAGCACCCACTGTTAATGAAGCTGAGAAGCAGACACCCAGGTCAGTCTTTGGAGTGAGTCTGTGTATGTGAGATCAGATCCAACAAGTGGTTATAGGGAAGGGATGTTGTCAACTCATCTCCCTCCAGGCCTACAATTGTCATGTCGCCTGTAGAAAAAGGATAAGAGCAGATGTTGAGATTGGTGGAAAAAGGAGCCACCAAAGGGAAAAGTGAACTTACCTATCTGAGGAGGAGCAGCTGGGTTCCACACTTTTCATATCTGAAGATCACTTACACAAGTCAACTTTGCCTGGTGAGTTGGATGATCTCAGTATTTGTCAACAAAACAGGATTCTCCCAATAACACTCCTGTCTAAGTAATGAGAATGTCATGTCAGTCTTCCCAGTGTGACTCTGGTGACTTAAGAATGTTTTCATAGTAAATACTGAAGTTTCTTATAGCAGTAGGAAGCCTTGCACCTGATAATTTTCTTTTTTTAATTGGCAAAGGTAATTGTGTATATTTATGTGGTACAATGTAATATTTTGATTTATAGGAAGATCCAGTCAAGCTAATTAATATATCGCCTAACCAAATTGCTAACAATCTATTCTTTTAGCAATTCTGAAATATACAATTTATTATTAAGAACTCTGGTCATCATTCAGTACAATAGATCACTAAAACTTCTTTCCCCAGCCTAACTGAAACCTGTACCCTTTGATCAACATCTTTGCTATACCCATTCCACCCCGACCATAGCCTCTGGTGATCACCTTTCTTCTCTGTTTCTATGAGATCAACATTTTAGCTTTCATATATGTGAGATCATACATTATTTGCCTTTCTGTGCCTGGTTTATTTTCACTGAGCATAATGTCCTCCTGTGTCACCCATAGCCATTCAAATAAAACAATTATTGTAATCCAATGACCTTAGGGTCCCAGCTGGACTATAACTACCTTTTTGAGAAAGAAAAAAAAGTCTCCTCTGACTGACATTCCCAGAAATAATGCTCTGTTCTCCAGGTGACACAGCCTTGCTCCAGGGTACCTGGCATTGGAATTCGAATGCAGGCTGCATTTTAACACTTATTTCCCCCACCTATTTCATCAATTTTCTTTACGGAGGGCAGAAGGGTTCCATCTATTTAAGCAACACCGAGGGTTAGGATCGGCACTGTTCTTTGCAATATAGCTTATTTAGACATGGAGTTCTAAATGGCCATGCCTCCCATGGTGATGTGTTCTGTCAACCCCAACCTTCAGTCTCCTCGGTTCCTTCTACTCAAGAGACACTGGATCTCACATATCCAGCAGGAGAACATCCACATTTTAAACACTATTCAGTTTTGATTTTGTGACAACAACTAGCCACATCTTTGTGTAATTAGCTCTAACTTTAACCTTAATTGTTATGACTATCATATTTGTGGCCCACTTTCTTAACCAAACACTATCTTGTGTTAAAGTGAAGATTTCTTTTAACAAACCAATACATTTTTTACCTGGGTACTAGATCAAACTGTTTAGCTTCATTTTGAAGTATCTCTCTCACATTTCATCTCTAATGCTCAAGCAAACAGTTCCCACACTCAACACCTGCCCTGCAGACTTCAAATGTTTGCAATTATATGTCTTCCTGCTTTCTCCAACCCGGTACACTCTATAATCAGCTACTATCACTATGTTATCATTGACAAATCCAGCTAACTTATTAGATCTTATTTGTTTGCCCCCTCCTCTCAAACTTCTGTCATTTCAAATGAAATAAATGGTTTCTAGTGCACTTCCCCAACACTTCTGTGTCTTTATTTGTGCCTGACTTTTCTTTCCTTCTTCCAAACTGGCTGGACAGTACGTATGTCTGAATAAAGCACTGGGCTGTGGCTTATTTGGAAAGAACCTGGAACTGTGCAATAAATAGATGCTTCTAGTAAAAAAAGAAATCTGAAGCAGATTCTGATGAGTTAAAATGTATGTATTAAATCCTAGTCTGAACAGTAATTAAATAACTCAAAGAAAAAAGCCATATAGATATTAAAATGTAAGATAAAATGTATTTACTTAATGCAAAAGAAAGCAGTTAAGGAAAGAAAAAAATGAGACATGTAGAAAACAAAATTTAGAAACATTAAATATAAAAGTATTCAACAATCAACATGCAGAGTTTGCCAACTGGGATGTTAAAATCAAGAACCAACTCTGGCTGGCATGGTGCCTCTTGCCTGTAATCCCAGCACTTGGGGAGGCCGAGGCAGGAGGACCACCTGAGGTCAGGAATTTGAGACCAGCCTACCTAACATGGTGAAAACCCATCTCTACTAAAAATACAAAAGTTAGCCAGGCATGGTGGCACATGGTGGCGATTCTCCTGTCTCAGCCTCCCAAGTAGCTGGGATTACAGGTGTACACCACCACGCTCAGCTGATTTTTGTACTTTTAGTAGAGACAGGGTTTCACCATGTTAGCCAGGCTAGTCCCAAACTCCTGACCTCAGGTGATCCACCCACCTCGCCCTCCCAAAGTGCTGGGATTACAGGTGTGAGCCACCATGCCCAGCCAGAGCATGCTTTTTATCTATCATGCAAGAACTCAGAGGGAAGGTGGCTATCTTCAAGCAAGGAAGAGATAGTTCGCTGAGGAATTGAATCAGCTGGCACCTTGATCTTGGACTTTTCAGTCTCCAGAGCTACAAGAAAGAAATACCTATTGTTTAAGCTACTAAGTCTATGGTATTCTACTATAGCATCTAAAGGATGCTAATACAGATTTTGATATGGAGAAGTGGGGTCCTGATATAATAAACACCTAAATGTGTAAGCAGCTTTGGAACTGAATGATGTATAAAGGCATCAAAGAGTTTGGAAGTGCATATTAAAAATATGTAATCAAGCTGAATTCTGATGAGGGCTCAGGAAGAAAATACAACTGCAGAGGAAGTTTTCATCTTCTTAGAAAATATGTAAATAATTTTGAAGACAATGTTGGTAAAAATATGGACATTAAAGGCCAATCTAATGAGGTATGAGACAGAAATGAGTAACATTAGAAACTGAAGAAAAAATAGCCACAAATAAAATGAAATACCTAGCAATGTACTTAATCAAAGAAGTAAAATATCTGTATAATGAAAACTATAAAACACTGATTTTTAAAAAATTGAAGAGGACACAAAATTTTTTTTTAATTTGCTTTTTATAGATTAGAAGAATCAATATTGTTAAAATGTCTATACTAGCCAAAGCAATCTCAGTTTCAATGCAATTCCTATCAAAATACCAATGACATTCTTCACAGAAATAAGAAAAAAATTCTAAAATTCATATGAAACCTTAAAAGACCTAGAAAAAAACTAAATAAAACAAAAAGAATAAAACTAAGGGAATCACATTACCTGACTTCAAATTATACTACAGAGTTATAGTAACCAAAACAACATGTAATGTATATATTATTTACTGTACAAAATAACACAGAAGGTAGATTGTTAAGAATTCATATGAGATAAGGTTAATGATGAATAATGAAGATTGTCAAGAATTCATATGAGATAAGCTTAATGATGAATAAATGAGCAAAATAAAAATAATGATGATTGGGATAATGTCACTTTAGAATGAACATTGATGATGTGAGGTATATTGTTTCTTCCAGACATACAAAAATGTTTCTTCTATGTCATTAAGATGAAAACAATTTTTACTTATGTTATCATTAACAAGTGCCTTTATTTTTCGAGTTGGCATTGGATTATTCATCAATACCATTTTTTTTTTCTTTCAAATCTTTACATTTCTTCTGGATCCCAGGCCAAAGTTCCATGACTTGATCATCTGCCACTTGGTCCTCAGTCATATTCTAATGCTCCTTACTGCAGTGGATTTTTTTCCTCAAGTTGTGTTTGAATCACTGAATTTGGGAATGGCTTTAAATGTAAGCTATTATTTTACACAAAAAGGGTGATAAGAGGCATCTCCCTCTGTCCCCCCTGGCTCTTGAGTGTGCTCCAGGCCATCACCGTCAGTCCCAGAAACTCATGGTTGGCAAGGTTTAAACATAAATTTACAAATTACATTACCAATGTTTTTCTTCTTTTTTGGTTCTTCAATTTGTCTTTTAGTAGCAGCCTAATCTTCTTCACTGTGTATTTTTCAAATGTGACTCAGACTGATCTATTGAATGTCAGTAAACACTGCTCACTTTTCCCCATGAACCTCATCATCAGGGAGTGAAATTATCCAGGGATGCCTTCCTTGTCAGAGTTATGCTGCTCTCAAGTGCATTCATGTGGATCCTCTTTTTCAGAAATCAGAAGCAATCCCAGCTCCACAGCACCAGCATCTCTCCAAGAATCTCCTCAGAGAAAAGGGCCACCCAGACCATCCTGCTGTTATGAGTTGCTTTGTGGTCATGTATCCTATGAACCTTCTTATTTCAACATCCTCAATCCTGTTATGGGTGTATGACCCAGTTGTCCTGAATTTCCGGAGGCTTGTGCTCAATGCATATGCCACTGTTATTCCACTGGGACAAATTAGTTCTGATTAAAAAAAAAAGTATTCTGCAGAATTGTAATTGATGTGCCACCAATTTTAACAAGCTATTGATGAAAAACGTTTTCTGAAAAATAGTCATCTGCTATTATTTAAACTGCTCAAGTAGCTCATTTTTTATCTGATTTAACCAATGTGTATAAGATCACCTTTTAAAATTATATATGAATACTTTTGAAGCTGATATTACTAAGGACTTTATAGCTTGCTAAGTTCAATATCTACCATAAATTGATATTCTCATATCAAATCTTTTTCTCTTTAATTTTCATTTTAACTTCATATTAGTAAATGTTTCTTTTTTCTTAAAAGGTACTCTTAAGCTCCTGTTGGTAATCAAATCTCTCAAAATTTTAGCTTTTGAAAATATTTTAATTTACCCCTACTTTAATAAGTAGGGATATTATGGTATTATGTAGGGGTATTAGGTATTATGACTATTCAATTATATCTTTAATATCATGCTTCCTCATTAGAATTTTCCTGATTCTGTAAAAATTATGTCAGTTTGGATTTTATATTGAAAATCTAGAATTTATTTAAATGGGTCTAAATAAAATTTGCATGTGGCTAGACATTAGTTTGGTTACACTTAATTTTTCCATTTTAATTGGGATATGATTGACAAATAAAAATTGTATAAGTTGTATCACCTTACATATATGTTCTAATAAAGTTATATATTGTGAAATTATTAATATAATCAAGCGAATTAACATGTCCCTCACACCTCACCTAGTTGCCTTTTCCTAGTGTGGTGAGACTATTTGAGTTTTATTTTCTTATCAAAGTTCAAGTGTACAATACATTATTAATAACTATAGTTATGGAACAAAAGGCAGCAGAAACCTCTGCAGACTTAAATGTCCCTGTCTGACAGCTTTGAAGAGAGTGCTGGTTCCCCCAGCACAGAGTTTGAGATCTGAGAACGGACAGACTGCCTCCTCAAGAACGGACAGGGTGCCTCCCGAGTAGCCTAACTGGGAGGCACCCCCCAGTAGGGGCAGACTGAAACCTCACATGGCCGGGTACCCCTCTGAGATGAAGCTTCCAGAGGAACAATCAGGCAGCAACATTTGCTGTTCAGCAATATTCGCTGTTCTGAAGCCTCTGCTGCTGATACCCAGGCAAACAGGGTCTGGAGTGGACCTCCAGCAAACTTCAACAGACCTGCAGCTGAGGGTCCTGATTGTTAGAAGGAAAACTAACAAACAGAAAGGACATCCACACCAAAATCCCATCTGTACATTACCATCATCAAAGACCAAAGGTAGATAAAACCACAAAGATGGGGAAAAAACAGAGCAGAAAAGCTGAAAATTCTAAAAATCAGAGTGCCTCTCCCCCTCCAAAGGAACACAGCTCCTTGCCAGCAACAGAACAAAGCTGGAAGGAGAATGACTTTGACAAGTTGAGAGAAGAAGTTTTCAGACCATCAAACTTCTCTGAGCTAAAGAAGGAAGTTCGAACCCATTGCAAAGAAGCTGAAAACCTTGAAAAAAGATTAGACGAATGGCTAACTAGAATAACCGGTTAACAGAAGTCCTTAAATAACCTGATGGAGCTGAAACCCATGGCACGAGAACTATGTGACGAATGCACAAGCTTCAGTAGCCAATTCGATCAACTGGAAGAAAGGGTATCAGTGATTGAAGATAAAATGAATGAAATGAAGCAAGAAGAGAAGTTTAGAGAAAAAAACAGTAAAAAGAAATCAACAAAGCCTCCAAGAAATATGTATTTGTTTTTCTTGAAATTTATATTCCTGTCCCGTCTAAATATTGATTAAAAGAGAGGTAGGCACAAACTTTTATTTTGGTTACATTTTGCAAAGTTCTCTAATTTACTTTAGATGATGGGTCCCATCTACTTCATGAACATATGTGAGTATTAAGTACAACAAGTACAATAATCTCCTCCCTACAACAGAGGACCCTGAGACACTAGGGAAACATGGATTGCCAAAATCTTTGTCTTTCCACATTATTCTTCCCTTTACTTTTTATTGCAATGAAAATATAAAAAGATAGTATGCTACAAATTAGAAATTGATTAGTGGATAATATGCATACGTTATTACAGTAAGTTCAAGAATAAGTAGAATATATGAATAGAACCAAAACAATTAGAGATTAAACTTTTTCTATGAAGAAAAGCTCAGTAGATAGTTTCACTTGTAAATTTGACCAAATATTTAATAATGAGTTAAAACCAGGTCTTTTAGTTGACTGCCCCACAAAAAAACAAAACAAAACAAAACTGAATAACAGAAGAAACTTACCAATTCATTCCATGAGGCCAGTATTGCCCAGACAAAAGTCAGGAAAAATCACTACGAGACTATAGACTATTATCCCTTATCCATATTGACACAGAAATCCACAAAAATAATAACAAAATAAATGTAGCCACAAATGAAAATTATTGGACACCATTACCAAGAGGGGTATCTCACAATACAAATTTAACATTCAAAAATCAGTCAATATAATACAGCTTAATAAAACAATAAAATATCAAAATGATCATTCTGAAAAACACAGAACATTTGACAAATCTAGACCCGTTTATGAAAAAACCCTAACTAGACTAGAAACACAAGCAAAATTTTTACACCTGCTATAAGACATCTATTAAAAACCTACAGCTAATATCATGCATAATGTTGAAATCTTGGGTTTGAGAACGTTAGTTTGGAAACAAGACAAGAATATATTTTTACCACTTCTATTTTAACAGTATACTGGAGATTTTGGCCAGAAATATCATGGAACAAAAATAAATTCATGACCTTCAGATAAAGATCGGAAGCCTATTCAGATGACATCCTGTATATAAAACTTTCTAGAAAATTCGGCCAGGCGTGGTGGCTCACGCCTATAATCCCAGCACTTTGGGAGGCCGAGGCGGGGGGATCACCTGAAGTCAGGAGTTCGAGACCAGCCTGGCTAACATGGTGAAACCCCGTTTCTGCTAAAAATACAAAAAATTAGCCAGGCGTGGTGGTGCGCGCCTGTAATCCCAGCTATTCGGGAGGCTGAGGCAGGAGAATTGCTTGAACCCAGGAGGCGGAGGTTGCAGTGAGCCAAGATCACGCCATTGCACTCCAGCTTGGGCAACAAGAGTGAAACTCCGTCTCAAAAAAAAAAAAAAAAAAGAAAAGAAAGGAAAAGAAAAAAGAAAATTCACAAATACCCACTATAATAAATGAGTTAAGATTGCATGATTTAAAATAATATAAAAATATTAATAAAAATTCTATACACTAGCAATGAACAATCTCAACATGACATGAAGAAACAATTCCATTTACAATAGTTTCAAAAGGTAAGGCTGATTGTGGTGGCTCACAACTGTAATCCCACCACTTTGGGAGGCTATGGCAGGAGGACTGCTTGAGGCAAGGATTTCGAGACCAGCTTGGGCACACACAGCAAGCCCCCATATGTACAAAAATATTTAAAATCCATGGAATGTGGTGGCATGCACCTGTAGTCTCAGGAGGCTGAGACTGGAGAATTGCTTGCACTTAGGAAGTTGAGGCTGCAGTGAACCATGATTATGCCACTGAACTCTAGCCAAGTTGACAGAGGCAGACACTGCCTCAAAAGAAAGAAAAAAAAGAAAGAAAGAAAGAAAGAAAGAATTATCTGCAGAAGGTTTTAAGGCTCTGCTCCAAAATTATAAGGACCTACACCAGGCTTTATGTATAGCAACCTATCAAAGATACAACAGCATTCCTATCTCCCAGTCACACCTCAAAAACCATTGCATCTGCAGTCATATGGCACAAGTGGCAAAGTAGCTTGCATTGCACTCTGGACTTTTTGCAGGCCTTCTATTATTCTGTGCCCAATTTAAAAGTAGCAGTTTTCCATTACATTCATTGAATGGGCCACGGTATCATACTCAAACTAGGAATGGGTTTCTCATAACCCAAAGAAACCTGCCAGCTCTTGCGCCTTTTTTTGATGTAGGAGAATGTATACGTAACCACTTTTTCTTCATTCTAAAAGGTATATTATAACATGCCCCATATTATTGGACTCCTAGAAATATCACTAGCACAGAAATGAGATCAAACAGAGACCTCTTGTGGGGGCCCATGGGCACACAACCATAAAAGTTAAAAACAAAAACAGAAACAAAGAAAAAACAAACAAACAAAAACTTCAGTTTCTTTACACTGTGAACAAATGTACATTAAAATGTTGTAATAAAACAGTGACTAAAAGTAACTAATGTAATAATAGTCAAACACCGTGATGCCATGTCTGAGACTCATAAATATTTTCAATTCCATGCTAGCAACACTAACTTCAGGGGACACGCCCCTAGCACAGCAGTTGTTAACATACAGTTGCTCTGTGTGCAGTAGCAGTGGCCTGTCTTAGGCCAGCAACATCACATACATACATACATCTTCTTTGTCAATACTCTAAAGCTTTCCAATTCAGATATGAGATACTTGCTTGACTGCTTAAGCACATATGTTGTAACACACAGTGCATAACGAAAAAGCTCTTCAAAATTTATGGTGTGAAGAAAAGTAAATATCCTGAGTTGTTTTTCATTAATTCAGTGTTGAAGGAAGCCTTGTTTCTTCTGTATTACACATGTGAAGTACAATTTTGATAAATTTATTAGTGGTGAAAATATCATTTAAGGAGGAAAAAATGATATAAGTTGAATGATAACACACACATATTTCTGGCTTAGAATTTGAGGAGGTGGAGGTGGAATAATGTCTCTATTTTTGGCAGGAGCCTCTGAGAATAAGTGCAATGGGTTAATAAGGCGGAAGGGCCTCAGGGTGCTAATTTCTTCTCCCTTTGCCCAGAAATGAGCTGTGACATCACTCAGGGCTTTCTCCTTCACATGCTCCCTTTCTTTGCGATCTGCTGACGCTCTCTGTGACAGAGCTGTTTGGAACTTACCTTGTGACCCCATTGTGAGCTGCTAGCTCCCATCTCCCCATCCAGAGAGCAGCTCCTAGTGCCGATCCCCAAGTGCAGGGTGCTCTGAGTTTCTGTCCTCCTTGACAAACCTAGAAATGGGAAAGAGAGATTTCAGGGTGGGACTTGAGCCATAATTGATCCAGGGTCAGTCTGTGGCATAAGAGCTGCACCTCAGCCTAGAGCACATGCCCAACATGCTCGTCACCAAATGTTCAGTCAAGGACCCTCTGGGGCACACTGTCTAGGCTGACGTATAGCCCTTTTGATGCTTTCTTCTTGAATGTATTTACCACAGTCCCTGACTCAGAATAGTGCTCAATAAATAGCATGTTTCCTCTTTTTCCTGCCAGGGAGTTAAAAAAAAACAAACAAACAGCTACATGGGAAATTATAGAAGAGAAAGAGGTTTATGATTGAAGTGAGGGTCAGGAACTTTTGTGGATGAGGCAGACTTTAGCCAAGATTTGAAGGAGAGATTCATTCATTCATTCAACAGATGCTGCAATATACCTGATATGTTTCAGGTATTTTAATGAAATAAGAATAGGGCTGGGCATGGTGGCTCACGCCTGTAATCCCAGAACTTTGGGAGGCCGAGGCGGGGGGATCACCTGAGGTCAGGAGTTCAAGACCAGCCTGGTCAACATGGCAAAACCTCGTCTCTACTAAAAATACAAAAATTAGCTGGGCATAGTGGCGTGCACCTGTAATCCCAGCTTCTCAGGAAGCTGAGACAGGAGAATCGCTTGAACCTGGGAGGTGGAGGTTGCAGTGAGCCGAGATCATGCCACTGCACTCCGGCCTGGGCAACAGAGAAAGACTCTGTCTCAAAAAATAAAAATAAAAAAGAATATAACAGTGACCACCATCACAAGGTGTTCAATCTAGTGAGGCCGAGAAACTTCCCCCAAATCATCACACAAATATAAACTTCATGAGAGCAAACTCAATGTCCAATAGGAAAATGGTAAAATTATGAAATGTTCTTTTGATTTAATGTTATATAGCTACGGAGGTTGTTTCAAATAATTATAAAATGATCATAAGAACTGTTATATTCTAAAAGTATGGTATAAAAGTACAGAGTATAATTCTTATTTTATAAAAAATAAATGCATATTTACCTCTGCATGGAGGTGGTTCTATGTCACACAAACCTGTGGTTATTTATCCCTGGTGATGGGATTAGAAAGCATAGACCACATTCTCTTAAAAGAGTAAGGCTGTGGCCAGGAGGCAAGTAGATTTGTTTTTCCACTGTTTGAATTTGCAATTAGATACTCTGCATGCTTTAAATGTAATGGAAGTTGTGATATATACTCATATTCTCATGGTAGGTTGTTCCATTTTGGTTTTGATGTTGGGGAGGAATAAGGTGAAGGTCCCTGTGGACTCTTCTTGTTCAGTGGCACACGTGTGGTCCTGGGGAAAGCCGTCACACAGTGGGCGCTGAAAAATGTGGCCTATGGCCACGAATTCCCTTTCAGTCCCTGCCTAAGCAAGATTCATCTTCCTCTGCCTCCTTTTTCATTTCTTTTCTTCTATTGTCTGGTATTTTTGAAGATAAAAATTTGTTTCCAAAGGGGAAGTTCCAGAAATTCTTCCAAGAATAATGATGGAAGTTTGATTTCCAAGTGAGTGAGTATTCCTGGGCAACTGATTAAATCCCTTTGTCAATACTAAAAATCTGGCTTGTTCTGGATTAGTTCCACCATCTCACCATGATAACTCCCTCTTCTATAATCCCCACCAGAAATGACTGCTTTGCTTGAAAGCTTTTCCCTGAGAAGTCAGTGGTGTGTTACTCCTTTGTCAGCTTAAAAAAAATAATTATACATTTCTGGGATTTTGTTTTGTGTCCCTGTGTTTTTTTAAGCAACTGGTGTTTTCAAGCCAAAAATTAGAAGTATTATGGAAGTACTGATGATGTACTCAGAGGAAAACAATAAAGCATATGATTTATTTGTTATAAGATGTAAAAGTTCTAGAAGATTTTCCTCTGATTTGTAAATTTTTTCCTCTCAAGAAAGTTTTTCCTTATGTTTTATAATTTCTTTATTTTAAAGACCTGCTGGGTTACTTAAAGTATGATAGTTCTGTTGGTGGAGTGAGGATAATGCTGCATTCAACCTGCCTTTTGTGGCATCTTGCTTACCCTACTTTGCAGAACAGAGATACCAAGAATCGGCCTTATGAAGCTGGGGCTATTTTTGCATTGTGATTTCAGAGATGCTGAAAAGACCTCTGACTGATTTCCTAATACTCAAAATGATACAGTAAGGGACTTGGGAGTTTAGGTCTTAAGACTTTTCTTCATGAGTTTCTGTTAAAATCTAAGATAAAAAGTAGCTGCCTTGAAGAATCTTACCAGGGTTTGCTGCCAGCCAACTGAATGACTTATTGGAGAAAGGACTCATGACTCCTGGGCCTGAGGGACAGGCAGACAGGGAGATGGCTTCAGCAAGGATTTTCCACAGGTGACCCTGGTTCTGCAGTGACAGAAGCTCCTGTTGCACAAGGTTGTAAAATTATTCAGAAAGAGTAGGGATAATGCACCTACATTTTACCTGCTTTCAAACTCGTTGACAATTTACTTCTGGGAATTATTTTTTCTCTTCTCCAGTTAATTTATAGTCTATCTCATTTCTTGTCTTTTCTGCCAACCATTGTATTTTTTCAGGGACAGTTGCGAGACATAAACTATGATTTCCTATCAGAGTGCTTGTTACAATTCCGTTCTACTTTTCTGTGAAAATGTGCAACCTTCCAACTCTCAGTCATCATCTTTCCCCTTTCTCAATTCTTATTTTGCTTCTTGCAAGTGTTTTTCTTTTCTTTTCTCTCTCTCTCTCTTTTTTTTTTTTTTTTTTTTTTTGAGACGGAATTTTGCTCTTGTTGCCCAGGCTGGAGTGCAATGGTGCGATCTCGGCTCACCACAACCTCCACCTCTTGGGTTCAAGCAATTCTCCTGCCTCAGCCTCCCAGGTAGCTGAGACTACAGGCATGCGCCACCGTGCCTGGCTAATTTTGTATTTTTAGTAGACACGATTCTTCTCCATGTTGGTCAGGCTAGTCTCGAACTCCCAACCTCAGGTGATCTTCCTGCCTGGGTCTCCCAAAGTGCTGGGATTACAGGTGTGAGCCACCATGCCTGGCTGCTTCTTGCAAGTTTTTGAACATGTTAGTGAAGAAGCAGTTGAGTCATTTTGTGAAATAAATTTCTATTTACAAACACAGCAAGATGACACATTCATGGACTCCAAACATAGGTAGAGCTGTCCCTCCTTATTTCTGCATTCCTGGATTCAACAAATGTGAATCAAAAATATTTTAATAAGGTTTCTGTACTGAACATTTACAGAATTTTATTTTTCTTTTCACTATTCCCTAAACAACACAGCATAACAACAATTTAGGTATTAAAAGTAATCTAGAGAAGATTTAAAGTATGCAGGAGAATATGCATAGGTTATATGTAAATACTATGCCATTATATATAAAGAACTTATACATCCATGCATTTTGGTATCCAAGAGGACTCCTAGAACAAATCCTCCAGAAATAGCAAAGAAATATGATAAAGAGTTTACAGTGTTCATAAAACTCTAGCTGCTTACTAGAACAACAGTTCGATGAAATAAAAGGCAGACTTGAAACTGTCCTTGGCCTGTATGGCTTGGCTGGCAGCCCCTGGCTTGCATGCCCCTTCTAGCAAGATGCACGTTAAGGCCACTATGTGCAGCTGAGGGAGAGTCAGGTGGCTCTTCACCAGGAGCAGATCGCATCCTTCTTTTGTCACATTTCTGCCTCTTAAGAGTGTCATGCTGAGAGGCATGCCTTCTTGATGCAGAAAAGAATTTGTTGGCAAGCTCTGCCAAACATCTGTTTCCATGTACTTCCTATGTACCCACAGTTGCAGATCATGGGAAATTAGATAGTTTATCAAAAATAGCTTTCACTTTTTAAAACGTTCCTTTTTAGTTTTGGTTGAAAAAGACAGAAGACACAGTCCTAATTTCAGAAATGAAAGAGGATCTATCATTACTGATCCCATGAAGAATTAAAGAATAATAAAGAAACATTATAAACCACTCTTTGCCCACAAATTTGGTAACCCAAATGTAACAGACAAATTCTTTGAAAGAAACAACCTACCCAAACTCACACAATAAGAAACAGACAATTTGAATAGTACTACATCTATTAAAGAAATTGGGTCAATGATAAGTAACCTTACCAAATAGAAAGTACCAGACCCAGATGAGGTAACTAGTATATTTATGCAAACATTTAAGAGAAATTATTCCAACCCTCTACAATCTCCTCCAGAAAACAGAAGCAGAGTGAATACTTTCAAACTATTCAATGGGGCCAGGATTACCATAGTGTCAAATTCAGACAGAGACGTTACAAGAAAAAAATGCAGGACAATATCTCACATGAAGAAAGATGCAAAAATCCTCACCAAAATATTAAGAAATCAAGTCCAAAAATGTAAAAAATAATTATATACTGCAACCCAGTGAGATTTATTACAGGCATGCCAGGCTGGTTCAACATTTGAAAATAAATTAGGCTAAGTGTGGTGGCTTATACCTGTAATCCTAATGCAGTAGGAAGCCAAGGAGGGAGGATCACTTGAGGCCAGGAGTTCAAACTAAGCCTGGGCAACATAGCAAGACTCTGTCTTTAAAAAAAATTAGTTCATCATATTAAGTTTTAAAAAGATAAGATTTCATCAGTACATTCAGAAAAATCATTTGACAATATCCAAAACCCATTCATGAGAAAAACTCTCCGCAGACTAGAAATAGAGGAAAACTTCCTCAATTTCATAAATAATGTCTATTAAAAAAACCTGCACCTGGCCGGGCACAGTGCCTCACGCCTGTAATCCCAGCACTTTGGGAGGCTGAGGTGGGTGCATCATGAGGTCAGGAGATTGAGACCATCCTGGCCAACATGGTGAAACCCCGTCTCTACTAAAATACAAAAAAGTAGCCGGGCATGCTGGTGCGTGCCTGTTGTCCCAGCTACTTGGGAGGCTGAGGCAAGGAATTGCTTGAACCCGGGAGGCGGAGGTTGCAACGAGCTGAGGTCACACCACTGCACTCTAGCCTGGTGACAGAGCGAGACGACATCTCAAGAAAAAAAAAAAAACCTGCATCTAACCTCATACTGAATGTAGAAACACTAGATTCCTTCCTGCTAAGATCAGGAGCAAGGCAAAGATGTCTCCTCTCACCATTCCTATATGATATTATACTATAAGCCCTAGGTAATGCAATAAGACAAGAATAGAAAAGGTACATAGACTGGGAAGGAAGAAATAAAACAGTCTTTTTACACAGATGATATAATTGCCTATGGAGAAATACAAAAAGATCACAAAACAAAATCTTAGAATAACCAATTTTAATGAGCAATTATAGCAACTTTGCACAATATAAGATTAATATACAAATGTCAATTACTGTCCTATATATCAGTAATGTAATTAGAATTTGAAATTTAAAAATTCAGTGACATTTATGCTAGCACCAATAACAATGAAATTCTTTAGGTACAAATATAAGAAAATAAATATAAATATAGAAACCATATGAAGAAAACTACAAAACTGTGAAAACATCAAAGAAGATCTAAATAAATGGAGAGATAATCCACATTCAAGTAAAGAGGGATTCAACGTTGTTAAAACGTCAGTACTTCCCAACTAGATCTACATATTCAGTGCAATCCCAATCAAAATTCCACAAAGCTAGTTTGTGGATATTGACAAACTGATTCTAAAGTTTATATGGAAAGGTAAAAGACTCAGAATAACCAAGAAAATATTTTAAAAGAACAGTTATAGGAATGACACTACCCAACTGTAAGCACTACTATAAAGCTACAGTAATCAAAACACGGTACTGGTAAAAAATAATAGAGAAACAGATCAATCAAACAAAAGATAAAGCTCATAAATTGACCCATGAAATATAGTCAGCTTATCTTTGAGGAAAAAGCAAAGGAAATTCAATTGAGAAACAATACTTTTTCAACAAACAGTACTGGAACAACTGGACATCCACATACAAGAGAAAAGAAGAAAAAAAAAAACCCTAAACCCAGACCTGACAACTTTCACAGAAATTACTAAGAATGGATCATAGACCTATATAGGAGGAAAACTCACAAAACTCCTAGAAGATAACAAAGAGCAGAATCTGAATTACCTCAGGTTTTGCTCCTCTGATAAAACACCAGAAACGCTGGGGGCGGTGGCTCATACCTGTAATCCCAGCACTTTGGGAGGCCGAGGTGGGTGGATCATGAGGTCAGTAGATTGAGACCATCCTGGCCAACATGGTGAAACCCCATCTCTACTAGAAATACAAAAATTAGCTGAGTGTGGCAGCGTGTGCCTGTAGTCCCAGCTACTTGGGAGGCTGAGGCAGGAGAATCACTTGAACCTGGGAGGAGGAGGGCGCAGTGAGCTGAGATCAGCCACTGCACTCCAGCCTGGGTGACACGGCGAGACTCCATTACAGAGAAATGAAAATTATAAAAAGAATGGGATACAGAGATAATGAAATGAAAAATTAAAAAGACCTTTGAGTTTATAAACAGAGTAGAAACAGAAGACAGCAATAGAAATCATCATCATCCAATCTGAAGAGTGAAACAAGTTTGAAGAAAATGAAAAGCTCCTTAGAGACCTGTGGAATGACTGAGTCCGAGAAGGAGAGGGAGAGACAGAAAAATTAAATATGATACAAGAGCAAATAAACAACTCATAGCTGAAAACTTGCAAAATTTGGTCAAAACCTCAAATTTGTATATTCAAAAGATGAGCACACTTCAAAAGAAAATACACATAAAACCATACCAAGGCCCTATTAGAAAACTGGCAGGGCAGGGTTTTCAAGGGACTTGCTATGATTTCTCATTTTCACTATTTATAATAATGGACAATATGCTCTCCTTAGAGTTTTCTTCCTGCAGAAAGTCTGATATGTCAGGTGCAGATGACTCTTTAGTCTATTTTTCAAGGTTTAATTTCTTACCTTGGAAATCAATTAAATTTGTTTTTTCAAAATTTTGCAGTAAAATTGATGCTCCGAAAAGATGCCCAGGGAGATTCTGTCCTGCTGCGTCCGCCCTGCACAGAACTAACGCTATGCCAACGCCAGTTTCAAAAGCGTGTAGTTGTGGAGTACTTAAGAGTTAATCTAAAAAAGCGAATAGAAAAATGGATTCAATAAATGATCACTGTTAAGTTCCATCGGCAAAGTCTTAAAAGTGGTTCCAAAGGGAGTATTTAATAAGAGGTAAAGATTTTTCCAGGGCACCCTATTCAGAGCAAAAACAAAGACACTGTCCAAACCTCACCACACAAACTTCCTCATGTGTTGGGAGGAACCAAGGCGCTCTCTGGTCCTGCACCTGTGTTAGTTATGGCCGGGAGGTCTACACTAGGACCCCAAGGCCTGGGAACCAGCCTGGGTGGGGGACAAAGAAGTGGTGGATGTGGCTCGCAAAGTAGTTTAGGTGGTCCCTTCCCCGTGGCAGTTTCCTGACTGGATGCAGCAGGGTCAGGCCTTTCCCCTGGGACATTTTCTCATCGTTATTATAGTGGCAGGAGCGCCCCTGTGCGAGGCCTGACCCAGGTGTGGGCCATGCAGCCAGCCCGGGGTCCAACAGGTGCATCTGGGGAGTACAGGGGGATTCGTGGCAGCCCAGAGAGAGAGAAAAAGGTGGTTTTCAAAAGGGAAGTGCCAGGTTACCAGAGACTGGGTACCTTCACATGAGGCAGTGAGTGAGCTAATAGTTTCGGACACTCACGAGGGAGCTTCCCGCGCTGGACCAAGGGGAGCACTACGCATGTCTGAAGGGGTGTGGCCAGGGGAGGGACAATAAGAGGACGTGGCTAAAACGAGTGGCCCTTCAGAGGGAAAGGGCGGTGTCGAGCCGGCTGCTGGGGGGGGCGGGGGCGCAAGCGTTACCATAGCAACCCTGCTGCAGAGTCTGTGAGAGGCTCTTGGCCTCTACCTGGTCTGTGGAAAATCAAACTCTGGGCACAAGTCATGAAGCCAGCACGTTGGGGAGACACCGTGTCACAATGACAAGGTGAGATCAGCCGCCCTGGCCAAGCTGTCTCCTCGCGGGCAGGAGAGGTTTGTGAACAGCCAAGCTTCCCTCCGCACGGCGGAACTGCACTGGAAGCCTGGAGGAGCTCGGTGGAGGAGGGACCTTTGCTGGGAATGGGGGGAGCTGTAGTCTCTTATCCGCACCCAGCTATTAGTCGTAGGCTCGCAGGACTACAATCCCAGCACTAAACAGGATTGTGAGCGGTGCGGATCCCTGGAGGGAGACATGGCGCGGTTTGCTCCTGCGGGGTATGCAGGCAGGAGTAGTTTTAGCCGCTTCCGGCCGTTGATCGCAGGCGATCAACTACAATCCCAGCATGCAACGGGAGTGGGGGGTGGTGCGAATGCCTGGAGGAAGGGGCCGCGTGGTGCGCGCCTCGCCAGGCATTCTGGGAGTAGTTTCTTAACCGCTTTCGGCTGTTGGTCGCAGGGCTACCGGCCTACAGTCCCAGCAAGCGCCGGGCTGCGGGGTGGTGAGCAGTCCCGGAGGGAGGCGCAAGCCGTGTGGACCTCTCTGCTTCCAAACCTATGCTGGCCACTGATTCTGTGCCATCCCTGGCTAAGGGGAGTGAGTCCAGAGAGGGACTTAAGGGGCAAGTCGGGGCTGGGCAGTGAGAAGAGTGTGACGCTGCGAAGTGCACCTCATCTTTGCCTAAATCGGGCGGGTCTCAGCCTCACCCCACCTCTCGCTGCTCAGCTCGGTTTCCCTCCAGAGCATCACGCCTCCTCCAGCACAGGAGCCGCCTGCTTTCCTAGGCTGCTGTGGAACTGGCCTGAGGTCCCAGACGCTGTCCATTGTGCTGCCGCCCTCCGCGCTCTCCAGCCAGAGCGCCAGTTCACCGGCTTTTGGGAGAACTCCGCCGCCTCACCTGCCCGCGGACAAGGTCACAGCTTTGCAGGGGGTTGACATGGGCTGTGGCTTCCTGGAAATGTCACCCTCACCAGAGCCTTTTACATGGATGTGAATTTTGAGACATGAAGGAGGGTAATTATTGGTTTACCCAGGAGATGCTAAGAGCAGAGGAGAAAACCCTAATTTCCAGGCATGTGACTTGAGCCAGGGACAGGCTAGCCAGACCCTGAGCCCCCAGTGCCGCCAGAGAGCAGCCTATTGCCCTGGTTTCTGTGGAAGTCTCTTCATGCTGCTGGGCCTTAGCCTCAGGGACAGCTCAGTCAGGTGAGGGTGGGGATGACCCATGGGCTTCTGGAGCTGGGCTGGTGGTCCTGGAAGGGCCGGCCCATGCCCCTTGGAGAGGGTCTTTGTGCTGAGGGATGCCCACAGAGGCCTGGGTACCAGGAACACTGCTCCAGGCAAGGGGCCTTTCTTCCAGATTTGGCTGGAAGGAAGACTTGGTCAGCTTTTCCACCTTGCAGGGCTGCACCCCATGGACCTGGGTTCCTGGAGTCTTTGACGGCTTTGTGTGGTCGACTTGTTTTGATACTGAGGACACCCCTGCTGGCTGTTAATTTCAGGGCAAGGGATATGAGGCCATTATTTTAAGTGAAATAACTCAAGAATGGAAAATAAAATACTATTATTTTTCACTTATAAGTGGGAGTTAAGCTATGCGTATGCAAAGGCATACAGAGTGATGTAATGGACTTTGGAGACTCAGAAGCAGAGAGTGGGAGGTGGATGAGGGATGAAAAAACTACCTATTTGGTACAATATAAACTACTCAGGTGACAGGTGCACTAAAATCTCAGAATTCACTGCTATATAATTCATCCACGTAACCAAAAACCACTTGTACTGTAAGTGATACTGAAATAAAAATTATAATAAAGCAAATTTATAATAAAATTAAAATTATACTTACATAATTATAATATAAACAAAAATTATAATAAGGAGCAGCTTTTTTTTTTTTTTCTTAAAAAGAAAAACCCAGTGCCACAGTTTTGGGTTCTAGTGTTTTGGATAGAAAGCCCCTTTTGCTCAGTAACACACTCACTACTGGAGAAGCAAAATCCTGAAAATTCAAGAAGAACCTTGGCATAAACGATATTTCTGACAAGTTATTTATACACTGCCTACATGAGTATTGCAGATATGTTTTAAAGACAAAGATCCATGTAGACTGGGTCAGCTTTATGCTTGGTCATTTTATTTCCAATTCTTCTCCCCTAAAATACAAGTCATGGGTTGCCATGGTGATTATTCCAACTGCATTGTGGTCAGATGGAACTGGTGACCTGTTCTAATTTCCCCTTCAGTTACAAAATGAGCCCGATGCTCTTAGCCATCAAAATCTCACCAACACCTACTACTTCAGTTTCAACTCTGGTTCCTTTTTCAAGGCAATCACTCAAAGTTGCAAATCACAGAAAGGCAAAAATGTTTTAACTAAAAACTTAATAAAAAGTTATACCCCCCCTGAAGCCATGTAATTTGGGTTTTATTTATTTTATTGTCTATTCAGGTCCATAAACCTACAACTGTAACAATATATACCATTCATGATAAGTTAATATTTATTGAATAGTAAAATGAATATACGTTAAGGGTAGATCTGGCTTCAAGTATAACTGCAATCAGGGCTGGTGTGATATGTCCAGTAGTCAAGGACAAATGTCAGTTGTAATATGACCTCCTCCACTTGAAACACACAGCAATACTTTAAACGTCTGAAAAGAAAGTTACGTAGGGAAATAAATGAAAAGTTATTAATTTGATTAAGAAGGAATTAAACCTGATTTTAAAATAGATAAAGACATACAAATATAAAAAATACTGAAGAACAATTAGCATAGGTAGAGGAGCACTAAAAGTATGATAGAAAAGAAATATATTTAAAAATATTAGTTTCTGAGTTAAGTTTGTAGATATAGAGACCTGACAAAGAGTTGCTCCTACACATTAAACAAACAAACAAAAATGCTGGAGAAACTTCAAATGAATGGATGGTTTCTCCTGAGCCCTTTAAAGAACTGAGGTCACAGGGCAGACTACAAACCCAACATCAGGGGATGCAGAAAGCCTGCAGGTCACACAGGCTCCAGGCTTTTATGTGTACCCTGAAGACCATGTAAACTGGTAAAATTAAGCCAGAACTTTTGAACTAGTTCCTGGTGGCTGTGTGTGGGTGGGTGAGGAGAATGAGAAACCCTGGAGTCTACAGACGTAGGGTTTATACCGTTGTGTATAATTTTTCTAGGAACCCTACAAGGCCTGTCAGGGAAGATGGGGTTAGAATCCTGAGGATGCTTACCCCACAGTGCTGATGGGGAGGGACCACTATCCCATCCACTACTGCAACTCTGGAGACACAGCCCTCACATCTCTCCTATATAACATGAGGCCTAATCTGCAGAGAAAGAGCATCCAAACCTGAGCCAAAGGGCACTGGGGAAAAGCTCATGGAACTGAGGGTGAAGGAACAAGGCCAACACCCGCATTTCTGCACAGATGCATCTCCCATAAAGAAAAGAAACCATTAATTTACAGGGCACTGTTCAAGGCCCACTTCAACTGGGAGTTAAGAGCATGGAGAAGGAGCACGTTTCCCCTACCATGGACAAGGAGGGACAGGAATGTGCTCTTGTCCTGGCATTGCATGTACAGGATGGGCAGGAAACTCTTCAACGGTCAGTAACCCCACACCCCAGTTCACAGTGCTAAGTCTGAGGCTTCCTCAGAACATTAGAGATCTCCTCACTCCCTCACCACTGCCACCAGGCTAAGAAGCATGGAGTCAAAACAGTGGAATATAGCTGGGCCAAGTGCAAGAAACCACGTGTGGGAAGAGGCACAAAGGGAAGGCACAGCAAACTCGGGAGATATTAGCAAAGTATCATGAGAGGGATTTGAATTTCCTGGTCCTCAGAAGGTTGTTACTGCCATAACGACTTTTAACCCCAGCCTACCCTCTCATCAACATGACCACAAACCCCTATACTAAGGCAGTTATCTGAGAGAAAACTGCTCGTCAATAACCTAAAACCTATCCCCTTTCAATGTCAGTGGGCTGATGAAAAAATAAAAATAATAAAAAAAAGATTTACCCCAATGCACTATCCTATACAACATATGCTATTGCTTTTAACAAAAATTAGAAGCCAAGACATCCCTTTTTATCTTTAGTGAGATCTTCATTTGTGTTAAAACCAAATTAAGGTCCCAGTGCGGAGTTTAGGAGGCTGGGACTTCAGATCACAGCGGGCGCCCGCCTCCCGCCCGCCGTGGCCACGCCGCGCCGCGTCCGGGAAGGCCCAGCGGAGGCTCCGGGGAAGGCGACACCAGCAGGCGGCCTGGCCGGCGGCATTGAAATGGGCGTCCGCTCCCCACGGAGCGCGGGAGGTCGTAGCTGCAGCCGGACGAGCGCTGGCACCAGCCGGGCACCGCGCATGGATCCCGCGTGCGCACTGTCGCGGTCATGGCGTCCCGGGCCGGCACCGCGGCCTCGGCTCCCTGCTCTGCGGCTCTTGTCTCCAGGGCGGCGTTGGGTTCTGAATGTTCCAGTTCCACAGCAGCCAGACGCGGGATGCCCAGGGACGGCCTGACGGCAGCGCTGGCTGCGGTGCGGCCAGGGCGCTGGCGTGGCCGAGGCCATGGTGGTCGTATGTTCCATGGACACCATCAAGGTGAAGTTCATCCACGGCCAGACCTTCCCAGACCTCCAGTGCAGAGGAGTCTCCCACCAGGTTAGAGAGATTGTGCGAGAACAAGGGGACTCACCGGGGCCTCATGGCACCCACGCTAAAGCAGGGCTGGAACCAGGCCGTCTGCTTCTCCTCCTGACCTCCCTGCACAGCTGGTACCGAGGGGACAACCCCAGCAAGCCCATGGACCCGCTGGTCGCTGGGGTCTTCGGAGCCATTGTGGGCGCAGCCAGTGTCTTGGGAAACGCTCCTCTGGATGGGATCGAGACCGGATGCGGGGCCTGGAGCAGCACAAACGCGGAACACACCGGCCTATGGCTGCAGATCCTGAGGAAGGAGGGGCTCAAGGACCTCTAGAACGGCACTGTCCCCCGCCTGGGCCGCTGGACCGCGTCTCCCTGGATGTGACCAGGGATAAGGGTAACAGTATTTATCCTCTACCAGGAGGTGGAGAAGCTGCACAACAGTGTGGAGGATGGACTAAGCCCAGAGGGGTAATGAGGGAACCCCCCAGGCACCTCCAGAGCGGCCACCACCCTTGTCTCACATGATTCCAGCGCAGAAATGCCAAAAGGCCCCTGCCCACGTCCCTCGAGCTCTGTGGCCTGCCCTGTGCATTGTGGTGTCACGTCCATTTGTCCCCTAGTGCCATGTCTCCCCGTGGTCTGTACGTGACACTGCGCCTGTGTCCACGAGTCTGGCCCGGCCGTGGCTGGAGGTCCATCTGGCCTGTGAGTCTGTGCCCACTTGTCCATGTGCTTATTGTGAGCCCTGGGCCTGTGATTCATTTTCTACGTCATGCGACACTGCGCCCCGCCTCCCGGGGTGCCAGTGTGGCCTGAGTCCTTGGCCCTGTCATCCCGGCCCGGGCCCAGTCCACTGCCTTCCACCCTGCCCTGGCCTACCACAGCTGCCTCTGGGCCTCGGCCTGGTTTCACTGCATTCTTGGGGTTACACCCCTGAACCCCAAATTCCACCCCTCACCAGCGCTTCTCCTACCATTGGCTTGACTGGCCCACGGCCCCTCCCTCTGCCCAGGAGAGGGTGACACCCACCACTCTCAGGATCACCCTGCCAAGGCAGAATAAACCGGATCCTATTGTAAAAAATAAAAAATAAATAAAAAGTATGAAGCACAGAAGAAAATAAGCTACGAGGAAAAAGGGTTAGAAGATTTTTCTTTTTGAGACAGAGTCTTGCTCTGTTATACAGGCTGGAGTGCAGTGGCCCGATCTAGGCTCAATGCAACCTCCGCCTTCCGGGTTCAAGTGATTCTCCTGCCTCAGCCTCCCGAGTAGCTGGGGTTACAGGCATGCCTCACCATGCCCAGCTAATTTTTGTGTTTTTAGTAGAGATGGGGTTTCACCATGTTCACCAGGCTGGTCTGGAACTCCTGGCCTCAAGTGATGGGATTGCCTCTCCCTCCCAATACAGGCATGAGCCACTGTGCCTGGCCCGGTTGGAAGAAATTTGATATCACATAAACTTTGCATACTGGAAATATATTTGTAATATTTTAAATTTTAAAAGTATTATAAATATATTTATATTTGTACATATTAATATAAAATATTAAATTTAAATATTTTAAATGTTTAGGTAAAAACAATTGAGGAAAAGATGATATCCAAATAATTTTTGAAAGAGCAGGAAACTATAAACTGAATGAGGAAATTTGGAAAAGAGTCAAATAGAAATGGAATAATTTAAACATAAAGAAATTTAATATACGATATGTGAGTTAATTATAAAATTAGACTACGTTGATGAGAGAATTAGTGAACTGGATTAATGAACTGAAATTTTGAGCAGAACGAATATAACCAAATAAAAGAAAGAGAAACAAAATAATAGTAATATGAATGTAATTATACATATGTGAAGAATAGAATGACAAAGAATAAAGCACAATTATTTCACTTGAATTCATACAAATAATAAGTCATACTAATAAATAATTATTTACAAATTTCTAAAAGTAAAAACCAGACATGTGCCTAAAAGAGACACTGTGCCTGAAAGCAAGCAATAAAGAGGCTGGGTGTAGTGGCTCACATCTGTAATCACAGCACTTTGCGAGGCCAAGGAGGGCGGGTCACTTGAGGTCAGGAGTTGAAGACCAACCTGGCCAACCAGGTGAAACCCCGTGTCTACTAAAAATACAAAAAAATACAAAAAACTTAGCCGGGCATGGTGTCAGCTGCCTGTGATCCCAGCTACTCCGGAGGTTGAGGCAGGAGAATCCCTTGAACCCGAGAGGCGGAGGTTGCAGCGAGCCAAGACTCCAGCCTGGGTGACAGAGCAAGATTCCGTCACCAAATTAAAAAAAGAAAAAGCAATAAAGAAAGATATCCAACACCATAAGTCAAACTGCATAACACCAAAGAGAATGAAGAAACTTCAAAGCCATGAGAGAGAGAGAGAGAATCTACACATGTGAGAGTGAAATCTCCACAGCCCAGGCAGAGCCAGAAAACTGAGAAGGAAATATTAAGAGTGCTGAAAAATTATTGTTCAACCAGTAACTGAATACATAGCTAGCATATATTTAATAAATAAGGGTAAACTAAATAACCTTCAGAAGTAAAACACACACACACACACAAAGAGAAATTTTATCTACCAACAGGAGCATCTTAAGTGTACACTTCAAGAAGATAGAAAAGTTGTCTTATATAAAACTTAAGGGATCAAAATTAAATATAAGAAACTTGTGGACACAGGGGACTATGACGGTGGACTTTAAAGAAACCACCAAGTTCTTGGCAGCATAGTTTTCAAAAGTATTTAGATGAAATAAAAGTGTAATAAAATAATATATAAAATCACCTGCTTCTTGAATTATTTGATGTCCAAATCTGTTTTTCAGATAATTATTTTCATAATTTATTATCATCTATGATATTTATATAACACATTATGCAAAATTTTGATTATTCTATTATCAGAACTAATTAGCATAAAAGGGCTAACAGATAGAAATTGCCCATAAGCATCTGGACACCCATGATGAATGAGTCATAAGCCCATAACAGGGTTGAGGAGGATGAGATGATGAGGCCCACCCAATACATGAGCACAAAGCAACTCACCAGCATCGGAATGGTCTAGGTGGCCCTTTTCTCTGGGGAGGCTTTTGCAGACAGGTTGGTGCTGGGAAGGTACTGGGGTTGTCTCTGATGCCTGGACAAAAGAATTACCATGTATGCCCTTGAGAGCAACATGACTGCTACAAAGAAGACATCTGCAAGTAGTGGCAGCATGAAAGACAGACTCCTGATGATGTAGCTTATGTAAGAAAGTGAACAGTATTTACTGATACTTGGCACATTGCTGTCGGTCACATTAGAAGAGGCCACAGTGGAGGAAGGCAGGTTACTACTGAGAAAGAAACTGAGAACCCCAAGAAGTGAAAGATGCAATGTGTGAATTTCTGTTTAATTCTTGCCAACCAGGAGGTGCCGGGGGTAATGGTGACAGCCTGGAGCACACTCCGGAGGCAGGTGGTGCAGATGGAGAGCCCTCATCCCTCTATGCATGTAGAAGAATACCTTACACTTGAAGTCATTCTGAAAATACTGTGACTCAAAGAGGTCCAGAGATGCCAAGAAGCTCACAGTGAGGAGCATCACTAAGTGGACAAGGGCCAGGTGACAGGTGATGAGGTCAGTGGGCTTAGGCCTGCAGTCCAGAGGGAGTGTGCAGATACAGAAGAAAAGGAGGAAGGTGTTGGCTGTGAGTCCAATACCAGCTTGGGAAAAAAGGGCAATTTTTAATAGTGTCATAAGTGGACTATGGTCGTCTTAATGGTGAAGAGGGATCATATTTTATATATCTGAAAAAGCAATAGATATCCTATCATCAGTATTATTTATTGCACGGTCAAAATTATTACCAATATTATCATTTTAATTTTACCCATTTATCCTGATTAACCTGGACTATCTCATATAAATTCTTTAAAATGTAGCCTAAGCATTTTATCTTACAACAAATAAGTTATACGTATCTGAAACTTCCATACATCCACAATCACACCCATGTAGGGTGCACATTATCTATACTCATAGAGTACTTGTGGCTCACTCATCAGAAAGCATTTCCTTCCCTTCTGAATTCCTCAAATCACTGAACATTCTCAGATCAAAACTTTTTTTCTTCTTAAAAGCTTTTCAACTTCTAAGAATATATACATATTTCAATGCTCAAAGATGAAAAAATGTCCACTAAAAATTTTATCCTCAGAAAAACTATCAATTAAAAATAAATAAAAAAGACATTTCAGGTAAATAAAAGCTGAGGCAATTTTTTGATAGCAGACAGATCATTTGAGAAAGAATAAAAATAAGTTTTCAGGCTGAATGCAAGTAATCCCAGATAATTTTAATGCCCCCAAAAGACAAAGAGGACTAGTAAATGTAACAAATATTTAAGGCAATATAAGAAATTTTTTTCTCATATTATCTGATTGTCAAAAGCAACTGTGTAATATTGTTTGTAATGGGATCTTCAGTGCTATAACATAAAGAAATTTAATTTATTTGCCAATTACAGCACAGAGAAAGTGGGTTCAAGAAAAGATATATTGGGCTAAGAAAATCTTTCCAGATAATAACTTGTATCTACAAAGATTTAAAAAAGTACGTCAGAAAAAGTGAAGGATTACAATAACATAATGAATAATAAGAAGTTTAACAAAACAAACCTGTAAATACACAAGTGCTCTTTTTTCTTATTTCAGCTTATTTAAAAAAATAAAATTATGTAAGCAGATAACTACAAACTGTTGTGTTTGTAACATATGTAGATTTAAACATTAGTACCCAAACTAGGAGGGAAAGACAGAATAAAGTTGTACAGGAGCAACGTTTTCATAAAATGAATATAAGGTTAAAATGTGAAGCTCCAATACCTACCTACATACATATATATGGTGCAATTATCAAATTAATGTAATTAGCAGGTACTATATTATGTGTATCTGCTAGTGCCCTGGTCTTGGACTTCTCAGCCTCTGTAACTGTGAGAAGTAAGTTTAGACTCTATATAAATTACCTGTTCTAAAGTATTTTATTACAGAAATAGGGATAGCCTAAGACAACATTCGTGAACATCCATGCTGTGCACTAAATCACCGGAACTTGTTTATTTTATATCTAAAAGTTTTGATCACCGTGTCTTCATTTCTGCCAGCCACCACCCCCTAGCAACCACTGTGGACTCTCTGTTTCTATGACTTTGACATTTTTGGCTTCATATATGAGTGAAATCAAACAGTATTTGTCATTCTGTGTCTAGCTTATTTCATTTAACCTAATGTCCTCTAGGTTCATTCGTATTGTAGCAAATGGCAGAATTCTCTTTTTTATGGCTGAATAATATTCCATTATATAAATATTCCATAATTTCTTTACCCGTTCATCTATTAATGGATACCTAGATTGTTTGCATGTCTCTGTCATTGTAAATAATTCTGCTATGAATACAGAAGGGCAGGTGTCTCTTTTAGATACTAATTTTATTTTCTTTGGTTATATATCTGGAAGTGAAATTGCTGGATAATATGGCAATTCTATTTTAATTATTTGAGAAAGCTTCACAGTGTTTCTGTAATGGTTGTACCAATATTTCTGTATTTTTAAGTGTATGTTGTACTCTGTTGGGAGCCAATTTTTATAGACCTGTTGGTTAATTTGTTTTACATCTTATATAAGCTTCCATTTGGACAATCTTTTCAAGGATGTTTTTAAATAACTAACAGCCTTGTGTGAAGTGAGTAGTGTCTCTTTTTAGAGCAGAGGTCAAATACATACATAAATAATTTAATAAAATTATGTTTTCCCCAGAGGCAAAGGTTGGGAAGGTTTTATTTGAAACACTTTATTTTTTTTCAGCAAAATTCTCTGTATTTTAATGAAGTAAGACAGTAGTCCTTGAATGGAGGAGAGGACAAAAAGGGAACCCCCAAAATACATGATGTGTTGAGAACCCCAAAGTCCAGTGGAAGTCACATCAGGCACAAATCCCATAGAGGTTCTGAGTGAAATCCCTGCTACAAATTTTAGCCATGAGAGATGAAGGAGTTCCCCCAATTTAGAGGTATCTTCTAAGCCAAAAAATAAAATGATGGAGGGGGGCAGGGGCTCAATCTTTAAGAGTTTTCCAATTTTAGAGGAACTGGGAAAGCACATCAGGACCCCCTCATCTAACAGGGTGGGGGATATGAGATCCTGATGCAACTTCAGGACAGAGATAAAACATTGATTCGTTGGTGGGCAGGGCTCCTTGGCATGGCGGGCTCAGATTGGCTCCCTAGTGGCTGGGAGTAAGGTCAGGCTCAAGACAGCCTGTGTTGAGTAGTCAGGAAGGAAACTCATCAGCTTGGGTTTGATAAAAGGACGATTTAGAGGTATTCCCCTCCATCTTGGGGAGCGACCCTTGCAGCAGAAAAATTGTGGTGAGAGTCTGGGGCAAATGGAGCCACTCCTTTTGCTGGAACATGAGGCAGTCAGACAGCAGGCACCACATGGCTTCGGGCAGTTGCTGGAGATTTTTCTGAGGTCCAGGGATGAAGAGTCACAGCCCACCATAAAGATAATCTGGTCACAGCTGCCAATGTGGCTGTAAGGCAGTGAGCCAGTCGTGAGATTTTAGAGCACAGCCACACTGGCATAGACGTCCGACTGGAAGCTGAAGGGGTTCAGGTCAGCTGCGATCCACAAAACAGAACCTGAAGGCTTCTCCAAGGGCTGGGCCCTGCTTCACTCTGTCTTCACTGTGGCCAGACGAGAGTCACTCATCTTTGTGTTGAAAAATGTTATTAGACTTGAGATCACCTTGGATGATATTCTTGGCATGGAGGTAGTTCATGCCCTGGGCAGTCTGCTGGGCCATGTCAATTAGCTGGACTATATAATATAATATATAATGCAACATAATATAATATAATATAATATAATATAATATATTATATAATATAATATACTGTGACATAATATATGTCAGACATAATATATAATGATGTCATAATATATTGTGATATAATATCATGTATTATACATACGATATATATCATAATACATTGTGATATCATAATATAATACATGATATATAATCATATATAATATATGGTATAATACATTGTGATATCATAACATAAAATTTTGTTTTTTTGTATATGTTTTATGAAATAACAAATTATATATATGACACCGTATCTGACAAAATTTTATTATATTACATGATATTACATAATATATTGTGATATTATAACATATAAAATTTTGTCAGATAATCTTATGAGAAAACTGAGTTAAATTTTGTAACAACATTAACATATAAACTTAATAGAACCTAAGAAAATTATCTGCTCTTGTGTAAATGACCATTTTTTCGATAACTCTGAAGGCCAGCTATGGGTGTGAAAGGGGTCTGCTACTTACTTTATGAGACATTGACCTCCAAATCTTTGCTGTTATTAACCAGTGCCCTTGCAAGATAAGAGAATATTTTACTCTAAGAAAGCATTTTCATAGATACCATAATAGGAATTTTGCTCATGTTAGTTAATAAATTATTATAACTTTTTTGGTTATTAATAGTTTGTCATTAAAATATACTTCTACAGATAACCCATTGCACAGGTGTTTTGATTCATCCTTTAGCCACAGGTCAAATTTTAAAATGTTTATTCGTCAAATTTTATTTATTTTAGATAAAAGAGTCCTTGTATCTACCATGTGCTGTAAGATCTGTATGTTGTTAGAAAGACAAATTCTCAGACAAAACTCATGTCTATTTTGAAATTCTCAAACCAAGTTCAGGTCTATTTTTTTCAAAATCTAGATTTTACGTAATGTTTCTAGGTGTTTCCTTTCAATAAAAATCCAAACTAAAAGAAATAAAAAATGTATAGGTAATTCCCATGCATATCAATATTGTTAAGTGGGGTACTTTTATTTTTACGAAAGGGATTGTTTATATGGATGTATTGATGTGTCAAACAGGTACAGTTAAGATTGTACCTTTTTTTCTCAGCGTCTCAATCTGTCACTCAGGGTGGAGTGTAGTGGTGCAATTACAGCTCACTGCAGCCTTGACCTCCCAGGCTCGAGCGATCCTCCCATGTCAGCATCCCAAATAGCTGGGACTACAAGTGTGCACCATCATGCCCAAGTAATTTTTAAAAAATGTTTGTAGAGATGATGTCTCACTACGTTGCCCCAGTGAGGTCTTGTTACGTTGCTCAGGCTGGTCTCAAACTCGTGAGCTCTGGCTTCCCAAAGGGATGGAATTACAAATGCAAGCCACTATGCCTGGCCAAGATTGGTCCTTTCAATGAGCTCACATCTTATTTTAAAAAAGAAAAACTAATTAAAAGATAAAGTCTGAGTAACAAATGGGTTCACGTTAATGATTATTAACTTGGGTACTTCTATTCTTAAAAGAAAAATTGTTTATATATGTGTACTGATGTTTAAAAAGGTACAGTTAAGAGTAAACCTTTCTTTTTTTTTTTTTTTGAGACAGTCTCACTGTCACCCAGGCTTGTGTGTAGCTGCCCAATCACATCTCACTAAAGCCTCACCCTGCCAGACTCAAGGGATCCTGCTATGTCAGCATCCCAAGTAGCTAGGAATACAGGCATGCACCATCATGCCTCATTTTTTTTTTTTTTTTATTTTTAGTAGCCATGTGGTCTCACTATGTTGCCCAGGCTGCTCTTAAACTCTGACGCTCAAGTGAGCCTCCTGTCTTGTCATTCCAAAAGGATGGAATTACACAGGCTTAAGCCATTGTGCTCAGCCAAGATTTTACCTTCAATTAGCACACATCTTATTTCAGAAAAAAATAATAATAAAGTCTGGGAAGAAAATGCATTGAAGTATGGATAAAACAAACTTGGCACAGGTTGTTGAGCCTGGGTAACAGTTGTATTATACTGTTTTATTTTGTATATGTTTTAAATTTTCTGTAATAAAACATGTATACAAATACAAAGTTGATCTTCAGTGTTAGCTCTTAAGACCTTAGTGACTTTGAGGAGCAAAAAGAGAGAAAGTGGGGTTGCTTGGAACAGCTCCAGTCTGCAGCTCCCAGCAAGACCAATGCAGAAAGCGGGTGATTTCTGCATTTCCAACTGAGGTATCCAGTTCATCTCATTAGGACTGGTTAGGCAGTGGATGCAGCCCACGGAGGGCGAGCAGAAGCAGGTTGGGGCATCACCTCACCCGGGAAGTGCAAGGAGCCAGGGAACTCCCTCCTCCAGCCAAGGGAAGTGGTGAGACACTGTGCTATCCGGTCCAGATACTATGCTTTTCCCACAGTTTTTGCAATCCACAGAGCAGGAGATTCCCTTGTGTGCCTATACAAACAGGGGCCTGGGTTTCAAGCACAAAACTGGGCAGCTGTTTGGGCAGACACCGAGATAGCTGCAGGAATTTTTTCTTCATACTCCAGTAGCACCTGGAACCCCAGCGAGACAGAACTGTTCACTCCCCTGGAAAGAGGACTGAATCCAGGGCGCCAAGTGGTCTCGATAAGCGGGTCCCACTCCCATGGAGGCCACCAAGCTAAGAACCACTGGCTCGAAATTCTCACTGCCAGCACAGCAGTCTGAAGTCAACCTGGGATGATTGAGCTTGGTAAGGGAAGGGGTGTCCACCATTACTGAGGCTTCAGTAGTCAGTTTTTCTCTGACAGTGCTAAAGAGGCTGGAAAGTTTGGACTGAGCAGAACTCAACAGAGTGCAGCAAAGCGGTTGTGGCCAGACTGCCATTCTAGATTCCTCCTCACTGGGCAGGGAATCTCTGAAAGAAAGGCAGCAGCCCCAGTCAGGGGGTTATAGATAAAACTCCCATCTCCCTGGGACAGAGCACTTGGGGGAAGGGGCAGCTGTGGGCACAGCCTCAGTGGACTTAAACATTTCTGCTTGCTGGCTCTGAAGACAGCAGCAGATCCTGAAAAGGAGGATTCTCCCAGCACAGCGCTCGAGCTCTTAGACTGCCTCCTCAAGTGGGTCCCGGATCCCCATGCCTCCTGACTGGGAGAGACCTCCCAGCAGGAGTCAACAGACACCTCATAGAGGAGAGCCCCAGCTGGCATCAGGCCAGTGCCCCCTCTGGGACGAAGCTTCCAGAAGAAGGAGCAGGCAGCAATCTTTGCTGTTCTGCAGCCTCTGCTGGTGACACCCAGGCAAACAGGGTCTGGAGTGGACCTCCAGCAAACTGCAGCAGACCTGCAGAAGAGGGGCCTGACTGTTAGAAGAAAAACTCACAAACAGAAAGCAACAACATCAAAATCAACAAAAAGGACCCCCACGCAAAAACCCAAGCCAAAGGTCATCAGCCTCAAAGATCAAAGGTAACTAAATCCACAAAATGAGGAAAAACCAGTGTAACAATACTGAAAATTCCAAAAACCAGGATGCCTCTTCTCCTCTAAATGATCACAACTCCTCTCCAGCAAGGGCACAAAACTGAAAGGAGAATGAGTTTGATGAATTGACAGAAGTAGGCTTCAGAAGTTGGGTAATAACAAAACTCTTCTGAGCTAAAAGACTATGTTCTAACCCAATGCAAGGAAGCTAGGAACCTTGATAAGAGGCTACAGGAACTGCTGTAATAACCAACAGTTATTATAGAGTCACCAGCTTAGAGAATAACATAAATGACCAGATGGAGCTGAATAACACAGCATGAAAACTTTGTGAAGCATACACAAGTATCAATAGCCAAATTGATCAAGTGGAAGAAAGGATATCAGAGATTGAAGATCAACTTACTGAAATAAGGTAGGGAGACAAGATTAGAGAAAAAAGAATGAAAAGGAACAAAGCCTCCAAGAAATATAGGACTATGTGAAAAGACCAAACGTACAATTGATTGGTGTACCTGACATTGATGGGGAGAATGGAACCAAGTTGGAAAACACACTTCAGGATGTTATGCAGGAGAACTTCCCCAACCTAGCAAGACAGGCCAACATTCAAATTCAGGAAATACAGAGAACACCACTAAGATACTCCTCGAGAAGAGCAACCCCAAGACACATAATCATCAGATTATCCAAGGTTGAAACAAAGGAAAAAAAGTTAAGGGCAGCCAGAGAGAAAGGTCAGATTACCTGCAAAGAGAAGCCTGTCAGACTAACAGTGGATCTCTCTGCAGAAACCCTACAAGCCAGAAGAGAGTGGGGGCCAATATTCAACATTCTTAAAGAAAATAATTTTCAACCCAGAATTTCATATCCAGCCTAACTAAGCTTAATTAGTGAAGAAGAAATAAAATCCTTTCCAGACAAGCAAATGCTGAGGGATTTTGTCACCACCAGGCCTGCCTTACGAGAGCTTCTGAAGGAAGCACTAAATATGGAAAGGAAAAAACTGGTACCAGCCACTGCAAAAACACACCAAAATGTAAAGACCAGCGACACTATGAGGAACTGCATCAACTAATGTGTGAAATAACCAGCTAGCATCATGATGCCAGGATCAAATTCACGCATAACAATATTAACTTTAAATGTAAATGGGTTAAATGCCCCCAATTAAAAGACATGGACTGGCAAATTGGACAAAGAGTCAAGACTCATCACTGTGCTGTATTCAGGACACCCATTTTATATCCAAAGACACACATAGGCTCAAAATAAAGGGATGGAAGAATATTTACCAACCAAATGGAACACACACAAAAAAGCAGGGGTTGCAATCCTAGTCTCTGATAAAACAGACTTTAAACCAACAAAGACCAAAAAAGACAAAGAAGGGCATTATGTGGTGGTAAAGGGATCAACGCAACAAGAAGAACTAACTATCCTAAATATATATGCACCCAATACAGGAGCACCCAGATTCATAAAACAAGTTCTTAGAGACCTACAGAGAGAATTAGACTCCCACACAATAATAGTAGGAGACTTTAACACCCCACTGTCAATATTAGACAGAGCAATGAGACTGAAAACTAACAAGGATATTCAAGACTTGAACTCAGCTCTGGACCAAGCAGACCAAATAGACATCTATATAACTCCCCACCCCAAATCAACAGAATATACATATTTCTCAGCACCACATAGCACTTATTCTAAAATTGACCACATAATTGGAAGTAAAACATTCCTCAGCAAATGCAAAAAGAATGAAATCATAACAAACAGTCTCTCAGACCACAGTGCAATCAAATTAGAACTCAGGATTAAGAAACTCACTCAAAACTACAAAACTACATGGAAACTGAACAATCTGCTCCTGAATGACGACTGGGTAAATAAAAAAAATTAAGGCAGAGATAAAGAAGTTCTTTGAAACCAAAGAGAACAAAGACACAATGTGCCAAAATCTCTAGGACCTAGCTAAAGCAGTGTTAAGAGGGAAATTTATAGCACTAAATGCTCACATCAGAAAGCAGGAAAGATCTAAAATCAATGCCCTAATATCACAATTAGAAGCATTAGAGAAGCAAGAGCAAACAAATTCAAAAGCTAGCAAAAGATAAGAAATAACTAAGATCAGAGCAGAACTAAAGGAGATAGAGACATGAAAAAAGCCTTAAAAAAATCAATGAATCCAGGAGCTGGTTTTTTGAAAAGATTAACAAAATAGGTAGACCACTAGCTAGACTAATAAAAAGGAAAAGAGAGAAGAATCAAAGAGACACAATAAAAAGTGATAAATGGGATATCAACACTGATCCCACAGAAATATGAACTACCATCAGAGAATACTATAAATATTTTTACGAAAATAAGCTAGAAAATCTAGAAGAAATGGATAAATTCCTGGACACATACATCCTCCCGAGACTAAACACGGAAGAAGTTGAATCTCTAAATAGACTAATAACAAGTTCTGAAATTGAGGGAGTAATTAATAGCCTACCAACCAAAAAAAAAAAAAAAAAGCCCAGGCAGGACCAGACCAATTCAGAGTCGAATTCTACCAGAGGTACAAAGAGGAGCTAGTACCATTCCTTCTGAAACTATTCCAAACAACAGAAAAAGAAGGACTCCTCCCTAACTCATTTTATCAAGCCAGTGTCATCCTGATTCCAAAACCTGGCAGAGACACAACAAACAAAGAAAATTTCAGGCCAATATCCCTGATGAACATTGATGCAAAAATCCTCAATAAAATACTGGCAGACCAAATCCAGTGGCACATTAAAAAGCTTATCCACCACGATCAAGTCAGCTTCATTCCTGAGATGCAAGGCTGGTTTAACATATGCAAATCAATAAATGTAATCCATCACATTAACAGAACCAACCACAAAAACCACATGATTATCTCAATAAATGCAGAAAAGGCCTTCAATAAAATTCAACACCCCTTCATGCTAAAAACCCTGAATAAACTAGGTATTGAGGGAACATACTTCAAAATAATGAGAGCTATTTATGACAAACGCATAGCCAATATCATACTGAATGGGCAAAAAAGCTGGAAGCATTCCCTTTGAAAACTGGCACAAGACAAGGAAGCCCTCTTTCACCACTCCTATTCAACACAGTATTGGAAGTTCTGGCCAGGGCAGTGAGGGAAGAGAAAGAAATAAAGGGTATTCGAATAAGAAGAGAGGAAGTCAAATTGTCTGTTTGCGGGCGACAAGATTGTATATTTAGAAAACCCCATTGTCTCAGCCCCAAAACTCCTTGGGCTGATAACCAACTTCAACAAAGTCTCAGGATATGAAATCAATGTGCAAAAATCACAAGCATTCCTACACACCAATAATAGACAAGCAGAGGTCCAAATAATGAATGAAATCCCATTTACAATTGCTACAAAGAGAATAAAACACCTAGGAATACAATTCACAAGGGACACGAAGGACCTCTTCGGGGAGAACTACAAACCACTGCTCAAGGAAATAAGAGAGGACACAAACAAATGGAAAAAATATTCCATGCTTATGGATAAGAAGAATCAATATCGTGAAAATGACCACACTGCCCAAAGTAATTCATAGATTTAATGCTATTCCCATCACCCTGACACTTTTGATATCCTTCCTCTAGCAAGGCTGCATTGGGGTTGCCACCCTGATTCCTCTGTAAGAAAAAAAAAAAGCTAGCGGGTGAGGTAGGACTCAGGGGCCACGGACAGGACAGGGCACCCAGGCTGGCCTCCCCCAGGACCCTCTAAGGCCCCTGTAGGCAGGAGGGCTCAGTGGAGTTCCAGGACCCACTTCAAGGATGGTGCCTGTAGCCCCTCCCTGGACCTCCAAGAAGGGCCAACTCCCTCTGCAACCTGCACCCACACAACTCCCTCTAAAAACTGCACTCACCCAACTCCCTCTGCAACCTGCACCCACTGATCTCTTAGAGGTGAGCATCCATCCATCTTTGTGCACATGGCTTTCCGCTTTAATTCCGCTGGATAGTCTCCTTGGCAGAAACACCCAGGGAATCCTGGGCCTGTGCTGGATGTTCTGTAAGTACCAAGGAAAGAGGGGTTTGAAAACTCAAGAATATAATTAATATTATTTTCTGCACTTTAATATCTCAGGGTTACTTTCCCTCCAAAATGTGTAAAAACAAATATTGAGATTTCTGTCCTTTCTATTATGTTAATTATGTCATCATACAAACCTTTCATTTTCCTGAAATTTATTTTTATACCAATCATTAAATTTTTGTTCTCTTCATTCAAAATGTTACCTGTTTTAGAGACAAAATTTTGAACATTATATGCTTCACAAATTATATGTTTCACAATAGGAAGCAGCATTTTATTTATGTAATGACTAATGTAATTAATAAGTTTATTAAACAAGTAAATAACTGAAGTAAACTTAGTTTGTATTACTTATATGAATTATTTTACATTTTATCTTTGATCTTAAAAAATTTTTAACTAGGGATGCAATTCAAAATTGACAGATATTTTAACTCAGAACTTTGAACATAATATCCATTGATTTGTGAATTCTATGAAGATGCCAAATATGGGTTAAAAATCTCTTGTTGCTTTGTAGTTGATTCACATTTTATATTTCAATGATTTTAAATCATTTTGGTGTTAAGCTTTTTAGTTATTATGATGTTTTTAGATATTTTTTGTACTTTCCTTGGTTGATGTTTTATTAGTTCTTCAAAATGTTTAAGCATGCCATATTTTCCCTATTTTGTTCAAAAAATCATTAGACAAGGCCAGGCGCGGTGGTTCACATTTGTAATCCTAGCGCTTTCGGAGGCCAAAGCGGGTGGATCACCTGATGTCAGGAATTCAAGACCAGACTGGCCAACATGGTGAAACCTGTCTCTACTAAAAATACAAAAATGAGCTGGGCTGTGGTGGCCGGCGCCTGTAGTCCCAGCTACTCAGGAGGCTGAGGCAGGAGAATCGCTTGAACCCGGGAGGGGGACGTTGCAGTGAGCCGAGATCGTGCCACTGCACTCCAGCCTGGGCGACAGAGTGAGACTCCACCTCAAAAACCAAACCAAACCAAAACCAAACAACAACAACAACAAACCATTAGACATAGCACTCTTATTTCATTTTTAACTTATTCTGACTTGCATATTTTCCACTCATTTTTCTCCTTGTCCTGACATCTATGTTTTTTTTTTTCTGTTTGACGGAGTCTCGCTCTGTTGCCCAGCTTGAGTGCAGTGGCGCCATGTTGGCTCACTGCAACCTCCACCTCCCGGGTTCAAGCAATTCTCCTGCCTCAGCCTCCCAAGTAGCTGGGATTACAGGCACATGCCACCGCGCCCAGCTAACTTTTTGTGTTTGTAGGAGAGATGGGATTTCATCGTGTTAGCCAGGATGGTCTCGATCTCCTGACCTCGTGATCTGCTTGCCTCGGCCTTCCAAAGTGCTGGGATTACAGGCGTGAGCCACCGCACCTGGCATTGTTAGCTCATTCTTTTTCTTATACTTTAGCTCCTATTTTTTACTTTGCTCATATCCCTTATATTTATCTAAATATTTTAACTATGTATGTATATATTTTTATTTTTGTATTTTTATAGAAATTACGTTATGCTATGTTGACCAGGCTAGCCTAAAACTCCTGGCCTCAAGTGATTCTACTGCCTTGGCCTCCCAAAATGCTGGGATTATAGGCAAGCGCCACCATGCCTAGCTTACATATTTTCTGTACGTCTGCTCGGAATTCCTTGAAGTCTACTGGTACAAGTGTTTTATGATTGTTGTTATTTTTGAACAAAATTAATTTTTGTGTCCTTTATTTTGCATATTTAAAAAAATTACGTTGTGTGATTATACTTGACAAGCCTGAACTGATAAGATTTTCAGTTTTTTGGGTTGAGGGTTTTTTCCTCAAAAAAAAAAAATTGTCTTGGAATTTTTGTTTTCTTCTCTACATGAATCTGAAAACATTTAAATTAACTTATTAAATTTTTCTCTATAAAAACTCCGGGTCAATTCAAACCCCAACATATCAGTACAGTTGGCCTTCCTTCCCAAATCAGCCAAGGCACGGACTGACTAGCTTCCCTATTTATCTCACTTTGACTGCAGGCTTCATATTCTATCTCATTTTTCTTAGATTTGCAGAACCTTGAGGCCTTTGGCTTTAGTTAGGCTGGTCAGGTTCATCTCCCTTACTTTGATTCTAGTGTGGCACCACATCTACCCCTGAGAGCTGTAAAAACCCAAGAAATGATGCCCCTATTATTATCAACCTATTGTAGGAAGCCTCACCCTGCCAGATGGACTGTCTCATCCTCCCTTCTTTCTGCTGCCTGTGCTTCTTTCTTTGTTTTATTTTTTTGAGATGGAGTCTCACTCTATTGCCCAGGCTGGAGTGCATTTGCACTATCTCGGCTCACCGCAACCTCCACTTCCCGGGTTCAAGCGATTCTCCTGCCTCAGCCTCCTGAGTAGCTGGGATTACAGGCACCCACCACCACGCCTGGCTATTTTTTTTTTTTTTTTTTGTATTTTCAGGGGCAGACAGGGTTTCATCATGTTGCCCAGGCTGGTTTCGACCTCCTGAACTCAAGTAATCTGCCCACCTCAGCCTCCCAAAGTGCTTGGATTACAGGTGTGAGCCACCATGCCCAGCCCCTTTTTTTTACTTTAGCACTTAGAACTAAACTCTGCAGTTAAGCACTTGCTACATTGTCTAGGCTTTATGGTGTTTTTTTTCAATGGAACTATTTTTAGAACATGTAACTTTTCAGGATATTCCCAGAATCCCAGATAGCCACATTTACCTTTGGAGGAATTGCTTATCAGAATAATGAACACAATTATCTTTAGAAAAACCATATGTCCCCAAGGAAAGTTCTAATTTTTTGGAGTATGTATTGTGCAACATTTTTAGTAGAATGTAGTTATGACAATGTTGCCATATGTTTCAAATATAAAATACTTTCTGTTATGTATAACATAAGGATTTTATGTGATCATCATGCCTTTTTGCTGGGGAGAATGCACCTGTGTCTTGTTAGAATTGTTGATACTATTTTAATTGCTAATAAGAAAATTAATGATACCAAATCCTAGTCATTCTCAACAGTACTACTCTTTTTTATCTTAATTTCCACTTTTATCACATGCAATAGAAACGTTTTTAGAAAAGTGTTTGTTTTCTAGGTAAATACATTATCTTTATTATGCGTTGTTAATTTTTAAAACCATAAAGTAAGACATACCAATATGTCCTCTATTATATTTTACTGGAATGTGTGAAAGATTTATAGATGCCCTGTAGGAGAGGTTAAGCAGATTTTTCTATTCCTAGATTTCTGGAGGCTTTATTGTTAATGAGTAATGGATTTTATCCAATGCTTTTGTGTGTCTACTGAAATAATTATGGTTTTGTCCTCTATTCTATTAATATGGTATATTACATTGACTGATATTTGCATTAGTGAGATAATTCCACTTGGTCATTTTGTCTAACATTTTATGTGTTGCTGAATTCAGTTTTCTAGAGTTTTTAAAGACTGCTAGGCTGGGTGCGGTGGCCCATGCCTGTAATCTCAGCACTTTGGGAGGCCAAGGCAGGCGGATCACCTGAGGTCAGGAGTTTGAGACCAGCCTGGCCAACATGGTGAAACCCCGTCTCTACTAAAAAAAATACCAAACATTAGCCGGGCATAGTAACGGGTGCCTGTAATCCCAGCTACTCAGGAGGCTGACAGGAGAATCACTTGAACCCAGGAGGCAGAGGGTACAGTGAGCTGAGATGGGGCCATGGCACTGCAGCCTAGGCAACAAGAGCAAAACTCCATCTCAAAAAAAAAATTCTGGGTCTATACTTATGAAGAATAATGGTCTCTCATTTTTTTTTTTTTATGCTTTCATGTGGTTTCGTTTACTGGGTAATACCGGCCTCAACAAATGAATTGTTTTCTTTTCCCTTTTACATTTTGCAAGTGTTTGTGTAGAATTGGTATTAATTATTCATTAAATGTTTAGTAGAATTTACCAGTGAAGCTATCTGAGCCTTTTTTCTGGGAAGGAATCTTGTCAATGTCTTTACCTGTTATAAGTATATTAATATATTCTCTTTCTTCTTGGATTAATTTTGAGAATTTGTGCTTTTCTGCAAATTTGTTTCTAATTTCTAGTACTTCATGCCTCTAGATTTTCATGGAGGTTAAGATGTAAGAATAAAAAGAATTGTTGAGAGAATACAGCTTTGGGTAATTCATGAATGATCCAATGTCTGATGATCTTCTTTTGTAAGATGGGGAAGATTATTCTTCATGCAGTACTTAAAATTCATATTTATATTATAAAACAAATATAATATTCTATCTAAAGTGAGCTAAGAAGATATGTTAGTTAACTTTGTGCTTAATCCGGATGGAAGTCTGAGTCTACCTTCTCTCTTCCATGAATATGTAGTCAAGTCAAGGCACAAACATAATTTGAATAAGGACAAACACAAAATGACGGTAAATGAAGAAGGGTATGACAGATTAAAATGTGATGAAACAGCCCTGAACACGTACATAGAATTCACGATGTGTTACGCACTATTCCAAGGCATTTGCACAGACAGTTTAAATAACACCTGTAAGACTAAAATAAACAACACAAACATTCATGTAAATGAGAAATTGAAACATTAAAAATAATATTAGGTGACATTAAACTGTCAAAAAATAAACTTTTTTTATATACAACAAATAAGTAAACATAAAGAGTGTTCATTAACATTTAAGACAGTTTGATTAGTTATTATATGAACAAATGGATAGCATTATTAAGTAGTATAAAGAGCATACATATTATTTTCAAATTCCATAGAAAAATATTTAAAATTTTAAAATTTTGGATGCAAAATTATGTCAGTAACTTCATGAAAGTAGACATTCAATAGGTCATATTTTTTAGACATTGTGAAATGACATCTGAAACTGTGAATTAGAGTGTAACCCATAAACAACATCCAGCCACAGACAAGTTAAAGACCAAGTTGAATAACTATTAACTGTATAATAACTACATAACATTTTCAGAGGGCTCTTCTTTCACTGCCTCAAGAAAACCCTTTACATGCTCAAATTGCCTGCTTGACTTTGCTGCAGGATTTACAACACATACTTTAACCTTTCCCAGGCCTTTCTCAGTCCCTCAAAGATGTAAACCTTACCACGTATTTGAAATGTTAACATCCAGGTAATTAGCAAAACAGCATTGCAGCTGAAATCAAATTGAAAAAAAAATTGAAGGTTTTTAGACTCACCCTCAAAATTTTATTTCTCGGTTAGTACCTCTAGCTTAGGCAAGAAACATTTATAATGATGAATTTATTTGTTTTCTATCATTTGTATGACTCTCGGACTTTTGGAGTACACATTTGGAACCTTTTCTACCCCATGGAAATTTTTTGTTCTTCTGTTTTACCGACCATTGCTTTCCATCTTCTGACTGGCCTTTGTGGGTTGATGGTAAACTGAGAAGTTGAGACACTAGAATATGTGGCCTGAAAATGTAGATTGCACCCCATTTGCAGGAAGCTGTTTTTAATAGGTGTTTTAATCATGGAAAAGCTACGCTTTTTGTGCTCTCTTTGGAGCTTTAGTTAAAGCCATGCATGACTTCTTGGATTTGGTCTCACACATGTTTATTTGTGTTGGTTTTGAGTCACTAGTTCAGGTACGCCTTTAATTTAAAATTTTGGTTCATATTTAGAGTGTGACAGAAATGTTTTGTTTTGTTTTTTTCATTTAACCTTCTCTCCTGACATAAATAAAACCATATACTGTGGTTTGGAAGATAGAAAACATTTACTAAAAATTTCCGAAGACAAACAGCTTTAAATAGTAATTACCCTAGACCTCCAGTAAACAGAAATGTCCCACCTCCAAAATTTCATCTTGATGTAAACTTTAGAAAGAAAAAAACAAGTAATGTTTGCTATTTACTTGGCTAAAATTTAATTTTAAAAAATTTAAGAGCTCTACAGTCAAAAGTCCACTTATAACTGATATTCAGGCTATTTATGTATATATTAATTTGAGGCCTGTGGGTTTTTTTATATAAGCTTCTCAGTCAACTCAATTCCTCTTTCCCTAAACTCATGCTAACTATGTGTGCTCCCTCTGTCTCTTCTCTTGCTCACATGATTTTTGCCAAGGATAATGTAAAACTTTACTGGCTTTTTGGAAACCTAAATCTTCTCAAACGGCCTTTTCTAGAATTAACTCTTCTGTTTACTTCTATCTATCTCATCTTCCTTTTGCGACCTTTTGGTACCATGTGAGAGAACCTAAAGGAAACTTCTAGCAGCCTTGGACCCCTTGAAGAACACAGATAAAGCACCACAGGCTTCTCCGTCTTTGGCAGGGTACCTCTATTTTTCCTCATGGAGCCCCAAGAGTTGTGGGTGGACAGGTTGCTCTCAGGTCTGAAGCTCTACTCTTTTACAATGAACTCCTGCATCTCTAGGGCTTTTAGATACATACATGTGTAAGCTATATTTTGTGTCTACATGTATGTATATGTCTATCTACGTGTTTGTATATTATCTACATGATATCAAATTAACTTAAATGAGGCCGAGGTGGGTGGATCACCTGAGGTCAGGAGTTCGAGAGCAGCCTAGCCAACATCGTGAAACCCCGTCTCTACTGAAAATACAAAAATTGCCCAGGTGTGGTGGTGGGAACCTGTAATCCCAGCTGCTCAGGAGGCTGAGGCAGGCAAGTCGCTTGAACCCGGGAGGTGGAGGTTGCAGTGAGCAGAGATAGTGCCACTGCACTCCATCCTGGGTGTCAGAGTGAGACTCCATCTCAAATTTATATATATAATCCGGGAGACGGAGGTTGCAGTGAGCCGAGATGGCGCACTGCACTCCATTCTGGGCGACAGAGTGAGAGTCTGTCTCTAAAAATAAAAAAAATAAAATAAAAAAGAGAGATAAACTAAGTGGATATAAAAATTTGGAGAAAGAGAAGAGAAAAAGAGTTATAAAAGGTTTATAGAAATCTTATCTTGTATGGTCAAAGTTGATTGAGATTAGATACACCTATTTATAAAGTTTTCTTAAAGGTTTATTTCACAAAAACAAAAGATATTTAGATCTGTAAGTAAATACATCCTGTTCCACGTTAAAAGATGTTTCCTGCTGGGCGCAGTGGCTCACGGCTATAATCCCAGCACTTTGAGAGGCCAAAGCAGGCAGATCACTTAAGGTCAGGAGTTCAAAACCAGCCTGGCAAACATGGTGAAACCCCATCTCTACTAAAAATACGAAAAATTAGTTGGGCATGGTGGCACTCGTCTGTGATCCCAGCTACTCGGGAGGCTGAGGTAGGAGAATCACTTCAGCCCAAGAGGTGGAGGTTGCAGTGAGCCGAGATTGCACCACTGCACTCGAGCCTGGGCAACAGAGCAAGACTCCATCTCAAAAAAAAAAAAAAAGATGTTTCCATTTAAAATCCTACGTTTCTAAAAAATCATAAAATATGTACTCATAAATTGTTAGTATATGACTAATAGTTAAAATTGCTTACTTCTTAGAATTTCACTATGAGTTAAAATTACTAAGAATTAAAATTCTGGTTAAGATATAACTAAAACTATTGTTAAGAAGAGAAACAATTCTACATAGAGTGTACAAAGAAAATAAGATGTGTTTCTTGGTGAAAAAATTTATTTTAAAAAGGAGACATGAGGATGTGATTTTTTCTTAAAAGGCAATTTTGGTGAGTTTAGAGTTTATTTAAAGGTTGCATAAAATTGAAAGAATAAAAGCCAAAGAAAATGAGATAAACTCGACAGGGCACAGTGGCTCATGCCTGTAATCCTAGCATTTTTGGAGGCAGAGGCAGGTGGATCATGAGGCCAGGAGTTTGAGACCAGCCTGGCCACTATGGTGAAACCCCTTTTCTACTAAAAAAAAAAAAAAAAAAAAAATTAGCCGGGCGTGGTGGCACACGCCTGTAGTCCCAAATACTCAGGGGGCTGAAGCAGAAGAATCGCTTGAATCCGGGAAGCAGAGGTTGCAGTGAGCTGAGATGGTGCACTGCACTCCATTCTGGATGACAGAGTGAGACTCTGTCTCAAAAAATAAAAAAGAGAGATAAACTAAATGGATATAAAAAGTTGGAGAAAGAGAATAAAAAAAGAGAAAAGAGTTAAAAGAGTTATAAAAGGTTTATAGAAGTCTTATATTGTCAAAGTTGATTGAGATTAGATACACCTATTTATAAGGTTTTTCTTAAAATTAGTTTTAATACTAATCATACAAAAATACAATCATAAAATTTGAGTTTTTCTTTTAAACCAGATTTCTATGAAGAAACAGATACCCTGCAAACCTGTTGGAAGGAACCATATTAGGTTTTCTTGGCCACTACCTGTGCTGCTAAGTTGAAGGGCAATGTCTTTTAGGATATTTGGTCACCCCTCTATTTATACACAGCTCCGAAGAAACCCAGCACTGGACAAATTCTCTCAAACTTTTCCCCAAGCTTGGCCACCAATCTGTTTTAGATGAAGACTCCATTTGGAGGAAATCTGCTAATTATCTGCCTGGCTTTCAGGAAAACAGCTTTATGCATTTTACTGGAAAAATGCTTTTGCCTTGGTGAGTTGTTCCCATGAACACATGACTTAAAATATTTTTATAACCTTGGAAAAAATTACAGATGCAACTGTTGTATTCATTGTAGCTCAACAAAAATGCTACTGATTCACTGGCTAAGCTTGTACTAGACAATCATATTGCTTTAGGTTATATGCTAGCTGAGCAAAGAGGTGTATGCATAGTGGCAAATACTTCTTTATCATATATATAAAAATATTCCCTATGAAGTAGAAATTCATCTAGAAAAAAATGAGTTACCAACTGTCACAAGTTCTCCACCCTGCACAAGAGTGTAACTGGCGTTTTCATGAATGTTTGTAATTCATGTGTTAATCTGTAAGTTTCTTGTAGAAATGTATTTATTTTTATGCAGGCATAAAGAGAGAGACATTTTCTCTATTTCTTTTCCAAGGTAGCATTCCCAAAACCAAGTCCTGCGACTCTGTCTGAAATCATGCTAAAACAGAACAGAACTCAGAATCTTACTACGCTCACTCTGCAAAATAAAAGCAGTACCTGAGAATTTTTAACCAATGGAATATGATTTTTTTCTCTCAAATCTACCTGTTTTTCTCTTAGAAAACATTTGTGTTTTTTTATCTTTCAAGCTCTAATGATGAAATACAGTATATGGTTAATGAAAGGCGGAAGTTGAAATAACTGAACAAATATATTCAAGGTGATGAACACCTGGAGAGGCGGTGCTGACTGGAACACAGACATTTTTTTTTTCATTATTATACTTTAAGTTCTAGGGTACATGTGCACAACATGAAGGTTTGTTACATAGGTATATATGTGCCATGTTGGTTTGCTGCACCCATCGACACATCATTTACATTAGGTATTTCTCCTAATGCTATCCCTCCCCCAGCCCCCCACCCCCTGACAGGCCCCAGTGTGTGATATTCCCTGCCCTGTGTCCCAGTGTTCTCATTGTTCAACTCCCACGTGTAAGTGAGAACATGTGGTGTTTGGTTTTCTGTCCTTGTGATAGTTTGCTGAGAATGATGGTTTCCAGCTTCATCCATGTCCCTGCAAAGGACATGAACTCACCCTTTTTTATGGCTGCCTAGTACTCCATGGTGTATATGTGCCACATTTTCTTTATCCAGTCTATCATTGATGGACATTTGGTCTGGTTTCAAGTCTTTGCTATTGTGAATAGTGCCACAATAAACATACGTGTGCATGTGTCTTTAGAGTAGCATGATTTATAATCCTTTGGGTGTATATCCAGTAATGGGATTGTTGGGTCAAATGGGATTTCTAGTTCTAGGTCCTTGAGGAATCACCACACTGGAACACAGACATATTGGATTCATGTATCAATCACTTGAGAGAATCTCCTCCCCACATCCTGCTCACTAAAGAACTTGATCACCACCTTCTCAGAAGACAATGCACTTGCTCCCTGTGTGTCTGATGTGTATTTGGCTTTGCAAGTTCATACACTACCTCAATAGGGTGGGTTTTACTTCTACTTAGGGATATTCTCCTTTCACAAGCGTGAGAGAAACAAGAGGGAAAGATGCATTTGCGCCTTTTCCCCTCAATACCAGCACCTGATTGGCTGACCACCAATATGTCTGCGAGGAATAAAAGCTGGGTCTGAGGGAAAAATTTTTTTAATGTTTAAGCAGTTAGCTTTTTAGAGGAATGGTATATCAGGAAACTGCTCTCAGCATGAGGACATCCAGCTGCTTCTCTGAGAGGCTCCACCCAATATCTCAGACTCTCCTCTGGAAGCTGACAGAAGGACTGATATTTACTAGACACTCCAAGAGACATGGCTCTTGTGGGTATCTTGGGTCATCCCCAGACGGTTGTAGTATTCAGAACCAGGAAAAAACAGGACAGTGGCTGAGGACACATCACCCTGCAAAGGTTCCAAAAAGAAACCTTCACCCAGAGATATTCTGGTAAGGTGTGTGTGCCTAGGGAAAATTAGACGCGCGAAGACTTGTCACAGCAGAGTGTCAGGTGATTACCCTTTGCTTCCCTGTCATGTGAAATGTTCACAAACAGACACATATTTTTAGAAGAGCCATCCACCACGCCGTGAAACAAAAATAAACAATTAAAATGCTGTGTCTGTTTTAAAACTAAATAAAAGACTAATAGTTGATAATGTTGTGATTTGGAGAAGAACGGTTGGCATTTGGGAATGTGGGAAAGGAATTGGAAAGTTAGAATTTTCCACAGGGCCTAGAACAGTTAGGCTGGGAGAACAGTCATGGATTTGAGACCCTGCTTGCCATACATTTGAAAAATGCGAGGAAAACCAGGCCCTCTGTGGAGGGTTAAAATAATTCAATAGCTGGCACTTACACTGAAGTGGCCATGCTGCCCTGGGATTCTTCCTAAGGAAACCTAACTACATCAAAGGAATTTATTGTAAATTACTAACTTTGAGAAAATAAAATTAGGCTTAACCAACCACAAGCTGCCAATAAAGCTCTCATTACACGACCAAGACATTTCCACCTGATGGGTGCAAATGCAATATATAACTGTAACCAATCAGATATTGAATTTGGTTTTCTTTCTGATGCCCTTTACAAAAACCTTTTTTACAAGACCCTCCTTGGAGCCTCCAAAGAAACCATAACTTGGTGCTCTCTGATTCATAAATTGCTGTTTGTGCAAATAAACTCTATTAATCCGTTCCTGAATTGCTATGAAGAAACACCTCAAACTCGGTAATTGATTAGAAAAGATGTTTAATTGGCTCACGGTTCTACAGGCTGTACAGAAAGCAAAACACCAGCATCTACCTCTGGGGAGGCCTCAGGAAGCTTAAAATCATGGTGGAAGGGGAAGCAGGAGCTTGTAAAGCAGGCAACGGGGGTGCTATACACTTTTAAATGACAAGATCTCCTGAGAACTCACTCACTATTGGGAGGACAGTACCAGGAGGGATGGTGCTAAACTATTCAGAAGAAATCCGCACCCACGATCCGATCACCTCCCCCCAGGCTCCACCACCAACATTGGGGATTACATTTCGATGTGAGATTTGGGCGGGGAAACTCATCCAAACTCTATCACTGCTTAACATTCTAAAGCTGTCTCAATTTAGGCCGGGTCGGTGGCTCAAACCTATAATCCCAGCACTTTGGGAGGCCGAGGTGGGTGGATAACTTGAGGTCAGGAGTTTGAGACCAGCCTGGCCAACATGGTGAAACCCCGTCTCTACTGAAAATACAAATATTAGTCTGGCGTGGTGGTGCACACCTGTAATCCCAGCTACTCAGGAGGCTGAGGCAGGAGAATCGCTTGAACCCGGGAGGCAGAGATTGCAGTGAGCTGCGATCACACCACTGCACTCCAGCCTGGGTGACAGAGCGAGACCCTGTCTCAAAAAAAAAAAAAAAAAGAAAGAAAGAAAGAAAAGAAAAGAAAAAGAAACTTATATTTCCCAAGTCCCCATCTCATCTCTGTCACATTTGTTCACGTGATGACACCACTTGTAGCTAGCTATCCTAAGACCTCAGAGTGATTACAGAGAGCTCACTTCAATTTCTACCCCAAATTTCAAATGCGTCTGCTATATGTGTGTGTGTGTGTGTGTGTGTGTGTATATATAAATATATATATATAAATATATATATAAATATATATATAAATATATATAAATATATATATAAATACATATATAAATATATATATAAATATATATAAATATATATATAAATACATATATAAATATATATATAAATATATATATTAATACATATATAAATATATATATAAATATATATATATAAATATATATATATAAATATATATATATAAATATATATATATATATATATATATATGTACACACACATATATTTGGAATAGGCCTCATTTACCTCTCTAAGAAGGACACCATCATCATGTTTAATCTGTCTCCACATCTGCCACAGTGCTGACTGCCTGATCTGATGCTCTGGACTATTGCATTATTTTTCTCTCACCTCAATTAAGTGATCAGAATGTGGTATTTAAAACCTATAATTGGATCCTGTTTGTCAATTTTGGCTTTTGTTGCCATTGCTTTTGGTGTTTTAGACATGAAGGCTTTGCCAATGCCTATGTCCTGAATGGTAGCCAACCCAAATGTCCATCAATGATAGACTGGATAAAGAAAATGTGGCACATACACACCATGAAATACCATGCAGCCATAAAAAAGGATGAGTTCATGTTCTTTGCAGGGACATGGATGAAGAACGTGCAGGTTTGTTGCATAGGTATACCCGTGCCATGGTGGTTTGCTGCACCCATCAACCCGTCATCTACATTAGGTATTCCTCCTAATGCTATCCCTCCCCTAGCCCCCCCACCCGCCTGACAGGCCCCAGTGTGTGATGTTCCCCTCCCTATGTCCATGTGTTCTTATTGTTCAGCTCCCACTTATGAGTGAGAACATGCAATGTTTCGTTTTCTGTTCTTGTGTTAGTTTACTGAGAATGACGGTTTCCAACTTCATCCACGTCCCTGCAAAGGACATGAACTCATTCTTTTTTATGGCTGCATAGTATTCCATTGTGTATATATGCCACATTTTCTTCATCCAGTCTATCATTGATGGGCATTTGGGTTGGTTCCAAGTCTTTGCTATTGTGAACAGTGCCTCAATAAACATACATGTGCATGTGTCTTTATAGTAGAATGATTTATAATCCTTTGGGTATACACCCAGTAATGGGATTGCTGGGTCAAATGGTATTTCTAGTTCTAGATCCTTGAGGAATTGCCACATTGTCTTCCACAATGGTTGAACTAATTTACACTCCCACCAACAGTGTAAAAGCATTCCTATTTCTCCACGTCCTCTCCAGCATCTGCTGTTTCCTCACTTTTTAATGATCACCAGTCTAACTGGCATGAGATGGTATCTGATTGTGGTTTTGATTGCATTTATCTAATGGCCAGTAATGATGAGAAATTTTTCATATTTGTTGGCTGCATATATGACTTCTTTCAAGAAGTGTCTGTTCATATCCTTTGCCCACTTTTTGATGATAATTTTTTTTTTTTTTGGAGACAGAGTCGTGCTCTCTCACCCAGGCTGGAGTGCAGTGGTGTGATCTCGGCTCACTGCAAACTCTGCTGCGTGGGTTTAAGTGATTCTCCTTCCTCAGCCACCCAAGCAGCTGGGATTACAGGCACACCACCACGCCCAGCTAATATTTTTTATCTTTAGTAGAGACAGGGTTTCACCATCTTGGCCAGGATGGTCTTGAGCTCCTGACCTCGTGATCCACCCACCTCGGCCTCCCAAAGTGCTGGGATTACAGGCATGAGCCACTGAGCCCAGCCAACATTCAGTAAATTTTTATAAATAATAATTTAAAATTCAGAAATTATGGCTTCCAATCACATTCCTATATCTTTTTTTGTTTGTTTGTTTGTTTGTTTGTTTGTTTTTGAGACAGAGTCTCACTTTGTCACCCAGGCTGGAGTGCAGTGGCATTATCTTGGCTCACTATAACCTCCGTCTCCCGGGTTGAAGTGATTCTTCTGCCTCGGCATCCCAAGTAGCTGGGACTACAGGTGTGCACCACCATGCCTGGCTAATTTTTGTATTTTTAGTACAGACAGGGTTTCACCATATTGGCCAGGCAGGTCTCGAACTCCTGACCTCTTGATCCACCTGCTTCGGCCTCCCAAAGTGCTGGGATTACAGGTGTGAGCCACTGCACCTGGCCAACCACATTCCTATATGATCTTTATCATAACTGGCATAATCTTCCTGTAGTTACCAAAAGGTTAAAAAAAATGAAATAAAACTTTTGACAACAATAGTCACCAAATTATTTGTTTTAAGTTCTCTGAACAAATGATTACTAAATAAGTCATTTCACTGTGTTACTCAATAGTATATTGTTATCTTGATTAAAGAAAATAGTTTAACATTGGTGGCAGGATACCATTTCATTTATTGCACATCAGTGTCAAAACATTGAAAACCATTTAGTTTATTAATTAAAACTAAGTTCACACATAGTCTAAGTAAGGCATTCCAAAATCCACTATATTCTTCTTGGTGAAAATACAGTCACAAACACTGAATAAGCATTATTTTTTCTCTGATGTAATTATCTTAGATACTTCCTTTCTCCATTTTTAAAGACTAAGGTTAATTATTTAGGAAACATTGATTTAAAACACATTAAAATCCTCTCATGGAGGTGTTATCTTTACTTTTCTCTGGTATCTGTAATTTTTTAAAAAATTATCACACTGAATGATATTCAAGACTTTAAACTTTTACTATAATACACTGGTATTTTAATAGACTGGCCAGCTTTTTTATCCTTCAAGGAGAGATGATTGGTAAAATTATTTATTTCAGAAATTCAGGATTTTTCACTCTTGCTTTAATAGAGAAGAATAACTTCCAGAACACCTCCCTCATGCAGACTTTAAGTAAACCACAAAGAGGATCTCTCCTTAAATTTGTTTTTTCTTTCTTTTTTTTTTTTTTGAGACAGAGTTTCACTCCTGTTGCCCAGGCTGGAGTACAATGATGCAATCTCTGCTCACTGAAACTTCTGCCTCCTGGGTTCAAGCGATTCTCCTGACTCAGCCTCCCAAGTAGCTGGGATTACAGGTGCCTGCCACCACGTCTGGCTAATTTTTTGTATTTTTAGTAGAGATGAGGTTTCACTATGTTGGCCAGGCTAATCTTGAACTCCTGGCCTCAGGTGATCCACCTGACTCGGCCTTCCAAAGTTCTGGGATTACAGGCATGAGCCACAGTGCCTGGCAGTTTTATTTTTGTTTTTATTTCTTAATTTTACGTTTGCCATGAAGGTTCCATGGAGAAATTCATGTAGAATGGCCTCTCCCAGCTCTGATGCAGCAACAGTAGGTCACATGTTTTCATATAAACACTAGGAATGTAGGGACAGGGTCAACTGAATGGAAAGTTGAATTACATCAATAATAGTTGTTTCTAAAAAAAAAAAAAGCAAATAATGACAATACAAAACGAGTATCCATTGATATATAATTATACCTGTTCAAATACAAAGCCGTTGCTTCATTGAAACATACAAATAAATTATCTAATTGTTTTGACTTTAGATTAGTCTCTATATTAGATATTCTTGTTTAATGTAAAGTTTTAAAATTGTAGTGCCTTTGTACTTTCTCGTGGAAATTCTCCGATGTTTATTTAGACTTGATTTTTGAATACTTCCTCACATTTATTGCATCTGAAAAGTTTCCCTATGGAAGAATTCCGTATGAATTCTGGTTATTTCTAAGGTTTATATTTTAAATCAAACTCCTTCTACATCCATTACGTGTATAGTGTTTCTCTAGCATGAATTATCTGATGTTGAGTAAAGTGTGAACAATAAAGGCTTTGCCACGTTTTTTACACTGTATTTAAAATAGCGCATAGAAAGCAAATCTGTTTTATTCATCAAGACAAATTAATAATCTGTTTTCCATTTTAAAGAAAGTGTGACGGTCTTTTTTCCAGCTAGTCGCCATCAGTTATAGAGACAGATCAGGGTCCCTGAGTGCTGGAAAAGGGGTCCTGTGCCCATTCAGATATCTAAGAAGGTTCTGGTTGGGATTCATTCATTTAACATAGAAATATTAAGCACTTCATTTTGTGTGGTTGCTTTTCTAGAACCTTGGCATATTTCAATGACTACAGCATACAGATCTCTGGGCCGCAATTCTGTTCAAGGAGTTAGACACTCCTTGGGGGAAATACAAAGACCATGGTTGGGAAGAGGCAGAAAGAACCCTGGGCCTCATGCGTCTTATGATTCCCATGAGAAGGCTGGGGTCTGGGTGTTCTGCAGAATAAAAGGAGTCAAAGAGAGCTGCGGATGGGCCTCAGGCCCCCTGCCAAGGAGAGAGGAGGCTGGAGCTCCCAGCCAGCCCTCGACAGACCCATCTCCATTACAGTCACATCCCAGCTCTGCCTGTCCCCCTCTATCCCACGTCTAAGGGGCCCAGAACTGGAGTTATAATGAGCAGCCTGCTTCTCATAACCCTCCTTCTGCGGGTGCCATAGACGGGCCTGGGGGGCAGCATGCCTTCCGGTAGTGGAGGGCACCAGTTAAAGATGCTAAGATCCCCTCTCCGCCTTGGGCGTCTCAGCCTGCACCATTGTGCTCTGCCTGGCTGTGACCCCTGTGGCCAGCGCCTCCTCAAAGCTCCTGGAGAGCAGCAGGTGAAGAAAGACTCAGCCAGCACAAGGCAAAGGCCTGGGTTCAGCGGGTTGAGGCTTTGAGGAGGCGGAACGGGCGCCTGGGTGGAAAGTGGTTGCCAGGTGTGAGTGGCACTGTGGGGCCAGTGCCCGGTTTTGCTGCCCCCGCTTCCTGAAGATGGCGGCTGGAGCCACCTGGGTGCAGCAGTTGATGTGGCACCTGCAGGGGCAGAACCGACACCCAACCGTGGGGACACTGCAGGAAGCCGGCACGGAGACGTCTATCTCCTCTGTCCCCAGGCCCTAGTTTCTGGCCAGCTTTGGCCAAAGCAAGAGGTTGGACTTTGGAGGGTGAGTGTGAGTGTGTGAGCTCATGTCCAGCCCCCGCCAGTGCTCGGCACAACAAGGTGACACCCTCTAGTGTCACCACTGCCCCCACCCTGCTTTCCTACCTGGCGAGCTAATGGGTCTCCCCCCCAGGGGTGCTGAACGCAAGGAGGAGGGTAGCGGGCCAATGTCCCAGGGCTGTGGGGCCCCTGGCTGTCAAGGTCAGGTGGAATGTGGTGGGTCTTCGAGAAGGGTTTGTGGGGTCAGCCGGGGAAGGGTATGCCAACCCTAACCTGCAGGGGTACCATGGTACCCATAATGCAGTGCCTACAGTACGCGGCCGGGCTAAGCGCTCCGTGAGCCACCTGCTCCTCACATGCGCTCCAGGCTCCAGGCAGTAAGCAGAGAGAAGTGGCCTGGTGGGCAGCTGCCGGGCACCTGCACCCTGGGGACAGCCAATTCCTAGGGGGACCGAGGCATCCTCATCCCTAGCCTGGCAGCTTTGCAGGAAGGCTGTTGCCTGACAAGGGAAAGGGGAGGGTCTGGGGAGGGGCAGTGGCCCAGTCAACTTGAGTGATTTCCAAGTGAATGAACTGGGGTCCCGCTGCCTCTGGCTCAGGCTTGTGGCGGAATCTGCCTGGACCTCAGGGGCTCCAGGCTGCCAGCTGCCTGTCGAGGCTCTAGGCGCCTCCTCCAGACCTCAGATTCCTCAGCTGTCTGAGAGGACTGATAGGGCATCATATGGCAGGGGTGTTTCAGGATTGGGCCAGATGATCCCCTGTAATCTCTTATTACCCCCTCCCTCCCCTCCACTTTCCTTCACCCCGCCTCCTTTTTTTTTTTTTTTTTTTTTTTTTTTTTTTTTTTCCTATTCTGAGTTTGTCATGAGACTTTGTGGAATGTCTCTGGTGGGGAGGTAGGAAAGGTGGAAACCCTTACCCTTGGCTTCAGGATTCCTTCCAGGCACCCCCTCCTCTTAGGCTTTTTTAAAGCACAGACCTAGCACCATTTCCTGTACCTCAGAGAGCTGCAGAGAACTTCATGTGTTTCCAAAACCAGAACACTTTGATGCTGACTCCAGACCCTTATCTCACCCCAAAACCCAAATGCCTTGGGGCAGCCAGCTTCAGACAGGAGTGAATTTGATGCTCATTCTCTGGGATTGACCCAAGGCTTATATAATGGAGCACATCTGCCCCCGTGTCTTGGGGGAGTCAACGGTAGTGACCCAGAACTGTGAACACCATTCCCCACACAGAGCACAGGGAACGCAGCCCTCTCCAGCAGGCTGGCCTGGCCGTGGCCTGATGCACATCAGTCCTGAGGCAAGAGACCCAAGGCAGGAAATGTCTCTTGTGCATCCCCTTTCACAATGCAGCCATTTAACTGGGGGTGGTGCCTCTGTGGGTCCTCCAGCCTTCAGAGTGGGATTGTTACCCTGGGCCACCAAGGGAAGCGGAAGCACAGGGCCAGTGGGTGGCAAAGTTAGAGACTCTGTGATTGGGAAATATCACCTTAGACCCAGCACGGCCCGTTCAGGACATAGCGCCTCTTGGGCTCCATCCATGGGCTGTTCTTTCCATGGGGCGCTTTGGTTGCAGTCAGCACCCTGTGGGGTGGGGGTGGAGCACCAGGAGGAGCAAGTGTTATGGGATCCACAGGGGGAAGGAGGGGATATTCCCCCTTTGCCCCACCCTGGGCACAAAAGCTTTGTTCTCTGATGTGTGTGGGCATCAGGGCCTGTGTGGGTATGGGTGGGGTTGCCTCTTTTCTTGACCAAGAAAGAACCATTTCTGGGTCTCCTGGGAGGCTTATGGGCACTACATGTACCTGGGAGCTGAGTGGAGTGTGTGAGGGCTCTGCAGGACTCTCCCCTGCTGCCTCCTCTCCAGTGGGAGCCAGGCCATGTGCTCTTAGTGCCGACTCACGCCCAGGCCCACGCTGCCCTTCACTCAGCAGGCCCCTCCCTGACTCCCCCAGCTCAGCTCCTTTTGGGTCTCCTGAGGACCTTGTGGGCCCTGGGATAGAATCACAGAAGTTGACAGCTCTGCTGCCTGCCTCTGCCTGAAGTCAGAGTCCCTCGTGGGCAGGGTGGGTGGGCAGGTCAGGGCTCAGCTTTTGGCTGAGTACAGGGTCCTTTTTTCATGCCACACTGATGGAAACACTGGGCAGGGCTGGCCTGGGGGCTGCTCTGTGGCTCCCCTAGTCTGTCACTGGACCAGGTTGAAGGCAGTATTTGTGCAGATGGCTTCACCTGTTGTCACCATCCAGACACTAGAACCAACTGGCTGTTGCTCTTGGGCCAGGGTCTTGGGCTGAGGCTGTCATGACCAGCATGTTCTCTGCCATGTGGGGGCCTCAGGCAGCTCCCAGTGCTGAGTGGTCCCCAAAAGACATGATAGCCAGTACTGGAAGGCTGGAAGTCAGGACAGGAGTACATCTGACTCTGGGGCTTCCAGAAAGCTGGCCCTGAGCTGTGGCCCCTGCAAAAGACAGGCTCCTCCGAGATCATACCACTGCACTCCAGCGTGGGTGACAGAGCAAGACTCCGTCTCGATAAATAGATAAATAAAAAAGACAGGCTCTTGTGGATATTTCAGGGGAAAAAAGTGAGTCCTTCTGGCTGGCAGGATTCTTGTGATCACTGGGCAGGTAGGGCTGGCTTAGGTAGGTCAGGCACAATTGGGCCTGGCAGAGGAGCCAGGGAATGGTGTGGCCAGAATGGACAGCTGGACCTTTGAATCTAGGCCATACATAGGCAGAATAACAAGTGATGGTGCAGCCAGCTCAGGCAGGTCTAGGTCAGGGCACCTGCCAGGTAGGAACATGCACCCCTGCCCCAGACTCCAATCCCAGACCACCTGCCTGCACTGGGCATTGTCTGGTCTCGGCAGAAAGGCCTGGGGGTGATGATCAGGTGGTGTGTCCCTGGGTCTCAGGCCTCAGTGGCTCCCTAGGAACTGGGCAGTCACTGGGCACCGGCAGGGGCCCAGGGACCACTTGTGTGCATCTGCCCATGGGTTGTGTTCCCACCCCAGCTTCTCAGCCCTCACTGGGAGAGGCCAGGGCTCCCTGCCTGCTCTGTTTCCAGCTCTGACCCCTCACCTGGTGACTCTGATGACTTCCTCACTCCAGCCTGGGTCCTCCTCTGTTAGACACGGGTCCCAGGCTTCCTGCAGACAGAAACCGACCACCAGCCACACCTTGTGGGCCCACCTGGACCTCGTTACCCCACTGACCAGTGAGACCCAACTGGCCAGTACTGGTGTCCTATTTGTATACTGCCCTTTTACCCGGTGTGTTTTCTGTAATGACTGCTGTGTGGAGCGTCCATATAAGTGCAGAATACAGCATGTCCTCTATCCCACAGAGCCCCCACCATGGTCCCCCTGGGGATGGTCATGCCTTGCTCAACTTGGTGTAAATGGCTGCTGTTGGCCGGGTGCAGTGGCTCACACCTGTAATCCTAGCACTTGGGAGGCCAAGGCGAGTGGATCACCTGTGGTCGGGAGTTCAAGACCAGCCTGGCCAACATGGCAAAACCTCATCTCTACTAAAAATATAAAAATTAGGCTGGGTGCAGTGGCTCATGCCTATAAACCCAGCACTTTGGGAGGCCAAAGCAGGCGGAGCACGAGGTCGGGAGCTTGAGACCAGTCTGGCCAATATGGTGAAACCCTGTCTCTCCTAAAATTACAAAATTAGCCAGGCATGGTGGTGCACCCCTGTAATCCCAGCTACTCAGGAGGCTGAGGCAGGAGAATTGCTTGAGCCCGGCAGGTGGAGGTTGCAATGAGCCAAGATCACCCCACTGCACTCCAGCCTGGGCGACAGAGCAAGACTCTGTCTCAAAAAATAAAAAATAAATAAAAAATAAAAAACAATGGCTGTGGTAGCATGCACTGTTGAGCGCCATCCATCCACATGGCTGCCCAACCCTGCATCTCCTTCCTTTTCGTTGCTGAGGTCTTTTCTGTTCCCCTGCTCTTCACCTGAACTGCTCTTGAAGCCAAGATGAGGGATAAGTAGGGTGGTGCTGGCAGGGACCCCTCCTGGGGTAAATCTCAGCTGTGAGGGGGCTGGGCTCACCCCCTCCTGTCATCTCCTCCTCTGAGCTTCATTTCTGCCAGAGGTCATCAAGGTGCAGCCTGTCCCTGCCTGCTTTCCTGTCTCCCATGAGCCAAGGATGAATTTTACATTTCCAAATGGTCGAACAAACCAAAAGAAGAATCATACTTGATGTTTTGAAATTGGAGTTTTCAGTGCCTGTAAGGAAAGTTCTATGAGATTGCAGCCATGCACCTTCATTCCCAGGTTGTCTGCGGGAGGCTGCTGTCACGCTGCAACTGCAGATTTGAGTCATTGCAATTGACATGGGTTGGCAAAGCTGCAAATACTGAACCCTAGCCATTTTGAGGAAGAGTTTTTAGACGCTGGTTTGAGAATTCTCTGGTGGGACTCCAGGCTCTGGGTCAGAGTCTTCCCCACTCAGGGCTGCTTTGACCTTCACTGGGGTGTCTGCCAAGTGGGGGTGCCATTTGCCTGTTGTGCAGGTGTTAAGCCCCAGAGCATCAAATATTGGGGTGCCTGCCTCATGCTCACCCACATCACCTGCAGAGGTCCTGGGATCTAATCCCAACCAGCAGGAGCAATTGGTCTTTGGTAACAGAGACACCATGGAGCTAAGTTGCCACCCACATCGAGGTTGTTCCCTGGGGCTCACTCTCTAGGTCAAGGATGGTACAGGGCTGATGTCCTGAATCACATTCTGGTGGAGCCTCAGACACTACAGGTGCTGGATGAGCTGCTGGCCTGCTGGGATAGGGGCGGCCGCTGGCAGAAATGGTTGTAGCTGCAGGACATTAAGGCAGCTGTGAGGCTACCAGGAGTCACACCTCAGGTCTCCCTCCCGGTACCTGCCCAGCTGGAATATTTGTGCCCCAGGGGTCACTATGCAACAGGACCTGACACTGGCCAGGGAGCTATGGCCACAGGCTCTCTGTAGCTGGCCACAAAAAAGTCTTTTCCTCCCCTCTGCTAATTTACTGGGTCCTCTTCTCTCATTCTCACTTAACCACTTCATTGTCTGAAAGCAGACCCAAAATTGCTCCTTGGGCTGAAAATAGTCATTTTTTCCAGCCACCTGGAGTGGCTACATCTCCTGGAGAACTTTGATTTTCTAGACACAGAGGGAAGGACAGGATACTCACAGGGCCTGGGTGGAAGATGCTCAAGGGGCCTTGTGGGGAAGGGAGGGAGCAGGGACCCAGCCTCTTGGGGCCTTTCTCTTAAGAGGCTCCTTCCTCTCCTCCAATCCCATGCCGCCCCAGTCTGTTCTCAGAGTTAGATACAAGCAGTCCTCCTCCAAAGATTGGTCCTTGATTTCCGTCCCCTATTCACACACTTTATTGAGATGGGTCTCCTCTTTCTCTGTGTGTCAAACCCTCCCAATATATCTAAAATGAAGAGAATGGAGCCAGGCAGTGTGCTGCCCAGGGAATCCTCTAACCCCTGGCCCGTGGATAAACCCCATCCCCACTCCCTCTCATGCTGCACTACCACCAGCGCCACCAGGGTCAGGTGTTGGTATCAGGATGATGCAGGCCTCACTAAATGAGTTAGGGAGGAGTCCCTCTTTGTCAATTGTTTGGAATACTTTCAGAAGAGAAATGGTACCAGCTCCTCTTTGTACCTCTGGTAGAATTAGGCTGTGAAAACATCTGGTCCTGGGTTTTTCTGGTTAGCAGGCTATTTATTACTGCCTCAATTTTAGAACTTGTCATTGGCTTATTCAAAGGTTCAACTTCTTTCAAAAAAAAGTTCAACAACAACAGATAAATCTAGAATTTAATAACAGATGTACCATAGTTCTTAAAGTATAATTTTTTACTCTCCCCAGTCTGCCATTTTACTAAAGACAAATCATGGTATGACCAAGTTGCTTTATTATACTTGGCCTGATTATTTGTACGAAGTGCAGCAAGAATAATTATTTTTACATAGGTTTTAAAAATTGGATTTGATGAAACTGTTCCATAAAATGAATCTCAGATAAGACTTTTTAAAGCTGAGCCAGCCATGAGTCTATACCCTCAAATATGAGTTGCATAAATTTCTTTTTTGATACCACGGGATAACTTGGGGCTCATGAACCTGTCAAAAAGTGACATTATTTACTTACCCCAGGTTAGGAACCCTGTATAGGGACTGTGTAGACAAGGCATAAAGCCAGTTTTCCCAAGGGGCTTTTATTGGCTCTATAAGTCAAGTTTGATTCCTTAAAGGAAAGCACGTCATTCCAGCCAAAGCCTTGGCAAAATAACTAATTTCTCCAACAGTGTCCTGTTGCAGAAGAAAACATTATTTTGCACTTATACAAATTATATTGCCATAAGTTAAGAATACTCACAAATAGTTTCCAAATTCTGGAGAAAACAGATAGAAACAAATGTGCTCCAAATTTTGTTTACAGAAATATATTTTACTCAATTGCTAAAAGCTGTAAATAGCTCAAAATAAAAGTTTCCAGGACTCTGAAAAACAAAACAATGGATCACCAATATTTTAAGCAAAGTCAAAAAGATTACTTTAGTCTTACATTAGTTCACTCCACGCAGTTATCTCCTGTTCTGCTTGATATTGATGAACATTTCAGCTCTCCATGAGAGTTCTGAAAGTTTTTTCTTTATTCTATTGCCAAAATTTCCAAAGTTATCAGAAACCTGCATTTAAGAGCACCTGTCAACGTCCTAAACCTGATTATAAATCACCTTTCAAAGAGCGTTAAAACAAGACAACAATTGTCTGTGGATGACAAAGAAGTCTTAGGACAGCCACTATTAAAGCTACAATTGACAGATTTTGGTTACTTCTGTTGCATACAATGATTTTACATAACAATTATTACTATTAATAACATACACTAAGTTATATTGGAATTATGGGAATTTTCCCTTTTTTTGAATCACATACCAATAACATATTTATACAAATACAGCCCAAGGAAAACCAAACACCATTTCATATTTGACAATATTTTCTTTCTTTCCTTTTTTTTTTTTTGAGATAGAGTATCACTCTTGTTGCCCAGACTGGAGTGCAATGCTGCAATCTCTGCTTACTGCAACCTCCGTCTCCTGGGTTCAAGTGATTCTCCTGCCTCAGCCTCCCGAGTAGCTGGGATTACAGGTGCATGCCACCACGCCTGGCTAATTTTTTTGTATTTTTAGTAGAGACAGGGTTTCACCATGTTGTCCAGGCTGGTCTCTAACTCCTGATCTCAGGTGATCCACCCTCCTTGACCTCCCAAAGTGCTCGGATTACAGGTGTGAGCCACTGCACCCGGCCTGACAATGCTTTCTGACATTTCCTCCTGTTTGATTTTTATACGAAATAAGCCAAATGTCATTTTTGTATTTTAGAGGACCTAATATCTAAAAGATATTTAGGTAAGAAAAATACATAATTTATAATTTGATTTTTTAAAGGTTTGTCAAATATCAAATCCCAGGTTATCATAAGTCACTCACTAACCAAAATGATAACTCAAAAATTTTAAAAAGACAAAAACCTTTACTCACTAATAGAGGGAAGACTTCACTTTCCACACAATCTTTTTTTCCTTTCCTTTTGCTCCAGTTTATTCAAAAGGGCAGACAAAAATATGTCATTTTTAAAATATTACATGAAAATCTTGTTCATGAAGAAAAGCTAAATCTCACCCTTGCATTAATGTACTATTGATGTCAAACCTAATTCTTAATAAAACCTTATAGACAAATCTATCTAGTCTTAATCAGTTTGACAATAAGGTAAGATTCCTATAACCCTTTTATAATACTTTACAATTTTTGTGAAAGAGCAGAGTAGTGCTCTAAAGAAAACCAGTTGTACTTTTATTCCAGTGTTCAATTTATAAAAAACTGAATACCCCTTTAACTTTAGCCAATATGTTAACACACAGAATTTCTTTTACCAGATGTAAATTTTTACGAACTTTTCACAACTTGGTTAATCCTTCAGCTCTGTTTTATCTAATTTAAAACAATCCTTTGACCCTTTAATTTAGGACAAAAGTAATCTACATTCCCATGACTTCTTGTAATCTTTTACTGAAAACACATTTGACTTTTTTTACATACCTAGCATGTAAAACTGTTTTTATTTCCCAATGATTACTAAAGTGATGTAAACTAAAATACACCATGGTTTCTATTTTTCTGATAAAATATTTGATTTGAGCTCTTATTATTTTTAAACCAATTAATCAAATCTCCTTCATATTACACACACAACACATATAAATACACAGCTGGAAGAAGATCAAGTACCTGTAAGATTTTTCATTTGTCAGTTTCTCAATTGGATTACCACCCTGGCTTTAAGATGGATCCATAGGATAAATAGGACCAGGAAAGCAAAAACTAAGCAATTTCAACAGCTTAATAAGTAGGCACAGCTGGAAGGCAAAACAGATTTGCGCCCCCCCCCCCCACCCCGCAAATTAAGACTCCTATTTTCATACTAGAACCTGGATCCCAAAAAGAGGGAATCAGCCCATCTCCCATTGGCATCTTACCTGTCAGTGGGGGGCGGGGACATTTCCATGCCTTCTAGGTGGCCAAGAGCACACTTCTCTGATTCAAATATGCAAAAAGCCAAGTATCCCCCCATAGCTGCCATTAGCCATCCCTGAATGTATATTTCCTACCTACTTATTACATATCTAAATTTTTTCGTAACGTGAAGTAATTTCTGATACCCCAGAAAGTAAAAACCATCAGATAATGCAAAGCAAAAATGGAACAGAGCCTTAGACTTTGAGAGGGATCTATCCACTTCCAATTCCTGGAGTTTCATGAAGAAAACAGATGTTTCTCCCAAAATGCCTATTGTGGCACCTCCTCTGTTTTTTCTAAGGACTTCTAGCTGTTGGAGCTTGAATATCTGCAATTAATTAAGCTGACTTTTGGGCCAGGTGTTGTGGCTCATGCCTGTAATCCCAGCACTTTGTGAGACCAAGGCAGGCAGATCAATTGAGGTCAGGAATTCAAGACCAGCCTGGCCAACATGGTGAAACCCCGTCTCTACTAAAAGTACAAAAATTAGCCGTGTGTGGTGGTGGGTGTCTGTAATCCCTGCTACTCAGGAGGCTGAGGCAGGGGAATTGCTTGATTCCCGGGAGGTGGAGGTTGCAGTGAGCCAAGATTGCACCATTGCACTCCAGCCTGAGTGACAGACCAAGACTCCATCTCAAAATAAATAAATAAAATAATAATAATAATTAAGCCAGCTTTTAACCATGATGCTCTTTCTGAAAACATGTATTTAATTCTCTCATTGCTTGACTTTAGCCATGCCAAATTGCCAATATTTCTGGCTTTTGAACTTTACTAACATAATGTCACAGGTGAAACAAATAAGCCTTTTTTTGTTTTGTTTGTTTTGTTTTGTTTTGTTTTGTGATGGAGTCTCCCACTGTCGCCCAGGCTGGAGTGCAGTGACCAAACTTGGCTCACTGAAACCTCCACCTCCTGAAACCAATAAGCTTTAACTAAGGTTAAGAACCTAACCACAAGTGTACAAGGTATTTTCAAAAAGGTGGCAAAGCAGTTTTTACAAAATCTAGAATCTTCAAAGGTAGCTCAGAGAAAGGAAAATCCAAAATGTTTCATGGAGGGGAAGAGAATCAACAAATGTTCACACAGATATCAAATCAGAAAGGACTCATCTCCTAAGCTAGAAATTGAACCCTGAACCCAGGCTGCCACTGTGAGACAGCAAAGCCCAACTACTGAGCTACAGCACTGAGCAGTCTCCGTTGGAGTCTCCCAGAAGAAGCCTCCAGCAGCCAATTTTGAGCTTGCAAAGGTTTTTAACTGCTCAAGATCATTTTTAGAGTTAAGTATAACATAAATTTCAAAATTTATGTATGCTGGATGGTAGAAACCAAGAGAAAATACTGCCACATGGCTACAAGGTCAAGCTCCCAAGAACATAAAACAAGAGGGAAACTTCATCCATTGTTTTGTTGTTGTTGTTGTTGTTGTTGTTTGTTTCAGGGACTTCTTTTTTGTTTCTTTGGGAGTATTTTTTTTGAGACTGAGTCTTGCTCTGTGTCCCAGGCTGGAGTGCAGTAGCATGAACTCAGCTCACTGCAACCTCTGCCTCCCAGGTTCAAGCAATTCTCCCTGCCTCAGCCCACTGAGTAGCTGAAACTGCAAGTGTCTGCCACCACCCTGGCTAATTTTTGTATTTTTTGTAGAGACGAGGTTTTGCCATGTTGGCCAGGCTGGTCTTCAACTCATGACCTCAGGTGATCCGCCCACCTCGGCCTCCCAAAGTGCTGAGATTACAGGCGTGAGTCACCATGCCTGGCCTGTTTCAGGGACTTCTGACCAGAAGTTTCAACATGTGATCTCTGCGCAAGATGGTGGCCTAGAGTAACAGAAAAGATAGGAAAGGAAAGAGAGACAGAGAGAGAGAGAGAGAGAGAGATTGCCTATGGCAGGGCAGGAAAGGTGAGGAGCTGAGGAAAGCCAGAGAAAGACCCAAGCATTGCACCGAATCAAAAGTTTAGGTGGCCGCTTGTTGGTTGTGAAAGAATCTTTTTTGCAGTCCCATCTGCTCTCAAGTTTCCCACTTTAGGGAGGAAAAATCTCCACATGTTCCATGATTCTGTACTCACCTAATTCTGTCAGCCACAGCCATTAGCAAAAAGTGCAAGGCAACTTAATACAAAGATAAGGCCTGGTTCGGTGGCTCATGCCTGTAATCCCAGCACTTTGGGAGGCTGAGGCAGGTGGATCAGCTGAGGTCAGGAGTTCGAGACCAGCCTGGCCAACATGGTGAAACCCTGTCTCTACTAAAAATACAAAAATTAGCCAGGTGTGGTGGTGGGCGCCTGTAATCCCAGCTATTTGGGAGGCTGAGGAAGGAGAATCACTTGAACCTGGGAGGTGGAGGTTGCAGTGAGCCAAGATCTCACCACTGCACTCCAGCCTGAGTGACAAGAGTGAGACTCTGTCTCAAAACAAACAAAAAAACAAACAAACACAAAGACAGCAATGGTTAATATTCCATAATGCCAAATCTAATCTTAACTGAGAGGGACTTTACTGAGAGGGGCCTCTAACCCCCTAAATCTTAGGAAAGACTCTAACCTTTCTAAGTTGCACCTCAAACACAAGTTTTTCAAGTGTTCTTGCCTTTTATTAAAAGGGACCTTTTATCTTATCTGTCTTAGGAGACACTCTAACTCCACTAAATTGGGCTACTAACCCGATTCCATTCTTTACCCGGGTATGCCACCACTTACAAAAAGTTAGCCAATTGGTAATTCAGTCTATTTCCTTTGAGCTGCGGGTTTCCTTAGTATCATCCTTTTGTAATTCACTGAAAAGAAGCTTCCAGAAATGGCCCCAATTCAGAAATGAAGATTGGGTTCTTGGATCTCGTACAAGAAATAATTTAGAACCAGGGGTAGTGGCTTATGCCTGTAATCCCGGCAATTTGGGAGGCAGAGGCGGGAGGATCACTTGAGGTCAGGAGTTCGAGACCAGCCTTGCAACATGGTGAAACCCAATCTCTACTAAAAATAAAAAAATTAGCCAGGCATGGTGGCGCATGCCTGTAATCCCAGCTACTCCAGAGGCTGAGGCAGGAGAATCTCTTGAACTCAGGAGGCAGATGTTGTAGTGAGCCGAGATGGCGCCACTGCACTCCAGCCTGGGTGACAGAGCAGGATGCTGTCTCAAAGACAAAAAAAAAAAAAAGATAGAAGAAAGAGTTTTGGGTGAGTCTGCAGTACAAAGCAAAAGCAAATTTATTGGGAAAGTAGAGGAATAAAAGAATAGCTACTCTCCAGGCAGAGCAGCAATGTGGGCTGCTCAACTAAGGATACTTAACAGTTACTTCTTGAGTATATGCTAACCAAGGGGTGGATTATTCATGAGTTTTACAAGAAAGACGTGGGCAATTCCCAGAACTGAGTGTTTCTCTTCTTTTTAGACCATGTAAGGTAACTTTCTGATGTTGCCATGGCATTCGTTAACTGTCACGGCGCTGGTGGGAATGTCTTTCACATGCTAATGCATTATAATTAGCGTGTAGTGATTCCTGAGGACAACCAGAGGTCCCTTTCATTCCCACCTTGGTTTCGGTGGATTTTTGTGGCTTCTTTACTGCAAACTGTTTTATCAGCAAGGTCTTTGTAAAATGGATCTTGTTCCAATCTTCTATTTATCCTGTGACTTAGAAAGCCGGGCCTCATGGAAATGCAGTCCTGTAGGTCTCAGCCCCATTTTACCCAGCACCTATTCCAGATGCAGTTTCTCTGCTTCAGACGCCTCTGACATAGCTACAGGGTGCTGGAATGTGGCTAGTGTGAACTTCAGTGTGCTAGAAAGGTAAAATACAAGATTACATTCAGAGATTTAGCTTCAAAAATGTATGTGCTTTATTAACCATTACATAGTAATCACATATTAAAATAATAATATTTTGGATATATTGGGCTGATTAAGTTGTTGCAATCAATTCCACCTGTTATTCCACCTGTTTCTTTCTTTTTTATTTTGAGACAGAGTTTCTCTGTCACCAGGCTGGGGTGCTGTGGTGTGATCTCGGCTCACTGCAACCTCTGCCTCTTGGGTTCAAGCGATTCTCCTGTCTCAGCCTCCCTAGTAGCTGGGATCACAAATGCCTGTCACCACGCCCAGCTAATTCTTCTACTTTTGGTAGAGCAGGGGTTTCATCATGTAAGCCAGGCTGGTCTCGAACTCCTGACTTCAGGTGGTTCCCCACCTCGGCCTCTCAAAGTGCTGGGATTACAGGCGTGAGCCACTGCGCCCGGCCCCACCTTTTTTTTTTTTTTTTTTTAACATTTGGCTACTAGAAAATTAAAAATTTACATGTGGCTCATATTTTACTGCAGAGGATTGCCTCCCTTCTGAAATCTCAGGCTGTCCGCATGTATTAGTCCATTTTCACACTGCTACAGACAAATAGCTCAAACCGCGTAATTTTTTTTTTAAAGTAAATTGAATCATAGCCCTACATGGCTGCAGAATCCTTGGGAAACTTAAATTCATGACCATGACAGAAGGTGAAGGGAAAGCAAGGCACATCTTACATGGTGGAAAAAGAGAGAGAACCGGGGAGGACGTGCCACATTTTTAAACCATCAGGTGTCTTGAGAGCTCCCTTACTACTACCAGAACAGCATGAGGATAATCCACACCAATGATCCAATCACCTCCTGCCCGGTCCCTGCCCTGACAAATGGGAATTACAATTTTTTTTTTCTTTCAGAGGAAGTCTCTCTGTGTCACCCAGGCTGCAGTGCAATGGCGCCATCTCGGCTCACTGCAACCTCCACCCCCTGGGTTCAAGCAATTCTCCTGCCTCAGTCTCCCGAGTAGCCGGGACTAACAGGCACGCTGCCACGCCTGGCTAATTTTTGTATTTTTAGTATTGACGGGGTTTCACCGTATTTGCCAGGCCTGTCTCGAACTCCTGAACTAGTGACCTGCCCGCCTCGGCCTCCCAAAGTGCTGGGATTATAGGTGTGAGCCACCGCACATGGACGGGAATTACAATTTGAGATTAGATTTGGGTGGAGCCAGAAAGTCACACCATATCACTGCAAAGGATCCGCAGCAAGGAAGGGCATAAAATCCTAAATTTTAAAATAATTGTCATTATTTCAATTTATGAATAAATATTATATATCATTTATAAATGCATATGACATTATACACAAGGTTAAATGCAAATATCCTCTGAAGTTGGCCTGGCTCAGATCAAGGAAGAAGCCCTGCCTGTGAAGGCTGCAGCCTAGGCTGTTATTTTTGCTTCGCTCAGCCCAGTGTCTGATCAAATATTCCCTCACTCAGGGCATGAAGGGTGGGGCCTGAAACCTTATCCAATCAGGAGCCGTGGTCTAGAAACTGTCCAATCAGGCATGCAGCTGGAAAGAACAGGCTACTTCCGTAATTTTGCGGGTCCTTTGTGTTTTTCTGCGTCCAGAGCTGCAGTTCTTCTCTTCACTGCTCTGTGTCCTCTGCTCCTAGAGGCCAAGCCTATGTGTCCTTGTGTCCTGCAGGTATCTGCAGATTTATGGCTAAAAGACCGGGACCCCCTGGAAGCCGGGAAATGGTGAGTGCTGGGTCTGTCATCGTGAGAGAGGGGTGGGGGCTGGTTGGAACCGGCAGAAAGTGGCTGTAGCAGGTCCCAGACTTTCTCGCAGTCAGCTCCAGAGCCTGACGACCCAAATCGTCTTTGGCCCAGCTCGGCTCTCGTCCCCTCCAGCCGCAAGATGGTGCCTGGGCCAGCGCCTGGGACCCTGGGATTTCTGTCTTTTTCCTCTGCAGTGGCTTTACCCTGGACTGGAGGCCTCTCTGGTTTGCTCTGCACTCCCAGCGCCTCATCTCACCCAGATTGTACAGGGATGGGAAAGTCATCAGGGGAGAATCCTGACTCAGGGTGCAAGATTCATGAGTGGAAAGAGCTGTGGTCCTGGGGTCCTTAGTTCCTCATTTTTCCTTTTAGAGATGTACGGGAGTCACTCTAAAAATGAGAATCTGATCAAAGTGTGATTCAAGAATCATAGAGTGCCCAGCTATGGTTTGTGGGTTGTGATCCATGGGAGAGACTTGAAGAAAAGTCTGTTATAAGTTTCATGACGAAGCAAACCAGATTCAATAATTGGTTTGGTACAGTTATGTAGTTTATTTGTGAGATCCAGGTAAAAATTTCTTGGTTATGTCATCAGAGATTAATTGGCAGGCTGTGGTTGCCTAGGCTTGAATATTTTCTTCAAGATAGTAATTTCCAAGAAATGCTTTTTTTTTTTTTTTTTTTTTTTTTTTTGAGAGGGAGTCTCGCTCTGTCCTCCAGGCTGGAGTGCAGTGGTGCGATCTCACCTCATTACAACCTCCGCCTCCCAGGTTCAAGTAATTGTCCTGCCTTAGCCTCCCGAGTGGCTGGAATTACAGGTGTGTGCCACCAGGCCCAACTAATTTTTGTATTTGTAGTAGAGACGGGATTTCACCATGTTGGCCAGGTTGGTCTCCAACTTTTGGCCTCAGGTGATCTGCCTGCCTCAGCCTCCCAATGGGCTGGGGTTACAGGTGTGAGCCACCGCACCCAGCCGATTTTTTTTTTTTTTTTTTACCTTTTATTTTAGGTTCAGGGGTACATGTGCAGGTTTGTTGTATAGGTAAAATCATATCATGAAGTTTTTGTGTACAGATTATTTTATCACTCAGGTACTAAGCATAGTACCCAACAGATTTGTTTTCTGATTTTCTTCATCCTCTGATCCTCTACCCTGAACTGAGCCTCAGTGTCTGTTGTTCTCTTATTTGTGTCCACGTGTTCTCATTATTTTGCTCCCACTTATAAGTGACAACATACAGTTTTTTATTTTCTGTTCCTGCACTAGTTTTCTAAAAATAACGGTCTCTAGTTCCATCGACGTTGCTGCAAAGTACATGATGTTGTTCTTTCTTATAGTTGCATCCTATTTCATGGTGTTTACATACCACATTTTCCTTATCCAGTCTACCATTGAAGACATACAGGATTATTTCTTGTTTTTGCTATTGTGAATCGTGCTGTAATAAACATACGCGTGCATGTGTGTTCATGGTAGAAAAACTTACATTCACTGGGTATGTTCCCAATTGCGGGATTGGGAATGGTAATTCTGTTTTCAGGTTTTTGAAAAAATGCCAAGCTGCTTTTCTCAATGGTTAAATAAATTTATACTTTCACCAGCAGCATATAAGCATTCAATTTCTCCACAACCTCACAAGCATCTGTTTTTGTTTTTGTTTTTACTTTTTATTCTAATTGTTTTTATTTGAATTATTTCTTTTTTTCCCATCAGTCTAGTGTTTTATCTATCTTATTATGTTTACATTGAATCAACTTCTGGTTCCTTTGAATTTTTTTTTTAAGACAGAGTTTCACTCTTACACGCAGGCTGGAGTGCAGTGGTGCGGTCTCAGCTCACTGCAACCTCTGCCTTCCAGTTTCAAGCAATTCTCCTGCCTCAGCCTCCCGAGTAGCTGGGATTACAGGCATGTGCCACCACGGCCAGCTAATTTTTGTGTTTTTAGTAGAGATGGGCTTTCACCATGTTGGCTAGGCTGGTCTCAAACTCCTGAACTCGTGATCTTCCCGCCCTGGCCTCCCAAAGTGCTGGGATTACAGGAGCGAGCCACAGCACATGCGTGGCCCATTGAACTTTTTATAGTTATTTATGTCTCAAACTTCTTCATTTTGGCTCTGATTTTGGTTATTTCTTGACTTTTGTGAGCTGTGAAGTTGGTTTGCTCTTACTTTTGAAATTCTTTTAATTGTAACATTAGATTTTTAAATTGAGATCTTTCTAACTTTTTGATATGGATGTTTAGTGATATGCATTTTATTCTTAACACTGCCTTAGCTCTAACCCTGAGATTCTGGTATGTTGTATTTCGGTTGTAATTAGTTTCAAAAATTTTATTTCTGCCTTAATTTCATTATTTCCAAAATAGCCATTTGGAAGCTGATTATTCCATTTTTATGTAAATGCATCCTTTCACATGTTTTTTTTGTATTGAATTATTCTATACATTTTCTTTTTAAAATTAATGAGAAAGATAAGAAGAAATAAAAATGCTGTGCTCTTAATCTAAATGCTAAAAATTATTCAGCACTTAGTACCAACTCCCAGGGTGCTATGAAAATTAAATCACAAAATGTGTTATTCCCAGCGCAGTGTTCTGTGACATGCTCCTGAGCACACAGTACCTGCTTAGTAAACGTTTTATTAGTACATGTGTACAGGTTTCCCAGGTGCAGATTCACTCAGACGTTGCTGTCTTCTGTTGTCCCTGTAAACTTAAAAAAGCCAACAAAAATATAGCATTTCAGGGTGGAAATTGGTTGTTTTTATTTGTAGCAGAAGTATTAGTATTGTGACAAATGTGGTGTGTGTAAGGGACTCTGCTGTGCCTGCTTTCTCTTGCTAATGCTAATAATGTGTCTGGGAAAGCACAATCAGCATTTACAGGGGACTTGCTGTAAAAGCCCATTCCTGGACCCTTTTGGATCCTGCAGAATCACGTTGCATAGAGCGGGGCCAAGATTACCAAGTGATTTATAAACTTGAGGGGTTCAAGATACATTCAGGAGAGTTTAGTTCAACCTTTGCCTCAAAGGAAGGCTGCACTGCCTGCCCTGTTTCAGTTTGGTAGGAAGAGGTCAGTGCGGTTCATGTTCCCATTACTCTAAAGAAAATTGCTGGTTTCTGATAGGGGAGGGCAGAGACAAAGAAACTTATATTTTAATAGCTGTGGAGAAGCTCATTGTTCTCTCATTGCTCTTAAATCTTTTCAGTTATAAACAACAAAAATGGGTGAATGTTTTCTGCAAGTCTCGGTCTTCCGCCCGTGGGTGTGTGTGGTGGTAGCAGGTGAATAGGTTGCACTTTAAAGTCATATTCTCAAGATGCAGGTTTGATATGTCCAGAGCATCTTATCTGAAAATACATTTCAGAGAAAGAGGAGGAAAAGAAACAAATCACTTTTTCTCAGGTGAGCATGTCTCAGATCAAGCGCAGTGTCCACTCTGCCTTTTGGAATGCCTTGTGTTCAGAACTTGCAAAGTTTTACTTCTCTACTCGTGCTGTTGATCCCTAATGAGTTTGTTTCAACTATTTTTTGTGATTTTTATGATAGTCAAGGGGTTCTGAAAAAAATATTTGTTTTCTCTATGCCATAGCATTCTATACATTTCTCTTCATCTTGGATTCTTGTATATCATGCAGAATTCTTACCACAAATTTATGACCTACGATATATAAAATGTTCCCATTGTAGCTGTTGAACATTAGAAGGTGTGGATACTCAAGATTTCTATTGGGGAAACACCGTTGTCTTTGGAGATTAGTGAAAAGTGAAACATGTTATATTGAGGTTTCATCTGTGTGCTCTATTAGTTCCATGCAGAACAGCGTTTAGAAAATGCTCATTTAAACAGGGTGGCATTTATTATACAGAAAGTTCTGAAAAAACTGTTAGGAGATACTTGCTTTCCAGGGTGCTAAGGAAAGACTCCTTAAAATTACTAATAAAAATTGCAGAACAGGGAAGTTATCTGCACCTTCAACTTTGCATAAAACTGATGTTTCTTTATGATTAAATTTAGGCCAGGCGCAATGGCTTTGGCTTGTAATGCCAGCACATTGGGAGGCCGAGGCAGGCGGATCACGTGAGGTCAGGAGTTCAAGGCCAGCCTGACCAACATGGTGGAACACCATCTCTACTAAAAAAAAAAAAAATTAGCCAGGCATGGTGCATGCACCTGTAATCCCAGCTACTTGGGAGGTTGAGGCAGGAGAATTGCTTGAACTCAGGAAGTTGAGGTTGCAGTGAGATGAGATGGCACCACTGCACTCCAGCCTGGGTGACACAGCGAGACTCTGTCTCAAAAAAAAAAAAAAAAAAAAAAAAAATATATATATATATATATATATAATAAAATTAAATGTAGATTATAATTTACTTTTCTGAGAGGAGAGAAATGCCACAGCAGTGATGCTGTGTTGTGTGTGCATCAGCACATAATAAAAATGTGTCCTAATAAAGTTGATAACAATTTTATTCACTTGGTTCAAGATCTCTATGACATTTTTTTCCACTCTAGAGTTAATTCTTATTCTCTTAATTATTAAGGACACTTAGGAGATTTACTAGCTGAAGTGCATAAACCGTTGCATTTAATCTGGAAGCTGTCCTTTCCTTTTAGATGACTTTTGCTTATATTTGTCTTTTAAAAATGAAGGCTCTTATCTTTATTTACAGGTGAGAGAAACTGGGAAAAACCCAAACTCTGCCATTTACTGGATATTTGACAAAATATTCTTACTAGGCTAGAAACATTGGTGAGCTTGCTAAAAATTCAGAAATTCAGACTTCCTCCGAAATCTCCTGAAACAAAATCTCACAAGATCTTTAGTTATTGCACATACTAAGACTTGAGAGGTATCTTCCAATTCATCATGACTCTTCTATCTGAGAAATATACACAACTTATTCTATATGATGTAAATATAGCACTCAAAAATGGACATGTCCGGCCAGGTGCAGTGGCTCATGCCTACCATTCCAGCACTTTGGGAGGTTGAGGTGGGTGGATCACCTGAGGTGAGGAGTGCAAGACCTGCCAGGTCCACATGGAGAAACCCCGTCTCTACTAAAAATACAAAAATTAGCCAGTCATGGTGGCTCATGCCTGTAGTCCCAGCTACTCAGGGGGCTGAGGCAGGAGAATCGATTGAACCCGGGAGGTGGAGGTTGCACTGAGCCAAGATCATACCACTGCACTCCAGCTTGGGCAACAGAGTGAGACTCGGTCTCAAAAAAAAAGAAGAAAAGAAAAAGACATGTCCATGTTGATGCCCTTAATTTTATAATGTATCATCCAGAAAAGTATCAAATCTACAGTGGTATTGTGGATCTTATGCTATCCTCTTTTCTCAGAGTTAGAGAATACTTCAGTGTTAAAAATTATCTTATTGAATAATTTTAGTCACTCTTGTAAGTGAGAACCACTTCTTTTTACTCTCTTTTTTAACTTGAGTCAAATAAAAATCTCTGCCTATGGCCATGTGGTAAGTGCTTGTGTGTTCATGAGTGGTTTTGCTTGTTTGTTTGTTTTCCAGGGACTGTTGACATTCAGAGACATAGCTATAGAATTCTCTCTGGAGGAATGGCAATGCCTGGATTGTGCTCAGCGGAATTTATATAGACATGTGATGTTAGAGAACTACAGAAACTTGGTCTCCCTGGGTGAGGATAACTTCAATACATAATTCCTAATATATTGCTTTTCTCTTTTCTAAGATGTTTTTGGTAATTTCTGCTTTGCATGAATGAATTTTAGATCTCCAATTTTAAGAAAATCTTGGGGATTCATTGCTGTAGAACAAATTCTTCAAGATGTTTTATCTTGACCAGAACTTTTGCCTTTCCTGAGCTTATGTATCTTTTGCTCTAGGTTAGTGGGAATTCCAAAAATGCCATGGCATAAAAGATCGTTGCCCACACATTAGAATTCAGTTGCTGCCACCAATTTTTGATTCAGTAGTACTGAGTAGTGAAATTAAGGACCTACAAATTTAAAATATTTTCTGAATATTTAGAAAGTTCTATTATGAATCAATATTAATTTTCTAGAATTTTCTATTATATCCTCTAAGCATAATACTAATTTGGTAATTAAAGAATTCAGCATGATCTATGTTACTTTTTTTTCTTAATAAAACAGGTATTGCTGTCTCTAAGCCAGACTTGATCACCTGTCTGGAGCAAAATAAAGAGTCCCAGAATATAAAGAGAAATGAGATGGTAGCCAAACGCCCAGGTAGGTGAGAGCAAATGAAGCAGATGAGACAGATGAGAGGTACACAAATAAAGGAGGCAGCCAGTCCTTAAAATGTGGTCTGGGGAGCTGTCCTTTGATGAAAAGAGTTTCTGAGAAGCTCAAGTCATTTTTTCCTTTTGCTCTCACATAGGGACACCTCCTGCCTCATGCTGTTAAAGTCTCTAAGGATTCCACTTCTGCTTCAATAATCTTTCTTCAGGTTCACAGTGTGAGCCAAAGTTTTCTTTAAAGGTTATCAGGGACTGCGCAAACTGACTGCTTTGCCATTGCTTTTGGGGACACACTAATATCTGCATATTTTTGGAAAACTCTAAACCATTAAAATTTTTTTTTTGCATCATGTCTAAGATGTGTGAGAATAGTAGTTTCTCTTTCATTGGTGGTCATCCATTTTTCTGCACATGCCATTCTGTTTTTATTACTATAGCCTTGAAATATATTTTAAAGTTTTTACAAATTTTTTACAAATTGTTTAATTTTTTATATGTATTTATTTATTTAGAGGCTTGGTTATCCCCCCACTTGCACTTGCTGTGGGGGGATATGCAAGCAGGGTACCTTTTATGCCTTCATTTTACTGTGTTGCATATTTTAGATATAGACTCATAAATGGTATTGCTGTATTATATAATAATTTCATTTTAGATTATTTAAAGAATGCTTATGATGTTTTTATGATGGCTGTATCTTTTTTCTCATAAAAAACAACTTACATAGGTTTCAATTTCTTTACATCGTCAACAGTTGGTGTTTTAAAAAAATTTATAGTGGCCATCCTAATTGATGTAAGGTGATTTTGTTTTGTGATTATGTTTTGCATTTTTCTATAAATTATTAATTTTGTGCAACCTTTCAAATGCTTCTTCCCCTTTGTATATCTTTTTTATTAAAATTTAGTTTAATCATTTTTCCATTTCTTTCTTTTTTGAGACGGAGTTTCACTCTTGTTTCCTAGGCAACAAGAGCAATGGCACGATTTCAGCTCACAGCAACCTCTGCCTCCTGGATTCAAATGTTTCTCCTGCCTCAGCCCCCTGAGTAGCTGGGATCAGGGATGTGCCACCACACCCAGCTAATTTTGTATTTATAGTAGGGATGGGTTTCGCCATGTTGGTCAGGCTGGTCTCGAATTCCTGACCTCAGGTGATCTGCCCACCTCAGCCTCCCAAAGTTCTGGGATCACACGTGTGAGCCACCGCACCTGGCTCATTTGTCCATTTCTAAATCAAGTAATTCAATTATTGTTGTCTAGTTCTAGGAGTAGTTTATGTATTCTCAATATTAAGTCTTATCACATGTGATTTTCAAATATTGTCACCGATTTCTTGGGAGACACTGTCACTCTATTAAATGTTTTATTTGATTGCAGAAATTTTGAAGTTTAGCCCAATTAAATTTTTCTGTTCTCCTCTTTGTTGCGCATGCATTTGATGGCATATCTAAGAAAATGTGCCAAGACCAATGTCATGTCTTTGCACTATACTTTTTTTCTAAGAGTTTCATTAGGTTTTTCTTAGTCTAAGTACTTTGTTTAAAATATTTTTTGTATGTGATGCAATTAAACCATTCAACTTCATTTTTTTCAATGTAGATGTCCAGTTTTCAACATCATCTGTTGAAGGGATTATATTTTCTCCATTGTCTGCTCATGGCAACCTTGAGGCAGATTATTTGGTCATACACAGAAGAGTTCATTGCTGGGCTTTCTATTTTGTTCTATCATGTCTTTATCTGTCTTTTTGTGAATACCACATAGTTATTGTTATTGCAGCTTTTTATTATGTTTTGAAATTATGAAGTATAGTGCCTCTGTGTTTTTCATGTGTGTTTCTCTAGATTTGGTTCATAATAAAATTTAAAAATTTTAAACAATATTTCAGGAATAAATATACTTTTGGAATTTTGATACAGATTATATTAAATTTGTTCACCACTGTGGGTCTTAACAAATTAAGTCATCACTTAAATATGTTGGCCCTTGAGAAAAAATATTAAATTAATTTAAATTATTTGACCCTGTGCAAGAATACAGTGAAGAGTGTGTTTATTTCCATGTATTTTTGATTTGCCAGTATTACTTTTTTTCTTTTTAGTTTTATTCAGTTTGGGTTAGAAAACATATACTGTATGATTTTGCTCTTCTTATTTTTTTTTTGACTCAGAGTTTCTCACTCTGTTTCCCAGACTGTAGTGCAGTAGCACAATCTTGGCTCACTGCAGCCTCAACCTCTTGAACTCAAGTAATCCTTTCACCTTGGCCTACTGAGCAGCTGGCATTGGAGGCATACCCCACAATGCTCAGCTAATTTTGAATTATTTGTAGAGACAGGGTCTCACTGTGTTCCCAAGGCTAGTATCAAACTTCTTGCCCCAAGTGATTCTTCCACCTTGGCCTCCCAAACTGCTGGGATTACACCTGTGAGCCACTGCACCTGGCTGATCTTTTGAAATTTACCAAGACTTATGTGTTCTAACAGAATGCACCAGGTGCAAATAAGAATATTGTGTATCTACTTGCTTTTGACTGGAGAGTTCTGTACATGTCTGTTTAGCCTATTTGGTTTGTGATATGGTGTAGATGCCCTCCAAATGGCATGTTGAAATGTAATCTCCACTGTTGGATGTGGGGCCTAATGAGAGCTGTTTGCATCATGGAGACAAGTCCCTCATGAATGACTTGGCACAATCATAGAGTTCTCACGCTATTAATTCACATGAGAGCTGGTTGCTTAAAGGAACCTGGCTCCTCCACCTCACACTCACATCGTCTTTCACCATGTGACATGTTTGGTTCTTCTTTGCCTTCCACTATAATTGTAAGCTTCCTCATATCCTCACCAGAAGCAGATGCTGGCATATACTTCTTGTGCAGTCTACTGAACTGTGAATCAAAAAATCTTTTTCTTTATGAATTACCCAGTCTGAGGTTATTTTCTATAGCAATGCAAAATAAATTCATACACAATATAATATTCTTCAGGTTTTCAGTTTTTTTAATTGATCTTTTATTTAAATTTTTTATTTATTATTGAAAAGGAGGTCTTAATGTTTATAATTTTGTGTTGCTATTTTATTTCTTGCTTCATTTCTGTCAATATTTGCTTTATATGTTTTGAAGCCCTGATGTTATATATGCATATACATGTAGATAGACATAATAATTATAGATTCCTAGTAAATGGACTCATTTTACCATTATATAATATCAATCTTTGTCTCATGCTAGTAATTGACTCATTTGCTTTCGTGTGTCTATAAAGATTTTTTCTTTGTGCTACATTGGAGATTCTGTAAAACATCTTAAATGTTACAACAGTATATTTTAAACTGGTAAAAAAAAATGACTTCAGTTGCATAGAAAAATTTGTCCTCATTATATCTACCCTATACTTCTTATTGATGTTGCTAATTATATCTTTTTATGTTTTATGTTTTTTATGCTTATATTTTTCAAATTTTAAAGAATAACTAAAAGTATTTTCTGCACCATCACAATAATGCCACAGAATTTTACTTTTTGTATATGCATATGTTTTTCAGAAAGTTATGTATTTTCATATGATTACATATATTTTTCATCATGTTGTTTTAAGTGGAAAGACCTCTTTTCAGCATTTTATGTAGGGCACATACAATGATTATGTGCTTTTCCAGCATTTATTCATTCTGGAAGAGTTTTATTTTTCTTTATGTTGTAGTACATTTTTCTGGTTTTATTATTCTCACCATGAAAATTTTTTTCAGCCTTTGACCATTTTACACAGTTCTTTTCTGACCTGCAAGGTTTCTGTTTACAAATTCACTGGTTGTCTCAGAGGACTATGCTTATAAATAATACTTCACTTTTATCTTGCAGCTCCCAAGATTATCTTCTGGTTTGTGACTTTTGAAACTTTGCTTAAATTTGTGTTGCGGATCTTTTTGTGTATATCCTAGTTTGTTTGTTTAGCTTCTTCATTTTTTACGTACTTTTTTCTTACTTTTAAATTTTTTCAGTTATTCTTTTTTACCTCCACCTTGTTTATTTTTATTATTGCAAGTTTTGTTGGTATTCTTATTTTTCTTATTTTATTTAGGTGTCTGGTTTTCCATTTTTCTCATTGAGCATAATATGGATTATCTTAAATTTTAAAAATCAAGATGTACATCTTTATTTTTATAGTTGCTTTTTCAAAATTTTTGATTTTTTTGATTGGACCATGTTGTCCTCATGTTTTATATACATTGTAATCTTTGTTGGAGATTTAGACACTAACATAAAACTACCTTTCATGATCTTTATAATGCAGCTCCTTCCTCTCATAGCATGACACCAATTGTCTTTGGTAGAGATTCTGGGATTCTCACAAACATGTTCTCAGGATGTGTTTTGTCTGCAATTTGTATTTATTTTTCAATTAAAAGACTTCTTCATATTTCTTCTTAGTGGTCAGTAACTACGTTCTACACCTATCTTCTACCCATCATACTGCAGTCTTTCTGCGGTTGTAACATTCACTTTTGAGCTCAGAAGACTTAAAGCTGTTATTAAAGGCACTATGTTCTTCTACTGGGCATGAGGAAGGGCTGTGTTGGGTAAATGTAGCAGACCTTTCTTTTCTCTCTATATGGCTCTGGACATCGTGCTCACATGGTGCACACACTTACTTTATTTATAAATTTCCAACAAAGGTATTTTGATCACTATGATTTTGTTACATTTATACATCTATGAAGGAATTATGGCCTGTGGTATTTTGATATGGCATTTTGCTAATGTACCTTGTGTAATTTTATATATTTCATGTGTAGAATACATTTATATGAGTCCAGAAAGTGGAGTAACTTGTGCTTTTTGTGTCTTTCAGTTACGCATTCCCATTTCACCCAAGACCTTCAGCCAGAGCAGGGCATCAAAGATTCACTCCAAAAAGTAATACCAAGAACATATGGAAAATGTGGACATGAGAAATTACAATTTAAAAAATGCTGTAAAAGTGTGGGTGAATGTGAGGTGCCCAAAGAGGTTATAGTGAAGTTAACCAATGTTTGTCAACTACCCAAAACAAAATATTTCAGACTCATAAATATGTCAAAGTCTTTGGTAAATTTTCAAATTCCAATAGAGATAAAACAAGATATACTGGAAAGAAACATTTCAAATGTAACAAATATGGCAAATCATTTTGCATGCTTTCACACCTAAATCAACATCAGGTAATTCATACTAGGGAGAAGTCCTACAAATGCAAAGAATGTGGCAAATCCTTTAACTGCTCCTCAAACCATACTACACATAAAATAATTCATACTGGAGAGAAACCATATAGATGTGAGGAATGTGGCAAAGCCTTTAGCTGGTCCGCAAACCTTACTAGACATAAGAGAATTCATACTGGAGAGAAACCCTACACATGTGAAGAATGTGGCCAAGCCTTTAGGCGCTCCTCAGCACTTACTAACCACAAGAGAATTCATACTGGAGGGAGACCCTACAAATGTGAAGAATGTGGCAAAGCCTTTAGCGTATCCTCAACCCTCACTGACCACAAGAGAATTCATACTGGAGAGAAACCCTGCAGGTGTGAGGAATGTGGCAAAGCCTTTAGCTGGTCCTCAAACCTTACTAGACATAAGAGAATTCATACTAGAGAAAACCCTATGCCTGTGAAGAATGTGGCCAAGCCTTTAGCTTATCCTCGAACCTTACTAGACATAAGAGAATTCATACTGGAGAGAAACCCTACACATATGAAGAATGTGGCCAAGACTTTAGGCGCTCCTCAGCACTTACTATCCACAAGAGAATTCATACTGGAGAGAGACCCTACAAATGTGAAGAGTGTGGCAAAGTCTTTAGCTTATCCTCAACCCTCACTGACCACAAGAGAATTCATACTGGAGAGAGACCCTACAAATGTGAAGAATGTGGCAAAGCCTTTAGCTTATCCTCAACCCTCACTGACCACAAGAGAATTCACACTGGAGAGAGACCCTACACATGTGAAGAATGTGGCAAAGCCTTTAATTGCTCCTCAACCCTTATGCAACATAAGAGAATTCATACTGGAGAGAAACCCTACAAATGTGAAGAATGTGACCAAGCTTTTAAGTGGCATTCAAGTCTTGCTAAACATAAGATAATTCACACTGGAGAGAAACCCTACAAATGTGAATAATGTGGCAAAGTCCACCCTCAGGCCTTATAATACATAAAATAATTTACACTGGAAAAAAACACTACAAATGTAGAGAATGTGGCCAAGCCTTTAACCAGTTCCAAACCTTAATTGAACGTAAGAGAATTCATATTGGACAGAAATTTTATAAATGTAAAAAAATGTAACAAAGCCTTTAACCAACCCTCAAACCTTAATAAACCTAAGAGAATTTATTTTAAAAAAATTTTTTTGAGTTGGAGTCTCCCTGTGTCACCCAGGCTGGAGTGCAGTGGCATGATCTCAGCTCACTGTAACCTCTGCCTTCCAGGTTCAAGCGATTCTCCTGCCTCAGCCTCCTGAGTAGCTGGGATTACAGGCGTGTGCCACCACACTGGCTGATTTGTGTATTTTTAGTAGAGATAGAGTTTCACCATGTTGGCCAGGCTGGTCTTGAACTCCTGACCTCAGGTGATCCACCTTTGTCAGCCTCCCAAAGCCTAAGAGAACTTATATTACAGAGACCCTAGAAACAAAAAAAAAGTGACAAAACCTTTAAGCACATCTCAGGCCTTACATAATATCTGATCATTCATTCTAGAGAGAAACTCTACAAAAGCAAAGAATGTGGTAAAGCTGTTAACTAGTCTTGAACCCTTATTATACATAAGAGAATTAATACTGAAGAGAAACCCTGCAATAAGCAATATGGTAATGTCTTTAAAAAGTCCTCAAACCTGAATAAATGTAAGATAATTGATATTGGAGAGAAACCCTGCAATTGTAGAAAAAAATGTGGCAAACCCTTTAACTGGTTCTCCATGCTTACTCACTAAAAAATTTTATACTGGAGAGAAACTCTGCTTACATAAAACTGTGACAGAGCATTTAAGCACACCTCAAACTTTTCTAAAAAAGAGAAATCATACTGGTGAGAGACTCTAGAAATGTGTTAAATTTAGCAAGGACTTTAAATGGTAGTCACACGTTATGGTAGTAAGATAGTTTATACTGAAGAAGACTCCTACAAATATGAAGAATGTGGCAAAACTTTTAACAAATTCTCACACCTTATGGTACAGGAAAGCATTTATACTAGAGAAAAATTGTACAAATACAAAGAATGTGAAAAGCCATTAATATCAGGTCACATCTTACTCAATATCAGAAAGTTTATACTTAATAAAGGGATTATAGGTCAGGTGTGTTGGCTCATGCCTATAATTCCAGCACTTTGGGAGGCCAAGGTCGGTGGATCATGAGGTCAGGAGTTCAAGACCAGCCTGGCCAACATGGTGAAACTCCATCCCTACTAAAAATAGAAAAACTAGCCGGGTGTGGTGGCGTGCACCTGTAATCCCAGCTACTCGGCAGGCAGAGGTAGGAGAATTGCTTGAACCGGGGAGGCAGAGGTTGCAGTGAGCTGAGATAGAGCCACTACACTACAGCCTGGGTGACAGAGCAAGACTCCGTCTCAAAAAAAAATTATAAATGTGATTACTGTAAAAAGACCTTTTGGAAAATATAGGCCTTTAAAGTAAAGACCAGTTATTCTGAAGACAAACATACAAACTTAAAGAGGATTGCTGTACCTTTACTTCCATTACAGATTTTATTGTACACATTTTATATTAAAGGAAAAATTTGAAGATCTGAGAAGATGCTCAAACGTTGTTGAACATTAGAGAATTTATATTGGGGAGAAAGTCTAAACATGTAATGAATGTGAAAAACATTTGTTCAAAACCTACAGCTTAGAAAACACCAGTTTGTACTAAATATTTTTGCAGAACCAGTAAATGGGGAAAACATATTAAATCAAAAATTAAGTCTATATAAACATCTGAGGGGTCACAGTAGAAAGAATGAAGGCACTGAAACTTCATACATTACACTAAATCAGAGGGTTCAGTGTAAAAGAGATCCAAAGCTAACACCATATACATGTTAAAGAAGTAGTTTTTTTCGAGATTCATAATTACCTTCGAGGTATGTTTCTTTCTTCTATAAAAAAATAGTTTCTGAAAAGCAAATAATAATGTAACTCAAGTCTCAGATTCCGTCATGTTGACTCTTCCTATTGTTTGTGAAAGTATTTGATCAGTTGTTTCATCAGAGATAGGAGAGATTGTTTTTTATCAATTGTACGTTTATGTAATAAAATGCAATAAATTTAAAAATTTTTTAAAGATTATGTGTCATCTTAATTTTTTCATTAAACAAAGTTGCTTTTAATGTGTTAAAACTATTGTGCTTTGAATGAAGTGTTAATTTGTCATCAGATTTAATGGGTCCCATTTTACTTAAGGTTCTAAGTAAAAGATGGTAACAATGTGCTATTTGTTAATGTAGGGGAATGACATCTCTAGTAATCTCTTTTTTGCCAGTGTTGTTTGTTTGTTTGTTTGTTTGTTTTGAAATGGAGTCTTGCTCTGTTGCTTAGGCTGGAGTGCAGTGGCATGATGTCGGCTCACTGCAAACTTTACCTCCTGGGTCCAAGCGATTCTCCTGCCTTCAGTCTGCCAAGTAGCAGGGACTACATGCACATTCCACCACGCCTGGCTAATTTTTGTATTTTTAGTAGAGATGGGGTTTCACCATGTTGGCCAGGCTGGTCTTTAACTCCTGATCTCAGGTGATCCACCCACCTCAGTGCCCCAAATTGGTGGGGTTACAAGTGTGGGTCACCATGCCTGTCCTGCCAGTGGTTTAAACTGCAAATAAGTAGAATAATTTTTTTCTCATAGATCAAATTTGTATTCTTTTTTACCCTATTTAGATTTCTAAAAAAATTTTGTGGGTGGATAGTGTGCATACACACTTATGGCATATATGAGATATTTTAACACAGGCATACGTTAGTTAATTATCACAGCAGCGTATATGAGGTATTCCTCAACTCGAGCACGTATTTATCCTTTGTATTACAAGCTCATTATACAGTTTTATTTTAATATGTACAATTGAATTATTACTAACCATAGGGTCATTTTATGGTCATAAAAATTGCATGAGTATAATTAATATACATTTCTGAGTCTTGATTAAATATTTTTAAAAAATTGTTTTGTATATTTTTTGTACATGTGGCCTCTCTGCTGACAAACAAAAACAGACTTTTAGTTTTGATTTACATAGAGTTATATATACAAATATATTACTCTAAAGATATATCAGCCAGGCACTGTGGCTCATGCCTGTAATCTCAGCACTTTGTGAGGCTGAGTGGGGCAGATAATTTGAGGTCAGGAGTTCAAGACCAGCCTGGCCAACATGGTGCAACCCCATCTCTACTAAAAATACAAAAAATTAGCTGGGCGTGGTGGTACATGCCTGTATTCCCAGCAACTAGGGAGGCTGGGGCAGGAGAATCGCTTGGTCCTGGGAGGCAGAGGTTGCAGTGAGCCAAGGTGGCAGACCTGCACTCCAGCCAGGATGACAGAGCGAGACACCATTAAAAAAATAAATGAATATATATACATATATATATACACACATATAAGAAAGTTATGTAGCAACTGAGTGTGTTTGTGTGTGTTTGTATGCATTTTCAGAACAGAAGAACAATATTGAAACAAAAAAGATTATTTTAATAAGGTGGATAATTAAAGAGAAACCTGGAAACCTCAGAGATTCTCAAAAAAATCTATATTCTGTGACTTGTATTGAATTCGTTACTGTAAAATTTTATCCCACCCAAATCTTATCTCAAATTGTAATCCCCATGTTTCAAGGGAGGGACTTGGTGGGAGGTGATTGGAATATGGGGGTAATTTTCCCCCATGCTGTTCTCATGATAGTAAGTGAGTTATCAAAGGATCTGGTGGTTATATAAGTGGTGTTTTTTTCTGCTCTGCCTCTCTCTTGCTGCCTAGTAAAGAAGGTACTTGCTTCTCCTTTGCCTTCCACCATAACTGTAGGTTTCCTGAGACCTCCCCAGCAATGCAGAATTGTGAGTAAATTAAACTTCCTTTCTGTATAGATTACCCATTCTCTGGTAGTAACTTAATAGTAGTGTGAAAACAAACTAATACAGAAAATTAATACAGGTAGTTTGGGGCACTGCTATAAAGACAGTTGAAAATGTGGAAGTGACTTTGGAACTGGGTAATAGGCAGAGGTTGAAACAGTTTAGAGAACTCAGAAAAAAATAGAAAAATATGGGAAAGTTTGGAACTTCCTAGAGACTTGTTGAATGCTTTTGACCCAAATGCTAATAGTGATGTAGATGATAAAGTCCAGGCTGAGGTTGTCTCAGATGGAGATGAGAAACTTAATTTTTAAATGGAAGCAGAACATAAAAGTTTGGAAAGTTTGCACCTGACCATGAGGTAGAATATAAAACCCCATTTTTTTGGAAAGAAAATCAAGCCACTGCAGAAATTTACAAAAGTAAAGAGAAGCTGAATGTTAATAGCCAAGACAATGGGGAAAATGTCTTCAGGTCATGTCAAAGATCTGAGACAGGTTCTTCTATCACAGGCCAGGAACTCTAGGAGGAAAAAATGGTTTCATGGTCGAGGCCCAGGGAGGGCCCCACTGCTTTATGAAGCCTTGGGGCTGGTGCCCTGCATCCCAGCTGCTCCAGATCCAGCTGTGGCTAAAAGGGGCCAAAGTACAGCTTGGGTTGTTCCTTCAGAAAGTGCAATCCTCAAGCCTTGGTGGCTTCCATGTCATATTGGCCATGCATGTGCACAGAAGACAAGAGTTGAGCTCTAGAAACCTCTGCCTAGATTTCAGAGGATGTATAAAAATGCCTGGGTGTTCAGGCAGAAGTCTACAGGGGCAGAGCCCTCAAGGATAACCTGTGCTAGGGCAATGCAGAAGGGAAATGTGGGGTTGGAGCCCTCATGCAGAGTCCCCACTGAAGCTGCCTACTGGAGTTGTGAGAAGGCCACTATACTCCAGACCCCTAAATAACAGATTCACCATGAGCTTGCACCGTGCACCTAGAAAAGCCAGAGGCACACAATTCCAGTCCATAAAGGAGCTTCCCAAGGCCATGAGGGCCCACCCATTGCATCAGCATGGCCCACATGTGAGACATGGAGTCAAATGAGAACATCTCAGAGCTTTAAGACTTAATGACTGCCCCATTGGAATTCCAACTTGCATGAGGCCTGTAGCTCTTTGGTTTTGGCCAATTTCTCCCATTTGTAGTGGGAGAATTTGTCTAATGCCTGTACCTCCATTGTATCTTGGAAGTTACTAACTTGCTTTTGATTTACAGGCTCACAGGTAGCAGGGATTTGCCTTGTCTCAGATGAGACTTTGGACTTAGACTTTTGGGTTAATGCTAACTTGAGTTAAGACTTGGGGGACTGTTGGGAAAGCATGTTTGGTTTTGAAATATAAAAAGGGCATGAGATTTGGAAGGGGCCAGAGGCAGAATGATACTCATGCTGTTCTTGTGATAGTGAGTGAGTTCTCATGAGTTTGGATGGTTTTATAAGTGGTAATTTTTCCTGCTCTCCGTCACCTAGTGAAAAGGATACCTGCTTCTCCTTCACCTTCTCCCATTATCATAAGGTTCTTGAGGCCTCCCCAGCCATGCTGAACTGTGAGTCAAATAAACCTCTTTCCTTTATAATTTACCTAGTCTTTGGTGTGTTCTTCAGCAGTGTGAGAATGGACTAATAGACAAAGTAACTTAATAACAAAGGTGTCACTATTATTTTCAATTTACAAAAAAAAAAAAAGAAAAGAGCCAGAGAGAGAAATAACTTGCTCACAATAGCAAAACCAGTATTAAAACAGTATCAACTTTAACTCCAGAGATAATACTCTTGAATAAAACAATAAAAACACTTCAAACAGAAAAGAAGTTACCTTTAACATCCATTCTTAAAAATTTAACAAAAATGAAAATGGATACATTTGTATTGCTATATATTTGTATATATGTGAATGTATATTACAAATAAGAAATACTTCATATAAGCCAGAAAAAGATAATTATTTTAATGAATACAATTGAAAAGCAGTTCAATTAATTATTATTTGCAGATGATATCTTTGTTTACTTAGAAAGACAGCAAAAGCAACTGAAAGGTGATTTTAGAAATCTATTCAGGTGGGTAGGGAAAATTCTCAGATGACCCTCAGGTTCCCACTTCAGTGCACACCTGCTGTGTAATCCTTTTCTCTTGAGCATCACAAAATGTGTGTGACTGTGGCAAAACAGTATTCATGTATTTATATTACTAATGTATTGGCTTCCTTTTTATCATACGAGAGATTATCTTGATTAGGCTAAACTTAATCAGAGGTGCTTTAAGAGAAAGAGCACATCATAGAAAACATCCCTGCTTCCCTGAAATTAATCAAACTTCTTGGTAAGCAATGTCATAAAGTGTTTATGGTGGCCACATGGCAAGATATATATTTGTATATTGTCTCCATTTCTGCCTTCAACATATTACTTTCAATAAGGAGAATAGGAGGATCTCATTGCAGAGGAAAAAGAAGGGATCTCATTTATGCAAGAAATAATCACCCCTCATCTGGGACAGCTTAAGAAAAACAGAGACCAGAACATGACCTCATCAATGGGAAATAAAGATAACTTGGTTGAAAGGGCTCCCTGGCGTTATGAAGCAATGTCTACACAGCTGAAGTAAATGATCAGCCTCTGGGATACCAATAGTCTACCAACAAGGCCGTATTCATTTTCATTCTGATTGCATTAGCACTTCTGCACCATTCTGGTAACTCGGATTTACATAATTCATGACAAAGATAGCTGCAGGGTGCGGTGGCTCATGCCTGTTATCCTAGAACTTTGGGAGGGCGAGGTGGGTGGATCACCTGAGATTGTGAGTTCAAGACCAGCCTGATCAACATGGAGAAACCCCGTCTCTACTAAAAATATAAAATTAGCCGGGCATGGTGGTGCATGCCTGTAATCCCAGCTACTCAAGAGGCTGAGGCAGGAGACTGGCTTGAACCCTGGAGGTGAAGGTTTCAGTGAGCCAAGATCATGCCATTGCACTCCAGCCTGGGCAACAGGAGCAAAACTCCATCCCCTCCTGCCAAAAAAAGGAAAAAAATACCATGCAGACCAGTGAGTACTATCCTAGAATTGAACTTATCATGAAAAAGCCTTGCCAATTCTTTAATTTCAACATTGGAAAATGTTGAAAAAAATAATGAATTTATTAATAATAATCTGACTTTCTAATTTTAGACTATTCTACTATTCTATACTACAATATTGAACTTTGATCATCGTAACATGAACATTTCGTGAATGCATAAGTTGTTATGTAGATAGGTTCTCTTTTAGATTAACACAATAAGACAATTAGAGCAAACAATTAGAAAAAGCATTTGAAATCAAAAGTCATCAGATCCACATCTTTCAATGGCTTGGCATAATTGCCATGCTCTTTGAAAGAAGCAAAGACAAGATTTTGGCTTAGCCCAATTATTAAGTCCTTGACCTTTTGAAATCTAATATCCTGGCTAAAAAAAGGAGTAGAGAATATTTTTTGGGTGGCTGTCTAAAGTGTCCAAGGCAATATGAGAAGAATTTTAATAGTTAAGTAAGAAAATGCATACCACATACACACATTACTCTTCTCTACTTTGCTCTAACATTGAAAGATTAGAAATTGCAAATCTAGTCCCTCAATTTCGGGTAAATTAGCAAAAGATTCATGTTTCAGCTGAGCAAATTGTTGTATGAAACTTATAGGTAACAGATGTCATTATCTGCAAAACACAAAATAGTATGATTAGATCCAGTAACTATCTAGCCATGCAAATGATAGACCAATTAGATTAAGATCCTAACAGGTGCAGGTAGAAAGCATTTATGTGCAATGTTGTGACCCTTCCCCAAACACATTTTTCTGACTCCTTACAGAGATACCAATTTTTCTGAATGACTCAGAGTGAATACTGGAAACTGAGAATGCTCAGTGTTCAGAGTTGATTACTGGGAACATAGTTAACACATTTCTTCTATATTATGAAGAAATTTTATGAATCTTAAGACAAAGCCTTTTTTTTTTCTTTTTGAGACGGAGTTTCACTCTTGTTGCCCATGCTGGAGTGCAATGGCGTGATCTCGGCTCAACTCAACCTCTGCCTCTCAGGTTCAAGTCAGTCTTCTGCCTCAGCCTTCTGAGTAGCTGGGATTGCAGGCATGAGCCACTGCACCCAACCCAGAAAGGTTTTTAATAAAAGACTGTTCGTGTATAACACTCTATTTGGATTCATAGAAATTTCCAATATGCCATTTAAGTCAAAAACACTGAAATGTCAACCAAATTTCACAAAATGTATTTGAATGAGATCAAGTCTTCCTTAGCTGAGAATTGTATTTCATCAGTAAATTTAGAAGAAAATAATAAATGTGTTTACTTTAGACCATATAACAGTGTTTGCCACATGGGACCAATTCAGACAAGTGCTCTTCATCATTACTCTTAAAGTAGCAATAGCACCACATCCATTTCCTGGTACCAGCCAGCCTGTTTTTCACTGATATGAAGTGCAGAAGGCATTGAAACAGTGAAGAAGGGTGATATAAATGGAATACTTATATGAAGTACAATTGTTAATAAAAGGTAGCATTTGATATTATACGACTATAGGTAAGATGATTAGTATGAGATAAAAATATTTTTACTTTAATTGACAGAATATCTTAATCCACATTATTTCTATTTCAAATAATTTTTTTTGCTCTATATTTGCTGCCTTTTTATTTGCTATTACCTGAGCTTACTAAGAATCAACAAAATGAATCTTTATTTTACCACAAGAATTTTATTCGTGCATATGCTTAATTTGCTGAAAACATGTTAGCTTTCCATGAAAGATTTATGCTTTTATTGTGTCATTTTTTGCCAAGAAGTGGCTGTCCTGCCAGAAAACTGCTATTCTGAGCTCTGCTCACTTTGACTCTGCTCAGCATAGTGACTGGAAGTGATGTGTGGATAAAAAGCAAATGTGTCTTCTTTGCATCTTTTTTTGATCTATTGGCTTTAGAAACAGGAGAATGTGGATAGAAAATTTAGAAAAAAATCTAATCTCCAAATAATCATGAAGAAGTTTTTTTAACCAGAAGTAAACCAAAGGGGAAGGTGGTGTGTGCATAAAATGTATTATTTTGCTAAGCCTTTGAAATTGTAGGGTTTATTAGTATGACAACCTGCATTGCTTTAACAAACATATTAGTCTCTTAGTTTTAATTCTTCTGGATATGATTCAATTTCCTGATGAATCTGAACTGAGAGGAGAATAACTTATTTGTTAAAATTAAAGACGCAGGAAAAAATATGTTGACTAAAATAAGATAGCCAAAAAGAGACAGACAAAACAGAAAGTAAAGTGATGTTCTTCAGACGCGGAAAAGAGAGAAGGAGAAGACAGTTTATTGAACATTAGATTGTACTTTTTAAAGATAAAATTATCTAGAGATCTGTTTCATATAATGTAAATATACTTAAAAGTACTAAACATATAGCTTAAGTATATAACTTTAAAATGTTTAAGATGGTAATTTTATGTTTTTAATCACAAATATTTACAACTCTCAAAAAATAGTTGCATTTTTCAAAAATTACTTCAAATATCAAGTGTTTTTCTCACACAATAACATAGATTCAAACAATAAATAGACAGTAATTTTAGACTGCCTTTCTGACTACTCATCCAGACAATAGAACACTGACAACCACCTGAGAAAAAAAATAAACAAGATAACTAATAAAGAAAATGGATCAATATTTATACACGCAAATATCACATAAGTAACTTTTATAGGCAATAGAAATGTCTGACTTACGGGGCTGGGCGTGGTGGATCACGCCTGTAATCCCAGCACTTTGGGAGATTGAGCCAGGTGGATGATGAGGTCAGGAGTTCAAGACCAGCCTGGCCAGCATGGTGAAATGCCATCTCTACTAAAAATACAAAAAATTAGCCAGGCATGGTGGTGCGCACCTGTAGCCCCAGCTACTCAGGAGGCTGAGGCATGAGAATTGCTTGAACCTGGAGGCAGAGGTGGCAGTGAGCCTGGATCCTACCACTGCACTCCAGCCTGGGTGACAGAGCGAGACTCCGTATCCAAACAAACAAACAAAAACAAGAAATATCTGACTTATACTTGTTTTTTAAAATTTGCTCCAAGTGAAACCCAGGGATTTATATTTGAGTTAAACACCACATTTTTTTTTTCTTAAGACGGAGATTCACTCTTGTTGCCCAGGCTGGAGTGCAATGGCATGATCTTGGCTCACTGCAACCTCCACCTCCCAGGTTCAAGCAATTCTCCTGCCTCAGCCTCCCAAGGAGCTGGGATTACAGGCATGCACCACCACGCCCAGCTAATTTTGTATTTTTAGTAGAGATGGGGTTTCTGCATGTTGGTCAGGCTGGTCTCAAACTCCCAACCTCAGGTGATCTGCCCGCCTCAGCCTCCCAAAGTGCTGGGGTTACAGGCGTGAGCCACCGTGCCCAGCCCTGTTAAACACCACATTTTTATAAATAATACCGAATGAAAATTACCTTCCACATCATAAATGTAATGTTAAAAACAAAAATACAATTTAATCATCAAAAGAAACCTGTACGAAAAAAATGCAGTATAATGGACTTAAAAACAAAAATAAAACATGTTGACCTATAAAATATGGAATATTAGCATAGATGTATCAGAAAATAATTCTTTAAATAACTACAGTTTTCAAATATGACTATGAACTTACGAAAATCTGGCATTTTTAATTATTGGCATACAATGTATAGTAGTAAATTTCCACAAAAAAATACATTAGAAGAATTAGTAAAAGTCTAATGAAAATGGAAGCTTTTAAAGTATTTAAAAGATACTAGGTAAAGTTATTTATGTTATTAATATATTATTGCTATTACACAAAATATAAGATCTACAATACAACCATATGAACACAAGAAAATAATATTCCAAAGCAAAAACAATATAATTTTTTAGAATACTGTGAGATTATATATAAAATAAATATTGGAATTAAATTATATCATTATTTAGGTATAAGTGGAGAAAAATGAATAAAATACTAATGACACCTGTAATGGTGGTGCATGAATTACTTTTAACTTAGGGATAAAAGCTACAAGACAAAAGTATCCAAAATACATATAGCTTAAATAATTTATTATGAGATACACAATATAAAAAATGTAAAGTGCGATATAAATCGTGTATTGAAGAGAGTAAACCTGTTGAGTCTTTCTATGCATCGAAGTAGAATTGTTATTATCGTAAGCTAGAGTGTTATATCTATGAGATGTGTTATGTAAATCTCTTGGTAACTAAATGAAAATTTGTACTATACACACAAAAGAAAAAGGAATCAAGCGGCCGGGCGCAGTGGCTTATTCCTGTAATCCCAGCACTTTGGGAGGCGGAGATGGACAGATCACCTGAGGCCGGGAGTTCGAGACCAGCCTGACCAACATGGAGAAAATCCGTCTCTACTAAAATACAAAATTAGTCAGATGTGGTGGCAAGTGCCTGTAATCCCAGCTATTCGGGAGGCTGAGGAAGGAGAATTGCTTGAACTTGGGAGATGGAGGTTGAGTTGGTGCCATTGCACTCTAGCCTGGAAAATGAGAGTGAAACTCTATCTCAAAAAAAAAAAACAAAAAAAAAGAAAACAAAAGAAAGAAAAGAAATGGGAATCAAAGCATATAATAACAAAAGCAAAAAAAAAAACTAGAAAACACAAGAAAAGAGAGCATGAAAAGAAAACCAAAGACATTATTTTGTTGGTGCAAAAGTAATTGCGGTTTTTGCCATTAAAAGTCATGGCAAATCAATAATTTTTTAAATATCAAATAATTTAATTATCTAATAAAAACGCATCGCTATGGTTTGAATGCCCCCTTCAAAATTCATGCTGAAATTTAACTGTCATCATTATAAAATTATAAATTGGACCTTTAAGAAGATATCAGGTTTTGAGGGAATCTACTCTCATGAATGAATTAATGTCATTGTTTCCAGAGTGGGTTAGCTGGCAGGAAATTGGGTCTATTATAAAAGTAAGCTCTCTTATGTTCACCTTCTGTCATCCTCATGCCTTTGGCCATTTTGTGATGTGGAAATCTGATTCTCATCAGATGTCAATGGCGTGCTCTTGGACTTCCATAATCTAAAATTGTGAGCTATGTAAACTTCTATTCTTTATAAAATACCAACTCTAAGGCCGAGCGCGGTGGATCACCCTTGTAATCCCAGCACTTTGGGAGGCTGAGGCGGCTGGATCACCTGAGATCAGGAGTTCGAGACCAGCCTGGCCAACATGGTGAAACCCCTTCTCTACTAAAAATACAAAATTTAGCTGGGTGTCATGGCAGGTGCCTATAATCCCAGCTAATCAAGAGGCTGAGGTGGGAGAATAGCTTGAACCCGGGAGGGGGAGGTTTCAGTGAACTGAGATGGTGCCACTGCACTCCCGCCTGGGCAACAAGAGCAAAACTCTATCTCAAGAAAAAAACAATTTACCTCTACGTGATGAGCCACATCTCTACTCAGTGTGTGAAAAATACATTCTTTTTTTTTCTGCCACCCCAGACTTCTGGGAAAGGAGCCTGGAGCTGTGCCCAAGCATCCCAGCCTTTGCCCTCAATTGCAAACAGAGTGGAGTGTCTCTTAGCTCAGGAGTTTGTGCTACTCAAGAGTTTGCACAAACACAAAGCTGAGAAATACTGCTTGCTGAAAGGGGTGTAAAAGGCAAAGGACAAACCAGTTGTCCTCTGAAGTGGAGACACTTCTATTCTATGTTGGCTACGATCTTGGAGAATGCAGGCAGGGAACAAGTTTTGCCCATTTTCCAATGAGAGACCCCTTGTGGTAAGAGAGGCTCTTCTCTCTCTACCTGCTGAGTTACTTCATCTCTTTGGTACCCAATTTCCTCATGTTTAAAATTAGGGAGTGAAACCACACATCCCCTAAGATTCTTTCCTCTTAGCCGTTCTATGAGTTAATTAATGAGATTTGTTTTCCCATTAGCATACATCCAAAAAGGTACTCAAGGTAGATTTTCCATGTTTCCTGGAATCATGTAACTGCCCAAGATGAAGTGGTAGTGTTTGGAGGAGAAGCCCTTCCTTGCTTCCTTTATTTCCATTTTAGAGACAAAATCTCTCCCTGTCACTCATGCTGGGGAGCAGTGGTGCAATCCTGTCTCATTGCAACCTCAAACTTCTGGCCTCAAGCGATCCTCCCATCCCAGCCTCTAGAGTAGCTGGGACAACAGGCATAAACCACCATGTCCAGCTAATTTTAAAAATTATTTTGGGCTGGGGGAAGTGGCTCATGCCTGTAATCCCAGTACTTTGGGAGGCCGAGGCAGGCAGATCACCTGAGATCAGGAGTTTGAAACCAGCCTGGCTAACATGGTGAAACCCAGCTCTACTAAAAATACAAAAAATTAGCCAGGTGTGGTGGTGCACGCCTATAATCCCAGCTGCTTTGCAGGCTGAGGCAGGAGAATCACTTGAATCCAGGAGGTGGAGGTTTCAGTGAGCTAAGATCACACCACTGCACTCCAGCCTGGGCAACAAGAGTGAAACTCCATCTCAACAAAACAAAACAAAACAAAACAAAACAAAACAAACAAAAACCAAAAATAAAAATTATAATAAAATAAAATTATTTTGTAGAGACAGGGTCTTACTATGTTGCCCAGGCTGGTCTCAAACTCCTGGCCTCAATTGATCCTTCTGCTGCCTCAGCCTCCCAAAGTGCTGGGATTGCAGGCGTGAGACATTGTGCCTGGCCCTTCATTGCTTTTTAATAAACTTAATTACCTTCATTTGAATACCTTTAGAACTACATTGGTTTTGTATTTCGAGGCTAGAGTTGATTTCCATAAATAGTCATTTTGAGCCAGGTCTTTTGAATAAAGTGAGTGGTCAGAGATGATGCCACAACTTTGGCTAAAACAGTTTCCCAGAGAGCACGCTGTGAACTCTAAAATACTGTGTGCTGGTCACCATACCACAGTTCACTCTTCTTGCAAACTCAGTATTGCAAATTAATAAAACTTTTTAATTCAATTTATTTTATTTTTTTTAGACAGAGTCTCACTCTGTCACACAGGCTGGAGTGCAGCAGTGTGATCTTGGCTCACTGCAACTTCCGCCTCCTGGGTTCAAGCAATTCTCCTGCCTAAGCCTCGCATCTGGCTGGGATTACAGACATGTGCCACCACATCTGGCTAATTTTTGTATTTTTTTTTTGAGATAGAGTCTTGCTCTGTTGCCCAGACTGGAGTACAGTGGTGCGATCTCGGCTCACTGCCACCACCGTCTCCCAGGTTCAAGAGATTCTTATACCTCAGCCTCCCGAGTAGCTGGGATTACAGGTGTGTGCCACCATGCCCAGCTAATTTTTGTATTTTTAGTAGAGATGGGGTTTCACCATTTGGCCAGGCTGGTCTTGCACTCCTGGTCTCACGTGATCCTCCAACCTCGGCCTCCCAAAGTGCTGGGATCACAGGCGTGAGCCACCGTGCCTGGCCAATACCCTCCTCTTACGTCTGGATTAGACCTGCTGGCTTGCTTCTTTTTTTATGAGACAAGGTCTTGCTTTGTCCTCCAGGCTGGAGTGCAGTAATGCAATAGTTCATTGCAGCCTCCTGAGCTCAAGAGATCCTCCTGCCTCAGCCTCCTGAGTAACTGAGACCACAGACACAGGCCACCACTCTCACCTAATTTTCTGTAGAGGCAGGGTCTCACTATGTTGCCTAGGCTGGTCTTGAACTTCTGGCCTCAAGTAATCTTCTCACTTCAGCCTTCCAAAGGGCTGGGATTACAGGTGTGAGCCACTGTGCCCAGCAAGAAATAAGAAGGTTTAATTTATTGGTGTGAGCTGTCCGGTTGGCTGTGCAGAGAGCCGCTGATGTGAGTGGATTCAGGGCCAGGGTGAGAAGCCGTGATCCTTATGAGCTTCTCTGCACCTCCACCTTTTGGAAAAGGGCAGGGTCCCTACAGTCAGACTCCCCACCAGCTCTTGGTAGGCCCTGACTCAACAACCTTCTGATTTGTTGTCATTGCGGTTCCTGGCATGTGGCACTAAGCACTATTTTTTTTTTTTGAGTCAGGGTCTCACTCTGTTGCCCGGACTGGAGTGCAGTTGTGCAATCTCAGCTCACTGCAACCTTGACCTTCCAGGCTCAAGCAATCCTTCTGCCTCAGCCTCCAAAGTAGCTGGGATCACAGACACCTGCCACTACACCTGGCTAATTTTTGTATTATTATTATTTTTTTTAGAGATACTGGGTATCCCTATGTTGCCCAGGCTGTCTTGAACTCCCGGGCGATCCTCCCACCTCAGCCTCCCAAAGTGCTGAAGTTACAAATGTGAGTCATCACAACCCGGACAGAGTTTTTTAAAAACCAACTTGAGATTTTATTTCAAAATTTAAACAAGATTTTAAAATGTTTAAATTAGGCTGAGTGCAGTGGCTCATGCCTATAATCCTAGCAATTTGAGAGGACAAGGCAGGAGGATTACCTGAGGTCAGGAGTTCGAGATCAACCTGGCCAACATGGTGAAACTCTGTCTCTACTAAAACTACAGAAATGATCCGGGTGTTGTGGCACACGCCTGTAATCCCAGCTACTCGGGAGGCTGAGGCAGGAGAATCGCTTAAACCCAGGAGACAGAAGTTGCTGTGAGCTAAGATTGTGCCACTGCACTCCAGCCTGGATGACAGAGAGGGACTCTGTGTAAAAAAAAAAAACAAAAAAAAAAACAAAAAACTAATAATAAATAAACTAATTAAATGTTTAAATTATTTTCTTAGCTGGGCATAGTGGTGTACACCTGTGGTTCTGGCTACTTGGGGCACTGAGGTAGGAGGATGGCTTGAGCCTGGGAGATAGAGGCTGCAGTGAACTATGATCATACCACTACACTCCAGCCTGGGTGACAGAGCAAGAACTTGTCTCAAGAAAAATTATTTTCCTCTGAGTCTCAGGTATTCTAACAAGGCTTGGCAGCCCCCATTTTGTGGCAAGGGCCTGGCGAACAGGTTCTGTGTGTAGAATTGAGGTCCTTGTGGCGTAACATTTCCTCGGGCTGCATCAGCCTGTGGGTGAAAGTAAAGTTGGGTGCGGTGGCTCTCCCCTGGATTCCTTGATGCTTTTAATACCCTGAGTCCTCTACCCCACTCTGAGCCACATTGACACTTGTGCACCAAGGTGCGTGGTGTGGCCCCAGTGCCCACAGGATCATTTGTGAGAACTGCTCCTTCAGCCTCACCTGTGGCCTCTCCTTCTCCAGGGTGAAGTCTGGTTCCTGATGTTCACGCCATGCCCCTTCTCACCAGGGTGCATGGGCATTACTGCCTCCAAAACACCTGATTGAAACCTGTTCCTGGTGGGGCCACCTCACCTGTCCAGGATGGCTTTCTCTGAAGCCAGTTCTCCCACCACAGAGGGAAGTAAAGAAAATTATGAAAACTAACAGGGCACAGTGGCTCACGCCTGTAATCCCAACACATTGGAAGGCTGAGGGGGGCAGATCACTCAAGATCAGGAGTTCGAGACCAGCCTGGCCAACATGGCAAAACCCAATCTCTACTAAAAATACAAAATATTAGCCGGGCATCCTGGCTAACACGGTGAAACCCTGTCTCTACTAAAACTACAAATTTAGCTGGGTAGTGGTCGGCTCCTGTAGTCCCAGCTACTCAGGAGGCTGAGGCAGGAGAATGGCAAGAACCTGGGAGGTGGAGCTTGCAGTGAGCCCAGATTGCGCCACTGCACTCCAGCCTGGGGGACAGAGAAAGACTCCCTCTCAAAAAAAAAAAAAAGTTTTTTTTTCATGGTTCTGGGAGTTGATGGGTTCAGGTAGGTGCGCCTGTAGTCCCAGCTACTCAGGAGGCTGAGGCAGGAGAATGGCGAGAACCCGGGAGGTGGGTTCTGAGCAGCCATGAAGAGTAGGAAGATAACTCCACCTACCTCTCGCTGGGTCTATGGGGAAAACATTGATTAAAGCAGACCAGGTCTTCAGAGAGAGACTAGGTTTGATGACTAAGAGATTCAAAAAGCTAGAAGGAAAGGAGGATGTTTAAGTTACTCTTACTGCATAATATATAACCCCAAAACTTTAGGCACTTAAAATAGCAATCTTGCTGGGCGCAGTGGCTCACACCTGTAATCTCAGCACTTTGGGAGACCAAGGCAGGTGGATCACCTGAGGTCGGGAGTTCGAGACCAGCATGACCAACATGAAGAAATCCTGTCTCTATTAAAAATACAAAATTAGCCGGGTGTGGTGGCAGACGCCTGTAATTGCAGCTACTCAGGAGGCTGAGGCAGGAGAATCACTTGAACCTTGGAGGCAGAGATTGCCATGAGCCGAGATCACACCATTGCACCCCAACCTGGACAACAAGAGTGAAACTCATTTTTTTTTTTTTTTAAAAGGCCAGGCACAGTGGCTCACGCCTGTAATCCCAGCACTTTGGGAGGGCGAGGTGGGCAGATCACGAGGTCAGATCGAAACCATCCTGGCTAACACGGTGAAACCCTGTGTCTACTAAAACTACAAATTTAGCTGGGTAGTGGTCGGCTCCTGTAGTCCCAGCTACTCAGGAGGCTGAGGCAGGAGAATGGCAAGAACCTGGGAGGTGGAGCTTGCAGTGAGCCCAGATTGCGCCACTGCACTCCAGCCTGGGGGACAGAGAAAGACTCCCTCTCAAAAAAAAAAAAAAAAGTTTTTTTTTTCATGGTTCTGGGAGTTGATGGGTTCAGGTAGGTGATGGTCAGTAGGGGTCTCTCATGCTGTCGTAGTGGCTGGGCTGGAGTCTTCGCAAAGCCTTCTTCAGTCCCATGTCTGGAAACTGATGTTGGCTGTCATCTGAAACCTGTGCTGGGACTGTTGATTGGAACATCAAAATGTGGCCTCTCCCTGTGATCTGGGCTTCCTCACAGCATGGTGGCTGGGTTCAAAGAGCAAGCATCCCAGGAGGACCACGGAGAAATGGTGTCCCCTTTCATGACCTACCTTGAATCACTTCTGCCAGTCACAGACCTTCTTGAATTCAAGGGGAGGGAGCACAGACCCGACCTCACCATGGGAGCAATGTTAAGGTCATGCTGCAGAACAGCATGTGCTATTATTATTATTATTATTATTAGGGAATCTTGCTCTGTCATGCAGGCTGGAGTGTAGTGGTGCAATGTCGACTCATTGCAACTACTGCCTCCTGGGTTCAAGTGATTCTTCTGCCTCAGCCTCCTGAGTAGCTGGGATTACAGGCGCCTGCTACCACACCCAGCTAAATTTTGTACTTTTAGTAGAGACGGAGTTTCACCATGTTGGCCAGGCTGGTCTCAAACTCCTGACCTCAAGTGATCCACCTGCCTCTGCCTCCCAAACTGCAGGGATTACAGGTGTGAGCCACCGCACCCAGCACATGCTATTAGTAAAAAGTCAGAAAACAGTCAGGTGTGGTGATTTGCACCTATAATTCTGCACTTTGGGAGGCCGAGGTGGGCAGATCACTTGAGGTCAGGAGTTCGAGACCCGCCTAGGCAACATCAGACCCGCATATCTATAAAAATAAAAAATAAATTTAAAATTAAAAGTCAGAAAACCAAAGATATTGATGAGGATGCAGAGAAAAGGGAATGCTTATACACTGTTGGTGGGAATGTAAATTATTACAACCCTTACAGAAAACATTATGGAGATTTCTCAAAGAAATAAAAACAGAACTGCCGTTCAAATAGCAATCTCACTACTGGATATCTTCCCAAAGGTGGCTCACGCCTGTAATCCCAGCACTTTGGGAGGCTGAGTTGGGCAGATCATGACGTCAGGAGTTCGAGACCAGACTGGCCAACATAGTGAAACACCATTTCTATGAAAAATACAAAAAAATTAGCTGGGCGTGATGGTGGTAGGTGCCTGTAATCCCAGCTACTCGGGAGGCTGAGGTAGGAGACTCTGTTGAACCTGGGAAGCAAAGGTTGCAGTGAGCCGAGATCGTGCCATTGCACTCCAGTCTGGGCGACAAGAGCAAAACTCCATCTCAAAAAAAAAAAAAAATGGAGTAAATGGGTTATTTCCCCAAGATTGCCTTTTTAAAGAAAACCAGTTTTATAAACCTGTTTTCTAGAAAATCAGTTCTGTAAACCAATATTCATCAGGCTTATCATATGGCTTTTTAGATTTTGAATTATTTTTCGTGAGGATTTTTATTAGTATGTTTCCTAATAATGGGCCATGTTTAAATTTTTTTTGTTATATTTTTGAAGTATGCCTTACTTGATCATGTTGTGATATAATTATAACATATGCTGCTTTCTCTTTGCTTGGATTTTAAAATTTTGCAGTTAAAATTATTTTCTTTTTTGTGTGCTTTGTCAGATTTCCACATCAGTGTTACACTAGTATTTTAATGGCTTATTTTATTCTATTCTTTTATTTTCAAATTTTCTATATCCTTAAGCTTAAAAATGTCTCTTTTAAACATTATATAATTTAGGTTTTTTATTATTAGGTTTTATAATTTTTGTATTTTAATTGGAGCATTTAGTTTGTATAATATAGTTAATATACTCTTTGCTTTCTATTTTCATCAAAAATTTGAATAGAATAAAAAGCTGACCTCCCCCAAGCAAGAGGGAATTCTCTGGCAGATTGCCTTTGGACTTGAATTACAAGTCTTTCCTGAATCTCCAGCCTGCTAGCCTCTTCTATTATGAGTCAATTCCTTAAAATAAATCTGTATGATATATATTTAATATAATTAATATATAATGTGGCTGCTACCTAGTAGAATTAATATATACTTAATATGACATATAATATAATTACAGTAGGACCTCCTTATCTGGGGGAAGGATTATGTTCCAAGACCCTCAGTGGATGCCTGAAACCACAGATGTATTTTTCTCTATACATACATAGCTGTGAAAAAGTTTAATATATAAATTAGGCACAGTAAAAAATTAACAGGAATAACAAATAATACAATAATTATAATAATATGCCAGCATGTTTCTTTTTCTCTTTTTTCTTGCCTTTTGGATTGATAGACTTTTTTACCATCCTAGCTTTTTCCTCTCTTGCCAAGTTATAGATCCTGTTCCTTTAACGGTTACCCTACAGATTACAACACATAGCTTTCATATATTTTGGGTGTTAAAACAGCTGGTGATCCCAGAAGGTGGAAGAACTTGGAGATAATTGGGACATGAAATGATCTATGCTGTTGGTATTCTAATCTCTCTTCTCTTCATAGTTCTTCTTTCCTTGCTTCCATTTTTCACATCTTGAATTTTTCTCTTCAAGGAAATGATATATTTCTTTTCAGTGCAAACCCAGTGTTTGCTCTTGATTTTGAGCTTTCTTTTGTCTCTCAAGACGTACAAAGCAGCTGCCAACTATTCCATGGTTTCCCAGCTGAAGGAGCCCTGCCCTGCACCCTTGCAGCAGCCCTGAAGCAGACACCCCAGGGAGCAACCGCTGGGGCACCCCCGGCTGGCACCAGCATACAAAGTGGTCAGAAATGTGCTGTTAGCCCTCAATGGGGCTGCTTAATAAATCACAGTTATACTTCCCTCTTTGGTCCAAAAGTTTTGAGAGAGAGAGAGAGAGAGAGAGAGAGAGAGAGAGAGAGAGAGAGAGACCGAGCATACGTGTGTGTCCTTCACAGGACACCATAAGAAAGTAAAAAGACAACCCATAAAATGGGAGAAAATATTTGCAAATTACATTTCTGATAAGACATATCTGTTAAACTCTTACAAGTTAATAATTTTATTTAAAAAATGACCCAAGTAAAACAGTTAGCAAAGGGTCTGAATGAACATTTTGCCAAGGCAGATAAACATACGGCCAATAAGCACATAAAACGATGCTCAGCACCATTTGCCATCAGGGACATGAAAATCAAAACCACAGTGAGATACCATGCCACACCTACCAGAGTGGCTGAAATTTAAAAAGACAGCCAGAACAAGTGTTGGCAAAGATGTGGAAAAATCTTTGGTGGTGGTGGAAAAGAGATTTATTTTGCTGGTAGAAACTGCTAATGGAAAAGGTTAAGCATAGAGTTACAAATTTTTTTTTTTGTGGGGCACAGGGCCTGGCTCTGTCACCTAGGCTGGAGCACAGTGGCACGATCTCAGCTCACAGCAACCTCTGCCACCCACACTCAAACAATCCTCCCACCAGAGCCTCCCACCTCACCATTACCCTTGCAATGGAAAGAAAAAGCCTTATCAGATATGCCTTATCAGATACATAATTTGCAAATATTTTCTACAGTAGCTATTTCTAGAGTGGCTGGGACTATAGGTGCCACCATGCCCAGCTAATTTTTGTATTTTTTTTAGAGACACGGTTTCACTTTATTGCACAGGCTGGTCTGGGTATCCTGAGCTGAAACAATCTACCTGCCTCGGCCTCACAAAGTGCTAGGATTACAGATGTGAGCCACCTTACCCAGAGAGGTAAGGATAGCCATGCTTGTCAGACCTACAGAAATTTTTCTCTTGGTTTTGAATATACTCAAGATTGATTGGATAGGTGTACTGAAGTAAAAATGATATCACATTAGTTAATTTTAATTAGCTAGATGTTGGGACAGAAATGTGAAGGCCACATAGTCTGTCAACATTAAATTTTAAAAGAACTGAGCACTGAATAGAAGACAAGGGCATCAAGGGAATACATGTCAGTTCAACTTCTTTACGGGTGGAAATGTAATTCTCACATAGGAGACTCATTTATTATGTAGTTTTCATCTTGGCAAGGAAGACTGCTCTTTCTTTATCCACAATGGGTAATTTCTAAATCTTTCCTAGCCTAGGGCATGGAGGCCAAATACTACTGTGGGTCAAGTGGGTCCATCTTTTTCTTAGGTGACTGTATCACATATGCCTGAAATATAATTTTAAATATGAGATAATAATATCACCTCCTGCCTAGCTATGACTACAGGCAGTCTAGCACCAAAGGAGGTCAGAAGTTCCCTCTTTATATTTAGTCCATCTTTCTGTTCAACGCATTTGTAGATTGAGTGGTTTTTGTATTACGAATCAGGTTTATTCTCTCCCAAGGCAGGAAGTTTTCAATTATTACATTTTTTTATACACAGCAGGTGGATTTTGTCTGAAAGATAGTTTTATGCCAGGATATCGTTATTTGTTTCACTATTGAGCTACAGAACCTTAGAATTATTTTAAAGATTGGGAAGGTATAACCTGTCTCCCATGAAAGACCTTTGTAGTGGTAAATTTGCCAACCTTGATAATTTTACTCAAACTTTTTTTCTTTTTTTTTTTTTTGAGATGGAGTCTCACTCTTGTCACCCAGGTTGGAGTGCAATGGCATGATCTCAGCTCGCTGCAACCTCCACCTCCCAGGTTCAAGCAATTCTCCTGCCTCAGCCTCCCAAGTAGCTGGGACTACAGGCGCCCACCACCACGCCCGGCTAATTTTTGTATTTTTAGTAGAGACAGGGTTTCACCACATTGGCCAGGCTCCTCTCGAACTCCTGACCTCAGGTGATCCACCTGCTTCGGCCTCCCAAAGTGGGCTGGGATTACAGGCGTGAGCCACCGTGCCCGGCCCAAACTTTGTGAAGAAAAAAAAAAACCACCCACATTTTAAGTAATAATTTTTATGTATTTATATCTAGGTCTTGGGGTTTTTCTTGGTCTATTTCATTATATAGGAGTGAGAATTTAAAGCAGTGGCTAGGGTTCTGAAGTCTGTGGGTCAAATTTTTAGCAGGGAAGGGGGATGTTGAATGGGTTCACTGACTTGCCAAACTTTCTGAAATATAATTGAGATTTTTATCATGTCTTTATATTCTGGAGACAGATTACATATTTAGAATCTCAAAGAGGTTATCTACCTAAAATATTGAAAATTGTAGGTACAAAGTACTTTATATAATTAAAAGTGTGCATCATCATTTATAGTGATTACTGTGCTGAAAATAATGTGTTAATTTTAAATTTTGAAACAATTCTAAACAAAAGTTACAAGTACAGTATATAACTTTTTTAAAGATATTTGAGACGGATGCTTCTCTTTTGTCCCTCTAAATACCTTAGTATATTTCTCTTCTTTAAGGATATTCTCCTATATAGCCATAATATACCATCAATATCAGAAAGTAACAAATGTATGTTATACACACACAGACACACACATTTACATATATATGTCTGTGTGTGTGTGTGTGTGTGTGTGTGTATTGAAAAATATAAGTGTACACTTCAATCTCCAATTTCAGTTCATCATTAGAGGGGCCCTAATTTTCATCCCTCCTATATTTGTATTGTCTTTCTGATGGTGAGATACCATTATCCTCCATATGTGTACTTACTTTATCAATTCTCGAGTAATTAATCCATCATCTCCTTTAGGTTCTTCCCTTTCTTCTCTGAAAAATATCAGGGAAGAACCTGAGGGAGGTGATGGATTAGTTAATTGCAGGTGGATTAGTGTAATTAAGGGGGAGGCAGTGGCCCTGCTTACCTCTCTTGTGCTGTGATGTCTCATGCCAGGCCATTCTTCTCATATGGATGCCCCCTCATCCTTTTTAACTCAGACATCTCATGCTAGTCCATTCTTCTCACGCTCTATTAGAAACGTTTCCTCATTCTGCAGGCTGTAATACCCTGTTCTGGGCCACTGTGGTTTTCTCTCCAGCATGGACACCTACCTTTCTCAGTCTCACGTAATGACTTTTGGACTGAATTTTTAGGAAGAAATGTGGAAAAGAAAGAGCCGAAGTAATTTTGAAGTGTTTAAAACCCAATATTTAACTGTACCATAGAATTAATTGATATGTGAATAGAATAGTTTTTTTTGATGCCTAAAAAGGTAGAAACATTAGTAAAATTGTAATTTTGGACTGCCATAGAAAAAAGTAATGGAGATAAAAAGCTCTGGAAAAACTTAGCTTGGAAATTAAAATTATCTGCCTATGCGTACAAGTGTTACAGAGTTTTCATTGATAATATTATTTTGATAAACTAAGTAGGATGTCCCCCAAATTTACTAACAGTTGAAACAAATAGGCTGATATTTAGAAGGAAGAAAGTTTTAGACTTTGGGGCTTCTGTTTCTTGCACTGCCCAGAATTCTTTAAGTAAGCAGATGATAAATACAAGCTAATTGTGCATATCAAAGAATCAAATGTGAAGATTTGTAGTTCATTCTTAACTAACTCAAGTTTTTAATGATAGAATGCTATAAATTGTTTATTATGTTACAGATGGAAATAATTACAACAATAACATAAAGGATGAGCTCTTCCATAGCATGCTTGTCCTGGTTCAGAGGATAAATTTTAATTGAATGATTAGTAATTAACTTTATGTACATCAGCAGTGTAAGTGCTAAGAATTACTGATCAAGCAGATGACATGAAAATGAAAATGATTACTTCTACCCTCAAAGGAATTTCCAGGAAAATGCACACTACTAATTATGTTTAATTGCATAAATGCTGTAGTAATGTACATTTAAAGTGCCATGTAAATAGTCAGGAGTTTTTATTTGGATTTATGTGCTAACTTTATTAGTCTGATAGGATTGATTAGAATCTTGAAACCAGTAACTCACTATTGTGTATAAATTTGGAATTTACAGTTTATTTTGGCAATTTTGTAAAAGAACTTATTTTATTCACGTTTTTGACTTATGTTTTTGTCACACCATGAAAATAAGCCTTCTGTATTTAAACTAACTTTATATCTACTGTATAATACTCAGTGCCGCAGCTGTCACACTGAAAAGAATATCATACTTAGTCTAGTTTAAAACTTCAATTTCTATCACAAACAAGCTGTATGACCCTGGACAGATCACTTTGAATCTCACTTTGCTTTTCTTTTTTTTTCTTTTTTGGAGATGGAGTCTGTCTGTGTCGCCCAGGCTGCAGTGCAGTGGCGTGATCTCCGCTCACTGCAAGCTCCGCCTCCCAGGTTCAGGGCATTCTCTTGCCTCCGCCTCCCAAGTAACTGGGACTATAGGCGCCCGCCACTACGCCCGCCTAATTTTTTTTTTTTTTTGTATTTTTAGTACAGATGGGGTTTCACCGTGTTAGCCAGGATAGTCTCCTTCTCCTGACCTCGTGATCCGCCCGCCTCGCCCTCCCAAAGTGCTGGGATTACAGGCATGAGCCACCGCGCCTGGCCGAATCTCTTTCCTTTTCTCAACAAATATTTACCTAGCCTTTTTTTTTTTTTTTTTTTTTTTTTTTTTTGAGATGGAGTCTCGGTTTGTTGCCCAGGCTAGAGGGCAATGGCATGATCTCGGCTCACTGCAACCTCCGCCCCCCTAGGTTCAAGCGATTCTCCTGCCTCAGCCTCTCAAGTAGCTGGGACTACAGGCGTGCACCACCACAACAGGCTAATTTTTGTATTTATAGTAGAGACAGGGTTTCGCCATGTTGGCCAGGCTGATCTTGAACTCCTGACTTCAAGTGATCCGCCCACCTTGGCTGGGATTACAAGCATGAGCCATCGCTCCGAGCCTTACCTAGTCTTTTCTAAGCCAAACACTGCACTTTGATTACAAAAAAGTAAAAGAAGGCCAGGCTCATTCATGTATGTAATTCCAGCACTTTGGAAGGCCCAGGTAGGAGGATTGCTTGAGCCTAGGAGTTCGAGATGAGCCTTGGCAACAGAGTGAGACCCCATTTCTAAAAAAATATTAAAAATAAAAATAAAACACTTTGGGAGGCCGAGGCAGGCAGATCACGAGGTCAGGAGATGGAGACTATCCTGGCTAACACAGTGAAACCCCGTCTCTACTAAAATTACAAAAAAATTTGCCGGGCGTCGTGGTGGGCACCTGTAGTCCCAGCTACTCGAGAGGTTGAGGCAGGAGAATGGCGTGAACCCGACAGGCGGAGCTTGCATTGAGCAGAGATCCGCCGCTGCACTCCAGCCTGGGCCACAGAGCGAGACTCCGTCTCATAAATAAATAAATAAAAAAGAGCTGTGGTAGGGTTCCCTAAGAACCTGTGGGTGTGGGAAGGTGGTAGAGTGGAGATACTTACACAGGAATGCTGTGCACTATGAGTGACTACCCCTGCCTCACAGAGGGCTTGAGATAATTGTCTATGTGAATGTACTTAGTATATATATTACATATGTAAAATACCTAGTAAATCTGTAAATTGTATAAATGTTAATTTTAAACATATTTTTATTTGTGCATTTTCATGACTTAGTTTTAAGATCCAAAACGAGGAATGCAGAAAAGGGAAAGCAGGGATGGTAGTCAATGATGTACAATTAATAAGCTAAATATTTCATTAATCCTTACTTTGGACTTCTGTTTTGGTTGAACTTTTTTGGTTACAAACATTTGGGGCAAATGTGTGCTCTTTGTAATTCAGTACAGATTGCTGGGCAAAGCTCTTTTCTGCTGAGAGTCAGATTTAAAAGATGGTTGATAACTTATTCTTTTCCTTTTTAAAACATGGTTTAGATGTGTAGCTTGGCTTCTTAAATTCTGTGCAGGTAAATATTGTGCTCAAGTTTTTTATGTCACATGACTATTTAGTCTGAAGGGTGCACTTGCTTTGTAGTTGCTGAATATTAATGCTACTCCTTGCAAACCTTTTGAGTATATTGCTTTCCCTTGACTGTATCAGGTATTTAATATCAGTGATAGAAAGAATCTTAGGGATTGCTTTTATTAAAAGTTAATAAACTTTAAAAAAAGTTTTAGTTTGAAATTTTGAGCCTGATTTTTTATATGTGGATGTTTGCCTTTCTTGTTGAATCAACATGAATTATATATTTGTTTGAAATGTAGTTGGATATTTAGATAACTCCTGTTTTTTGATGTAACAGATATTCAGATATATGGCTTGAAATTTTCTTCCTATAAAAACTAGGACTTGTTACAAAATGTTTTTTGATTAGAAAAGTAATATGAGGCCGGGCACGGTAGTTCATGCCTCTAATCCCAGCACTTTGGGAGGCTGAGGCAGGTGGATCACGAGGTCAGGAGATCGAGACCATCCTGGCTAACACGGTGAAACCCCGTCTCTACTAAAAATACAAAAAATTAGCCAGGCGAGGTGGCGGGCACCTGTAGTCCCAGCTACTCAGGAGGCTGAGGCAGCAGAATGGCGTGAACCCCGGGGGGCAGAGCCTGCAGTAAGCTAAGATCGTGCCACTGCACTCCAGACTGGGTGACAGCGAGACTCCATCTCAAAAAAAAAAAAATATGAAGGAGTATATGGCATTTTAAGAGGACATCACCATCGTTAAATTTTGTTATATTTTCTGCATCTTAGGCATAGTTGTAATAGCATATTCATTTTGTATACTTTCTTCATCTAATGCTATGGCAAGCATTTCTGTGTGTCAGAACTTTAAAAACTAATTTTCAATGGCTGAATAATATTTTTATAGGTGTATCATGATAAGCTTAGCCTACCTCCCATTGTTGCACCTGGAAAGTCTCCCCCTGCCACCACACACACACTTCTTTATTGTTAAAATATTACTGCAGTGTTTTTCTCTGTGTGTTTCATTCCTAGAAGTAGATGGCATGGTAAAGGAGGTTAACTGAAAATGTCATACCAACTAATACAGTTTCTATAGTGTGTGAATGCCCATATGTATCTCATCCTTGCCAGTATGGAGTGGAAATCTCTTTTATTTTCCTGGAGAAGTTGGTTCTTTAGGAGGAGAGAAGCAATGGGGAGTATCTTCAGGGTGGCTGAACTTTGCAACCTCTTCAATAAATAACTTCCCACTCTGTAATTTGCCCACCTGTATTACCCCACCCCCAAGCCTCAGACTTTAGGAAATGGCATCAGGCCTATACATCTGGAGAGTTCAGAGTTCTTTGAGGTAAATCATTCCTTCCAATGGGACCTAGAATTCCTTGAGTTGCAGAATTTTACTGACTAGACCCAGGAGGTCTCAGGAGTCCAGAGTTGATTGGAGCTTGGCTCAGAATTCCAAGGGGGCCCATAACTCCATGAGGCCCAGATTTCCTGGCTCAGGAAAATTGGGAGGCCTGGGATACTGTGGCTTAGACCCAAGCCGAAAGATGAGCACAGATCTTTATGGCTTGAAGGTATATGAAATTATGTCATTACATTAGAGCAGCACCTCTGCTCACCTATGGGAATCTGCAGCTGAGCTGTGACACGTAGAAGCTGGCCATGTCCAGATTGGTGGTTCTGAAATGGGCAGCCATGTGCACATAGTTGTACAATGTGAATGAAGCTCACTTGTTGATACTCCATGGCCAGCATGCTGTGGAGGTAACGTTCCCAAAGGGCAGCTCGAGCCCACTGCTCCTGGGATTCCTGCGATTCTTGAGTATGGGACACTCTTGGATTTCAGGAGCCTCTGGCTTCAACTGCCCCAGCATCCATCGGGGCAAAGCCAAGGCTGAGGCCATCAGGGCCCCAGGGTAACTGGAGCACGGGCACAGGAATAGTCAGTGGAGTCTGCATTGTCTTGGCGAGGTCCGCAGCTGCTCGGAAATCTCTTTTAAATGTCAAATTTGGTATTTACTAATTCAGTATTAGACAAAGATATTACATTTTAATTTATGTGCCTTTGATTACTTATTTGAAATTTTAAAAAAAGTACTGTTCTTTATTCTGAAATTTTGTACTTGCAACTTTTTTAGTGTCAGAAGTCTTTTCAAAACTTTTTTTGCCTAGCTTTTTATTAAGTATAGTCACAACACTAATGACAGTTTCATTGTTATATTTCTTGTGAATGTTGTAACTTAAAAATAAATGAGTGCAGTACTCATTTATTTTTAAAGAAATATCAGTGAGATGCTACCTGACTTCAAACTATACTACAAGGCTACAGTAAACAAAACAGCATGGTACTGGTACCAAAACAGAGATATAGACCAATGGAACAGAACAGAGCCCTCAGAAATAATGCTGCATATCTACCACCCTCTGATCTTTGACAAACCTGACAAAAACAAGAAATGGGGAAAGGATTCCCTATTTAATAAATGGTGCTGGGAAAACTGGCTAGCCATAGGTAGAAAGCTGAAACTGGATCCCTTCCTTAAACCTTATACAAAAATTAATTCAAGATGGATTAAAGACTTAAATGTTAGACCTAAAACCATAAAAACCCTAGAAGAAAACCTAGGCAATACCATTCAGGACATAGGCATGGGCAAGGACTTCATGTCTAAAACACCAAAAGCAATGGCAACAAAAGCCAAAATTGACAAATGGGATCTAATTAAACTAAAGAGCTTCTGCAAAGCAAAAGAAACTACCATCAGAGTGAACAGGCAACCTACAGAACAGGAGAAAATTTTTGCAATCTACTCATCTGACAAAGGGCTAATATCCAGAATCTACAATGAACTCAAACAAATTTACAAGAAAAAAACATACAACCCCATCAACAACTGGGTGAAGGATATGAACAGACACTTCTGAAAAGAAGATATTTATGCAGCCAACAGACACATGAAAAAATGTTCGTCATCACTGGCCATCAGAGAAATGCAAATCAAAACCACAATGAGATACCACCTCACACCAGTTAGAATGGCAGTCCTTAAAAAGTCAGGAAACAACAGGTGCTAGAGAGGATGTGGAGAAACAGGAACACTTTTACACTGTTGGTGGGACTGTAAACTAGTTCAACCATTGTGAAAGTCAGTGTGATGATTCCTCAGGGATCTAGAACTAGAAATACCATTTGACCCTGCCATCCCATTACTGGGTATATACCCAAAGGATTATAAATCATGCTGCTATAAAGACACATGCACACATGTTTATTGCGGCACTATTCACAATAACAAAGACTTGGAACCAAGCCAAATGTCCAACAATGATAGACAGGATTAAGAAAATGTGACACATATACACCATGGAATACTATGCAGCCATAAAAAATGATGAGTTCATGCCCTTTGTAGGGACATGGATGAAGCTTGAAACCATCATTCTCAGCAAACTATCGCAAGGACAAAAAACCAAACACCGCATATTCTCACTCATAGGTGGGAATTGAACAATGAGAACACATGGACACAGGAAGGGGAACATCACACACTGGGGCCTGTTGTGGGGTCGGGGGAGGGATAGCATTAGGAGATATACCTAATGTTAATGACGAGTTAATGGGTGCAGCACACCAACATGGCACATGTATACATATGTAACTAACCTGCACGTTGTGCACATGTACCCTAAAACTTAAAGTATAATAATAATAAAAAAAGAAATATCAGTGAGATATAATTCACATAATCACTGGCATGATTCATATAGTTCACCCCTGGTCCTTAGGGGATATATTTTGGTATATGAGATTTAAAGAAAGTAAGAACTTAAAAGAATCTATAGGTTATCTAATTCAAACAGTTAAAACCTACCCACTTCTGCTTTGAAAGCCACTTCTTAGAACCACTCTATAGAACATGCTACCTGATCAAGAATAAATCAACACCTTGCTTCCCCTCTTCTATCCGTTAGATATCCAGGTAAAATAATATCTATTTTCCTGATATTTCTCCTTTACTTACGCTCTAGCGTGCCCTATGGCCAGCTGTAAGTTGCCCTCTACTTTTAGAGAGCCCTTTGGTATGTTTCTGCAAAATCTACTTTTTCTGATTCATGTAATTCAAAACTAGCCCTATTTTCTTCCAAATTAAAACTCTTTCTTTCTTAATTAATGCTTGCCCAAAATAGAAATTAGAGGGAAAGTCTTATTCCAGGATCTGAAAGACTAACAGTATTCACAAAAATACTTGATTTTTAAGGGGGAATGTGTATTGAATGATCAATTAGAATTTCAGGTAATGGGAAGAATTTCGAGGAACATTGAGGGACAGCTCAGAGACAGTATCTAAACTGTCAATTTGAACTCTTTTCAGTTTAGCAAAAGAACTTACAGAAACTTGGTATATATCTTAGGAAACGCTGCAGACCCTAACCTAGGTCAGGCAATACCTTTTACTACAAAATTGGGATAATCATTTTCTAAATCATGATGAAAATATTCTGAGTAGGCTGCAAGGATTTCTCTGGTAACATCATGATTTAACAACGAAGCTGTCCCCTTGAACTGGGTTGTATAAGGAATGCTTTTATTTCTGAGTATAGCAAGAAAGATCATAACATACCTCTTAGCGCCTCCCAGCCTCCGACATGTAGCAAGTGAAAGCTGTTTGAATTGGCAAATGAGGTAATTATTGAGCAGCTGGTTGGAATGTTTGCTACTAGCTACACAGCACAATTGTTACTTAGTTCTTAGTACTGGTGCAATTACAGTAATTAGAATAAGTAAACTTCTTTTAAGATAATTGCAGGGCCAGGTTATATAGAGCCTATTTAGCTTGCCTTTTAGTGTTAGCACGTACATCAGTGTGTATGTTAAAGGATATACTAATAGATTTTGAGGAGATGAAATTGTCTTATAGCAAACTCCAGATCAATATATGTATGGGATGCCTTGAAAATGATTGGTATCTAATGTAGTCTAGACCAGCAGCTCCCAGTTTTTTGGCACCAGGGACTGGTTTTATGGAAGACAATTTTTCTGCCAGGGTGTGTGTGGGTGTGTGTGTGGGGGCGGGGGATGGGTGATGGATGGTTTCAGGATGAAACTGATCATGAGGCATTAGATTCTTATAAGGAGGACGCAACTTAGATCCCTCACATGCGCAGTGCACAGCAGGGTTTGCATTCCTTTGAGAGTCTGATGCTGCCGCTGATCTGACAGGAGGCGGAGCTCCAGCAGTAAAGCTCACCACCACTCACCTCCTACTGTGTGGCCCGGTTCCTAACAGGCCACGGACTGGGGGTTGGGGACGCCTGTTCTTCACAGATTAAATCTTCACCAGATTAAGCTTATTAAAAAGTAAAACAAAGAATAGCGCCCTCCCTTGGCAAAACATCTTGGTGTGGTATCTTTTCGTCATTTTATAGCCAGATGCAAAGAAAAAATAAACCTCTACTTTTAAATTTCCCATCCAGTACTTAATTTATCACCATTTGGCTTCTCCCCTTAATGCAAAACTACTTTTATTAAAGGTCAGTAAAAGGCATTCTGATTGTATTTTTCTTTAACTTATTTGGCATTATTGACCATTTTTCCTTGAAACTCTCCCTCACTTTTTGTGCTGCTGCCTCCTGGTTTACCTGGTTGTGTTGAAGCTGCTTTATTAGGATCCTTTCCTATGGGCCACCTTTAAATGTTGATGTAATCTGGCATGTTGCCCTATGTCATCCTTTATTTACTAGAATTTCTTAATTTTCTTTTTATGGAGAGAACAACATGAACATAAGAATTTCTTAATTTTATCTACCTTTCAAATCATTTTGGGAAGCTTCTTCAAAGTATTCCTGGAAACACTTGCCTAGATATTCTGGGCTTTGGGTCAAGGATGGAATATTCATCTATTTTGAAGTAGCTCCTGGGATGACACTAATATGTATTTTAGTTAAGAACCATAGTTTGCTGTTGTCTCATCTCTTAATAATAGGTTTCATTTGAGGTGCTTTTTAAAATGTCAAGCCCTGTGCATTTAATTAATAGAGTAAGTATCTTGATCAAGGTCACATACTTGTATGTGATTGAACTAGGATTTGAATTTGAACAAAATTGATTTCAAAACCCAGGAGAAAAACGAAGGAAGGAGTTAGAGGAACAAGATAGAAAAGCTCCACAATGTTATCACCAGCTCCTCTGAGGCTTTCCTCTTGCCTCAACCCTAACATGGTAAAACATTCTGAAAGGACTTAAAGATTCTGTTTCTAAAAATCCTTTGCTTTCTTTTCTATACAATTGCTACAAAATGGTAAAAGTTGCCCCTTGTATCTGCAGATATCCCAGAAAGTTGAAATGCTTATTGAAATGATACTCCATCTTTCAAAGCCTCATTGAAATGTGACCTCCTTTCCAGGCTGGTGTGATTTCTCAGTTTCCTGAAATTCTTTCTCTTTGGGGTATCTCATTCATGGTCTTGATAAAGTTCTGCCTTGTTTATTTGTTCGTTGTTTGTTTGCATATCTTACTTCTTCTACCATACTAAACTTTTTAAGGGCAAAGACTACATCGTATCTTTGCATTCCTCATTCATTTATTTGATAAAAATTTAATGATCACTTATAAAGTGTCAGATACTACTACTTTTAGTCTCAGAAAATCTAGAGATTAATAAGAAACGGATATAAAGTTGAGATGCTGAGTAAAGCAAAGATAAGCAATTATCTTTAAAGCAGGACTTCTCAGATCCTTTTATTATAAATACTGTAGGAGCCCAATCCCAAAGACCTGAAGAAACCTGACATTAGCTATTATAAACAGATATTATTGTGACTTTCTTCAAAACCTTATGAACAAATATTTGATGAATATTTTATTGTTAGGCTTGAAATTTAACATTCATGAAGAGTGATGAAATACATGGCTTTCATCAGTGAGACCTCAAAGATGAGAAAGACATGTGTTATTTTAACCTGCTTATTAGGTTAACGTACAGTGTTGTATTACTGACTCTAGTTACTCTTGTTTCATTATTTTCATAGAGTAACACCTTAAATTGTAAATATTATATTTTGTTTTAACGAGAACAAAGAAATTTTTAATCCAGTTATTTACCCTTAAGCTGCAGTAAAATGAGGGAATGATAACGACATTGTTGCAAAACATGTATAGTGCATTTCAAAGTCAAAATAAATGTAAAATAGACATTAATTTGGAACATTAAAAAATATTGTGTTTATTAAAATATTAGTTTGAAGAAATACGAAATGTTACAGATAGTCTTTTTATCTTGAGTAGGTTTTTCTTAAGCCAGTATATATATTATTCTGAACTCTATTATTCTTAAATGTTTTCTTAATAATGCAGAAGTACACTGGATTTGGGTTGTTTCCACAGATTTTGTGTTTAAGTAGAGTTTGATTTGATAGGACTGATTATAGTTCTCTATTCTTTTGCATTAATGACACTACTTCCTCCCTTTAGTAATGCCAATGAGAAAGGATCACTTGTAGTTATAAGTCACTTTGAGGTTATTAGAACAAGGCTGCTATATTTTGTCTTGTAATTATAGGCCATCTGACATTTTGCTATGGAAGTAAATATTATCTACTAAATGTGAGTAGAAATTAATATTAATGTCCAAACTCAGGCAGAGCCTCACTGCTTTCAACATTCCTTTTTATTTATTTTGAGGCCAGTACCCTTTAGTGTCAATAAATTGCCAACCTTACTCTTCTACTCCATCCCCCTGCATCCCTGTTTCAAATGTTTATTCCCTTCTTAAGGCTGTCTACTTCACCTTTGACCCTTATTCTTAGTAGTTACACTAGGGTCCTTTCTTTTTCTGTGAGAAAACATGAATAGTAATAAAATATATTCCATTGCAACTACCTATGATTGATATTGAAGTGTCCACTGTGCCAAGGTATGATTCTAATGAGATCACTTATTCCTCACAACCACTCTGTGTTTTTGTAGGTACTGCTGTTATCTGCATTTCATAGATAAGGGCGCTGACACACAGAAGTTATGGTTTACCCAAGGTCACAAGACAAATTTATTGATGGAACTGAGATAAGAGATTTCAAGGAAATTTTAAGCTCTAATGGACTACTATAACCTTTGCCCCTAGACTTTTTCAAAGTTACACAACTACTTTCTCACAATTATTGGTACTTTTGAAAAAAAAAATGAGATAGATTAAGGGTATGTGATACTTAAGGAAGCACTTAATTTACACCTTCAGGGTACTTCTTAGGAAAAATTTCCAGGGAAGAATAGTATTACCAAACTATTTTCATATTTCTCAGGTGCTGTATTTTCCTCTGCTACCAAGTAAAAGGACTTCTCACTCATTACACAATAGTTTGCTTTTAGAGCTCCCATAGCAATGTCATACAGTCACAGTGATTTGAGTAAGGTGACTTTGCTTATGGGAAATAAACTGCATTTTATCAGGCTTATTTGAATGACATTTTGGTAACCTCTGTGTTATGACACTAGAATCATTAAGACAATACAATAACCTACAAATATCTCATCTGTATGAGCTTGCTCAATGGGTTTTGACTGTACTTTAGAAGAATATTCACTGAATCAGTGTTATTCTTGAAAGGACATAGATCTATTATCATATCTTGTAAAAGGTTCTTTTTTCCCTCTTTCTCAGCCTGCTAAAGAGGTTAGGATTTAGTTTCAGGACAGATGTGGGACTTGATACCAGGGGTAGGTAGAAGTACTCAGTCTGACAAGATTAAAGGCTATTGAACTTAGTTTCTCTCTTCTTCCTCTTCTAAATTTTGAATTGCTTTATCCTTTACTTTTCCATTTGAAACTCATTGTGGGTAGTGCAGTAAAAGCAGTGGCCCTGGTGCTCACACATGTAATCCCAGCACTTTGGGAGGCTGAGGCGGGAGGATTGCTTGAATCCATGAGTTTGAGACCAGCCTGGACAACATAGTGAGACCTCATCTCTTAGAAACGTATTAGCTGGACATGGTGGCATGCACCTGTAGTCTCAGCTACTTGGGAGGCTGAGGTGGGAGGATCACTTGAGCCCAGCAGGCAGAAGTTGCAGTAAGCTGTGATTGTGCCACTTACTTCAACCTGGGCGACAGAGTGAGACCCTTCTCAAAAAAAAAAAAAAAAAAAAGACTAAGTGGGTCAGGACAAAGAGGTCAAGAAGCATGTTCCTTTCATCTGCTCAGAGTCTGGGAAGTATAGTATGATTAAGGACATGAGATTTGCCATTCAGATTGAGCTGTAGCTCTGCTACTTGGTAGAGATATTTGTCATTGGCAAGTTACTTCTCAGAGGTTTTGTTTGCTTACTTATCTGTAAAATTGTGTAAAGAGTCTTATGCAGAGTTTTGTAATTATTGCAGTCATTGAATGCATGTAAAGTGCCCAGCTCAGTGTCTTTCTTATAGTTATTGAATAAAAATATTAAGTATTATTGTTAATGAAGATACTGGTAAAATATCCCATGTCAGATATGGTCCAACCTGGTTAACCAGATTAGGGAGGTACTTGGGAATGTGGGGACAGAGTCTTTAATGGATAAATGAGAGTGGGTATTTAGAAAGGCAGTAGAACATGCTGCCTAGTGTCAAATACTGACATTACCCCTTATTAACTATTTGGCACCAGCAAGTTATTTCATTTTGTTTCCAAATGGTAACAATAATGATACAGATTGAATATCCCTAATCCAAAAATCTGAAATCTCAAATACTCCGAAGTTTGAAACTTTGAATGCTGACATCATACTCAAAGGAAATGCTCATTGAACCAATTTTTGGATTTTGGATTTTCAGATTAGGGATGCTGAACTGATGAGCAATGCAAATATTCTAAAATTTGAAAAAGCCAAATCCAAAACGCTTCTGGTCCCAAGCATTTTGGATAAGTGATACACAACCTGTAGTATCAATCTCATGGGATTATAAAGGTTGACTAAGTCAATGCTTGTAAAATACTGGCACACAGAATAATTTACAACTTACTGGCTGTCACTGTCATTATTTTCCATGCATAGTGGTATCAGTGCTAGATGATTTGGGGATTCAAAATTTGAAAAATGCTCCCCAGGGGAAATTTGTCAATGTCTGGAAGCATTTTTGGTTGTCACAGCTGGGGAGGAGGGAGGCTAACTGGCATCTAATGGGTGAAGGCCAGGGATGCTGCCAAGCGTCCTTCAACGAACAAGACACTCCTCACAATAAAGAATTGTCCAACCCAAAATGTCAGTAGTGCCAAGATTGAGAATTCCTGCAGTACAGCTGTCTGGATCTGTAGTGGTCAGCATCTGCAGTAACCTGCGCCTGATGCTTCCCTTTCATTTGCTCTGTAGTATCTTACTGGACTCAATACTCATTTTTCTCTTAACTCTTATCCCAGTACTCCCAATCATTATATTTGCAGGTAGCCTGTTCTCAGGCATTCTTCTTGACCTCTTTGTAGTATAACATATTATCAACCCCTTTAAAGAGTTAAAAGTAAAAATTAAATATTATATAATTTATGGTTCTTGTAGAAAAACTGATATACAAAGAAAGAAAATTTAAATGTTTCACTACCTTTTCCATCTAGAAATAAACACTATTAGAAACTTGGTATATTCCCTTTTATTATTACCCTCCCCTCAGCCTCCCAAAGAAAGAAAAGTTTATACAATATACATTTTTATTTTTAAGAAACTAAATTCTAAAGACATTTAGTAAAAGGTGAGTTTCCTTTTTTCTCCTGCCTTCATTTCCAGTCCTGTCTCTAGAGATAAGCATTAAACTGGTGCAAGTCTTTTGCCATTTTTTTTATACTTTTATATACGCCAGGCATTCCCATGTCAATTTTTGTGTGTGTAAACAGTGCCGTGCTATAAGTACTGTTCTGTGACTGTTTTTCCCTGTCACTGAATATACTGTACATATATTCCTGTCTGCATATTCTTTGCAATTATGTGGTATTCTAAAATATCTTTATCATGATTTATACAGTCAGCTATTAATGAAGATGGATGCTTATAGTTACAAACAGTGCTTAGGTTCCTTGGATTTCTAGGCATACATATAAATGCTTCTGTAATATACATTTCTGAAAGTGAAACCCTGGGTCAAAAGGCATGTAGATTTAAATTTTGATAGATTACCAAATTATTCTTCAGAAAAGCTGTACCAGTTTACAGTTTCACCAAGAACCACACTGATGGTCGAGTTATTTTCTTTAGGCTTATTTTAAGCATGGGTTTTTCTCTGAATACTTTAGTCACATATCTTAGTTTTTTATGTGTAATACTCATTTTGTTTGTATTTGAGTAATTTTCAAATAAGAAGAGTTAGAGAGATATGTAAGTAGGCAGATGGATTACATTATTTTTTGTTAATTTTTAATTTCACTACCTTCAGAAAATATGATCTGTAGGTTCCAGTATTGATTTATTTTTCTGTGTAGCCTTACATAGGATCAGCTTATTGAAGTATTCCATAGGTTTCAAAAATATGTTTATTCTCTGGGTAGAAATTTCTGTGTATATATTTGACAATTAAGCATATTATTTCAATCATTTTACTTTTTAAGCACTTGATTTGTCCATATCCAAAAGACCTATTAGTCTTTTAACGTGGAATTTGCTAACTTCCCATTGTTTCCAAGTTTTTGCCTTAAGTGTTTTTAAAAATTTTGTTATTTATATTCTTGCTTCTGTCATATCAAACTTTCAAGTCTTTCTAATTTCCTTAAATGAATCACAGAAATAATGCAACTACTTATTGAGCACTTAATGTGTACCAGGCACTGTGCTTAGATTTCACATATATTATCTAATTTATTCCTCATAGTTCATACTCTTATACTAATTCGATATGTAAGAAAACCAAAAATGCAAGTATCTTGCTCACTATAATTATGGAATTATAATAACGGAATTATACAGTATGTATTCTTTCTGGACTGGCTTCTTTCACTTACCAGTATACATTGGTTCATGTCTTTTCATGGCTTGTTAGCTAATTTCTTTTTGGTGCTGAGTGATATTCCATTTCCTGGATGTACCACAGTGTATTTATCCATTCGACTACTGAAGGACATTGTGATTGCTCCCACATCTTGGCAAATATAAATAAAGCTGCTGCAAATACCTGTGTGCAAGACTTTCTGTGGATCTAAGTTTTTAACTTAGCTGGGTAAACATCAAGAAGAGCAATTGCTGGATCATTGCCTTGTGTCCTCACTGCTCTTAAAGATTGGATACTGCTCTTAAAGATGAGATCTGTTCAGTTTTTTACTTCTTAGAATGGAGTGGCAACTTCCAAGCTCCTTATGTACAGAACCAGAAAAAGCAGACTGAGTTTTCAACTACTTTTTGGTACCCATTTTTCCTGCCTCCTTACTCTGAATGAAACTTGTCTCTTTGAGGGTCATTTCCCCTGTGGCATATAACTCTCTCAAGCGGGAGCTTTTGTTTCACCTCATGAGCCTCAAGGTGGGAGATGGTCTTGGTTACTTTCCTTATTTCTCATCCAAGTTTGTGTTAAAGGCTTCTGTTTCTTTGGGTCTTCCAATTTAGAAGGAAATAGAAATCCCTTTAGTTCAGAATAAATTGTTCTAAGAATTAAATATAAAGTTCTCAATTATAGGACAAAATAATTAAGGTCTTATTGATTTGGCTTTTCTAATTGAATTCAATTCTAGGGGAAGAAATGCTTTGATTTTCCTGCTTCCTTGATTCTAAGATAAGATCTACTCTGAAACATATAATCAAATTTGATTTGAGGGAGGTTAAATAGTACAGTCAATTACATTTTGATTATGAGACATTTGTTTTTAGAAATATTGGGGGGCAAAATTGTATCTTAAAGTTGAGGAAATGGAACAGTTCTCAATCTGTTATGAAAGGTTTACTTTGCCCAGAGGCAACTTAAAAAGAAAACTACAACTAGCATAGAAATAACTCAAGCATAAATGTGGAGCTGAGAACTAGAGAAACACCTGTTACACAGGAGCTGTGTTGAATTGGAATCAGAAATTATCTTTTTCTTGGCCAGATGATACCCTTTGTTGTTTGCAGTGTTGACTTTGATAGAGAACACCCAGTTAGTGTAGTTATGGTTCACATTGTAGTTGGTCTTAAAAAAATAGGAAACCTAATCATTTATCTTTAAATTGCAGTTTTCCCACTTGTTTGATAAGTTTTTAAACTTTTGTAACCGTGGATAAAATTTCTTGAAATACAATACAGTTTGGTTTTAATACCACTTGGGAATTGAATTAGAAAGCTTTGGTCCATAATTTCAGTGTAAGTAGTCTAGGAATTGATGGAAGTTAATTTATTTATATATCCCATGATATGTTAAATACCTCATAGCTGAGTTCAGGGTATACAGCGTATTACTTCACATAGTCAATGTTAAGAATTTAAAAGATAAAGAAAAAATCCAGTGGGAAAAAATATAATCTTAACTGAAAGTATAACTATGTATTTGCTAATTTTTAAAGAGTATTAAAAAAGCAGAAAGCATTTAGAAATTTGATGGCAGATAGTACTACAAGGTACACACACTGTTTAGAATAAAGGGAGAAACCTTCATCACTGTTTCCAAAAGGGGAAGTTACTCAAAAAAGCGGGGGGTGGGGTGGTGGCAAACAGTCCAGTCCTTAACTAGGAAAATCATGAACCACTTTTATTTCTTTTTTTTGAGACAGAGTCTCTTTCTGTCACCCAGGCTGGAGTGCAGTGGTGCGATCTCGGCTCACTGCAGCCTCCGCCGCCCGGGTTCAAGCAATTTTCTTGCTTCAGCCTCCTGAGTAGCTGGGATTACAGACATGTGCCACCACGACCGGGTAATTTTTTTTGTATTTTTAGTAGAGACAGGGTTTTGCCACGTTGCCCAGGCCGGTCTTGAACTCCTGAGCTGAAAAGATCCCCCCACCTCGGCCTCCCAAAATTCTAAGATTACAGGCGTCAGCCACCATGCCCAGCCCCCACTTTTATTTCTGATTTTAGTAATTTGAGTCTCTCTTTTATTCTGAATCTAGTTTATCGGTGGTCAATTTCGTTTATTCTTTTTAAGAACAATTGGTTTTGTTGATTTCTATTTTGTTTGTTTGTTTGTTTGTTTTGAGACGGAGTCTAGCCCTGTCGCCAGGCTGGAGTGCGTGCAGTGGCGCGATCCCGGCTCACTGCAACCTCCGCCTCCCTGGTTCAAGCAATTCTCCTGCCTCAGCCTCCCGAGTAGCTGGGATTATAGGCACGTGCCGCCACGCCCAGCTAATTTTTGTATTTTTAGTAGAGACGGGGTTTCACCATGTTGGGCAGGATGGTCTCAATCTCCTGACCCCGTGATCTGCCCATCTCAGCCTCCCGAAGTACTGGGATTACAGGCATGAGCCACTGAGCCCGGCTGATTTCTATTCTTTTCTTTTTCTTTCTTTCTTTTTTTTTGAGACAGAGTTTTACTCTTGTTGCCCAGGCTGGAGTGCAGTGACGCGATCTCGGCTCACTGCAACCTCCGCCTCCTGGGCTCAAGCGATTCTTCTGCCTTAGCCTCCCAAGTAGCTGAGATTACAGGCACGCACCACCACACCCAGCTAATTTTGTATTTTTAGTAGAGACAGGGTTTCACCATGTTGGTCAGGCTGGTCTTGAACTCCTGACCTCAGGTGATCCACCCTTCTCAGCCTCCCAAAATGCTGGGATTACAGGCGTGAGTCGCCATGCTCGGCCCGATTTCTACTCTTAAAAATCTCTTCTATTTATCTCTGCTCTAATCTTTATTTTTTTCTTGTTTTTCTAGCTTTGAGTTTAGTTTGCTCTTCTTTTTCTAGTTCCTTATAGTGTAAACATATTGTGTAGCCTTGCAGCTTTCTTAAATGGCGCCCATTGCTTCTCTTACCGGATGAGGTGCCAGTTAGGTAAACAGGAATCAGTCCTTCTGGCCGACCAGAGAGGGTAAAATGTTACGAGTTTGGTCTGCACTCTTCCCGCCCATTTGAAGGGAATGAAATGGGAGTTGGTTTGCTGCCTCCTCCAGACCCAGATAAACTGCAGAAGGGGTGGGACAAGATCACAGAAAAATGTCACAAAAGTTTTACATGTTTTTTTTTTTCTCAATTGGGCATTTGCTTTGTTGCTATAGACATTTGACTGTTTTTCACAGGTCCTGTAAGGTTAATTCAACTAGTTTCTGGTTGTTTTTGGGGTTTCTGTGAGGGAATGAGTCTTCGAGCTTTTTAATTTGCCGTTTTGCTGATGCCACTCAATAATGCTTTTTAACTTATGAAAATAATAGAATCATGTTGAAGGAAGTTTGCAGCCCCCAGAAGTATAACAAACTAAGAAAAAAATCTCACCCTCATTGTACTAACCCCAGAGTAGCCACCATTTTACATTTTACTGTGTTACCTTTCAGACTTTTATTTTTCTTCCTCTCTCTTTTCCCTTTGTCCTGCATCGTCTTGTTCCCCCACTCCTCACCACAAATAAAAAGGGAAAAAACTGAAAAAAAGCCCTCTAAACATGATTTATTGAGTACAGTGTTAATATTTTAATTAGCATACTTTTGTTTTTAATTTCCCAAAACGTTGTATGTACTAAAATTTTCATTTATGTTTCCAAAAGGAAATATTATAGATATTTCTGGTAACATCCAAATGCTTGGGTTTTATTCTAGTCTTTCTGCCTTCAAGGTGTAAGAGTTAAGAAAGAATCAGGTGTGGCCAACCCGTGTTACTTTCCTGTGACTTAGACCTTTATGGCATTTTTACATCTAGTAAAAAGTGGCATGCTCTAAGTCAAAGGGGTAAGCCCAAACCATGTGGAAAGGATCTTATTATCTCTTTTGAAAGCTAATATAAAAAGAATTCCTCCTAGACATATAAGTATTGTGCCATCGGTTACTTAGGCTAAACATGCCTATTATTCTAAGTGAATTTTTAACAGTAAATACTTTAACTCTGTGCCATGTTAATTATCATAATATGAATTCTAATTTGTTTTAACCTTAGGTTATATATACCTTGAAGCCATTTATATTTTGGTATACTTGTAATAGTTACTATACACTAGACTATGTATATTGGACTAGACATGGAGAGTCAAAAAAGAGTATGTGATCAGAGTGGAAATCATGCCGTAGCTTCCTTCCTGTCTACCTCGAGTAGAAGTGGTAGAAAAAGTAATTACCTAAGATTTTTTTGGATTCTGGTTTATGGAGAAGCACCCTTATGTTTAGGCTGATGGGTGGCTAAATTAGAAAGTATTTTTTGTGATTTAGAATTTTATGTGGAGATGTTCATTGTGATTAATTATTCTTTGTATTAGCAGATTTTTGCTTTTTGTAGCTGCATGATTTCTTTTGGTCATCCATTATTGTCTATTAATAAAGAAAAACTTTATTTCACTGAAGCAGTGATACATAATCCAACTTGGATTTTTTTTTAAATGACTGAAGTTTTTCCTTGGGAACACATTACTGTTAAAAATGTAAATTATTAGATACATTACTTTTAATGAATATAAGTATAATTAGAAGGCTGAAAAGAATCCTTGGAAACATGAGTCTAATTTGATAGCTAAGAAACTGAGGACAAGATACTCTTTGTAGCATATTTTCTAATGTCATTTCATTGTCTCACCAAGAAGTACTTGCATAAAGCAAGTTGGATTATAGCATCTGTTGAATATTTAAGGTTGGGTAAAATGGGTGAGTTTAACAGATATTTTCCCTTATTTCTTTTAGGGGAATCTGGATTGGGAAAGTCGACATTAATCAACTCATTATTCCTCACAGATTTGTATTCTCCAGAGTACCCAGGTCCTTCTCATAGAACTAAAAAGACTGTACAGGTATGGATATTAGTATTGTTAATTGATGATAAGCTGGAATAATATTAATACATACAAAGCACATGTTGTAACTTTTATTATCCTTCCTTAGAGGTAAGATGCAAATTTGCCCTTAGCCAGTGTAAGATGGTAAATATGACTTCATAACATTAAAAAAAAGAAGTACAGTTAATCAGAAGAATTATCTTGACTAGAACTTTCCAAATTTGTCCTAAGGACTCTCCTAGAGATGAAACTGTGACATAGTAACCAATTCTCCTGGAGTTGTACTATCTAGTATGATAGTCATTTGCCAAATGTTTACATCAGTTAAATGAATTAAATTAAAAATGCAATTTCTCTTTTGCTCCAGATACATTTCAAGTGCTCAACAGCCACATGTGGCAAGTGGCTGCCATTTTGTGCAGCACATATACGAAGATTTTCATCATTTCAGAAAATTGCATTGGACAGTGTAGAGAAAACATGATTCATAGAAAAGCTATTGTTATTTAAATACAGTGTTCTATATTAGTCAGTGGGGTAATGCCATATCATAGTTGAATAGCAATAGCAATTCTGTAAGACTCCCAAGGTATATGTGATCTAATTTACTGCTTCTCAGTCTTTGCTATGCATTCCAATCCTGGGCATCCTGTTAAATTTAGTTCTTCTAGTAGTTCTGAGATGGGCTGTGTTTCTACATTTCTAACAAGATCCCAGGTGATGCTGATGCTGCTGGATGGTAGATCACACTTTATAGAGCAAAGGGCTAGACTCTAGATATGCACTTTTTATTAAATAGTACAGCAGCCTGTAGCCACATACGGCTATTAATCTTTGAAATGTGGGTAGTCTGAATTGTGATGTTCTGCAAATATAAAATATACCACCGATTTCTAAGACTGAGCATGGAAAAAAATCTCCATAATTTTTTATATTGATCGTATACTGTAGTGATCATGTTTTGGATGTATCAGGTTAAATAAAATTGATTAATTTCACCTTTTTCCTATTTTAAAAGTGGCTACTAAGAAAATTTTAAATTACTTGTATGATTGACATGGTATTTTTATTTGGCAGCACTGCTCTAAACTGTTGATGAAAAATACTGTTGGTGACCTCTGCTTGTGTAATATATAGGACATGAGCAGAGAGGAGGCAAGTGAACAATTCTGGCTGGAGTAGGCTTCATGGAGGCAGTGATGCTTTTAGCTGGATTTGAAGAAGTGGAAGTGATCATCCCAGTGCACAGGATGGAAGGACTGTCTGTATATTCTGGGCAGTAACTCATACATATCAAACTGCAAGATGGAGTTTAGTAACTAGAATCCCAAAGGAGTAATTTTGCGAAGTGAATATCTTATTTCTCCTTTTTAATGTTCCTCTCTATTATAGGATTTTTTGGGTAACCTTCATAGGGCTTGAGATTTAAAATTACCTGCAAAATTGTGCTGTAAAATCTTGATCCCACCTGCTTATTTATTTTGCCTGACGTGCCCGAAGTGGAGTGGTAGAGCTTTAGAAGTAACTGTTGTGGCTATAAGAGAACATGAATTTATCAAGGGACAGAGTCTGGGAGATGAGATTTTTGGAAAACCCAGACTTAGGACTAAGGGGAGTGAACTATCAGAGAGTTGCATGCAAATGTCAGTACGATATGAATCAGAGTAATTGAATATCACATTTTATTCACAAAGGGGGAGATTCAAGAAGCTGGATTGTAAAGTAACAGTAAGGGTTTTCTGGATGTAAGGAATGATAAAAATGTACAATGATACACTTTTTTTTTGAGATGGAGTCTCACTCTTGTACCCAGGCTGGAGTGCAGTGCACGATCTTGGCTTACTGCAACCTCCACCTCCTGGGTTCAAGCAATTCTCCTGCCTCAGCCTCCCAAGCAGCTGGGATTACAGGTGCCCACCACCACACCTGGCTGATTTTTGTATTTTTAGTAGAGATGGGGTTCCACCATGTTGGCCATGCTGGTCTCAAACTCCTCAGCTCATGTAATCCACATGCCTTGGCATCCCAAAGTGCTGGGATTACAGGCGTGAGCCACCACACCCAGCCAACAATACACCTTTATGTTTGTCTCCCAGAAGGGAGTTTTAGTAACGTGGTGAAGATGAATGATGGCAGATATAGGAAGTTTGAAATAGAATACATGATGAAAAGAGGGAGGACTGACAATACAGAGTATTGCCACCCCACGTATATCCAAGAACACTGCATTGGTAAAGGATATCCATAGAGCAGCTGAGGGTATCTTCAGTGTCTTGAATTATTAAATAATGATGACATCATCCCATATGTATTGTGGATTTATCTCATATGTACTGATTTTATATATGATAGAAATGCTATAAACAAAAATTTGTTTAACCAAAATACCACATTCACCTAGACAATTCGAAGAAACAGAAATTTATTCTAAAATTCCCTAGTTTGAAAACAACTTGATATGTGATCTGAAATATATTATTATGTATTAATAAAAACTCACATATTACCTTAGTAATATTGCTAAAAGGCAGTTTCTTTTAGATTTTATGAGCTTCAGTAGTAGCTAATCTACAGTTTCTTGTCTAGTATTTAAATAGATAATATAAAGAACACTCTTTCATAGAAAGGTCATCCTTCAGTAACTGCTTTGGGAGATTTATGGGGTTTTATTTTTTTTGAAACAGAGTCTTGCTCGGTTGCCCAGGCTGGAGCGCAGTGGCACAATCTCGGCTCACTGCAAGCTCCGCCTCCCGGGTTCACACCATTCTCCTGCCTCAGCCTCCCCAGCAGCTGGGACTACAGGCGCATGCCGCCACGCCAGGCTAATTTTTTTATCTTTAGTAGAGACGGGGTTTCACCGTGTTAGCCAGGATGGTCTCGATCTCCTGACCTTGTGATCTGCCCGCTTCCACCTCCCAAAGTGCTGGGATTACAGGCGTGAGCCACCGCACCCAGCCGAGGATTTATTTTCTTTATTTAAAAAAATATTTTTGGCCGGGCGCAGTGGCTCACGCCTGTAATCCCAGCACTTTGGGAGGCCGAGGCGGGTGGATCACAAGGTCAAGAGATGGTCAAGGTCCTGGCTAACACGGTGAAACCCCGTCTCTACTAAAAATACAAAAAATTAGCAGGGCGTGGTGGCGGGCGCCTGTAGTCCCAGCTACTCAGGAGGCTGAGGCAGGAGAATGGCATGAACCCTGAGGCTGAGCTTGCAGTGAGCAGAGATCATTCCACTGCACTCCAGGCTGGGCGACAGAGCCAGACTCCGTCTCAAAAAAAAAAAATACAAAAAGTAGCCAGGTGTGGTGACACACGCCTGTAGTCCCAGCTACTCAGGAGGCCGAGGCAGGAGAATCACTTGAACCCAGGTGGCGGAGGTTGCAAGGAGCCGAGATTGCACCACTGCACTCCAGCCTGGCGACAGAGGGAGACTCCGTCTCAAAAAAAAAAAAAAAAAAGTTTTCCTCTATGTTATTTTAGGAACCAAGCAACATGGGAGGTGTTGAGACAGCACAAGCGGGCAGGGAGGAGCGTTGAAGAGCAGGCAGGCTCGCTGGGAAAGCAGAGGTCGGGGACAGGGAGAGAGCGTGGGATGGAGAGGGCATCTGAGGGGAGACGGTCAGAGGTCGACTGCTGTCCTCAAGCCCTTTTTCAAAGTCATCCCACCTCTTTGAAAGGCTCATTTGCCATTTAACAGCTGTTGACGTTTCTTTAAAAATGAATCTGAGGGTATGTGGCTGGGCAGCAGGCACCAGCATCAAGAGGCGGAGGACAAACAAGGTCCCTGGGCTGAGGATCCCACCCTGGGCAAAGCCCATAGTGCATAGAAGTGGCAGGAAACTTAGGGCTCCAAGAGGCTGACCTACAGGGAGCTGACCATTTGCACCCACCCTTCCTATCCTAGGCAAAAGAGGGAGCGAGCTGAGGTAAAGTTAGAACTAGGCTTCTTTAAAGTAACAGATTAAGCACTATTTAATTTCTGGTCTAGACCTCAAAGGAGTTAAACAAGGTGATTTCCGCCAGATTTTCTTGGTTCTGGGTTTGTTCCATGAGAAGCTGTAGGTTCGGTCCTGTACAAGTTCTAGAACCTTCCGGAACCTGCAGAACCTATTTGGGCAGTTGAAGTGAGTGGAGAAAGCAGGAATCTCAAAATATCTCAATATAAAGACACCACTCCTTCCCCTCTCTTCACTGCCCTCACAAAAGCAGGTCCTCCACGCCACTGCCTACCCATACCGCTGCGTTCTCACTAATAAGGCCATTTCTTTCTTGACTTCGCTGTGCTCTTGGCCCAGTGACAGTGATCAGAAATAATCAGGGGCGATCAAGCCCATGCTAGCCTGGATAGGGGGTAATATTTCCATTGAGGGCCTCCCTAGTGGCTTTCTCTCTCTGAGCAGCGGGGACATGTGACAGCACAGGGCAGCCCGCGGGGGTTATGGCGGGGTGAAAAATCTTCCTGTGGCTGTGGAATTCTTGATAAGGTGGCGAACGTGTTGTGCAGCGGCATCCTGAGGGCTGCCCGCCCTCCCAGGCGCCCAGGGCGGGCAGGCAAGCTGCACGCTGTCATCGCCTAAGTCAGCGGCATTGGGCACTCTTAATTACAGGGGAAGCAGAATCTGATTGCACTTTCTGTGCCAGCTCCTGACTTCGTTTGCATCGTCCTTTTATTTTTTCTTTTTCATACCTCAATGTACTAAATCTGAAAGATGTTTAGAGCTAGATTTTCACCAGCACGTATTCAGAAATGAATACAGGGATGAGGAATTTCATTCATTTATCCTTGCATTGGCTGAGCAAATATTTATTGAGTGCCTGTTGTATCCAGGTACTGTGCTTGGTGGTAGGGGGATTCTCAGATTTGTTTTCTAAGGTGAAACAATTGGAATTTGGAGCCACTGATATTTTCCATGATCATCATGGAGAGGGGAGCTATAATATTTGGACATCACAATGAGGTAAACTGGAAGTAATCAGCCCAGAAGACACTGCCTGGTTCCTGGAAGGTGAAGATTGAGATGCAGGCCCATAGTTGGGAAGCTCTGCCTTAGATCTGGGCTTTGTGTTGTTTCCATTAATGAGGCATAAGGTGGAAAGGTGGTGCCTGTCATCTGGGCTTGACAATCTCAAATGCCCTAGAAGAAAGTCTTCCCTCCTATGCCCATTTCTCTTTCTCTTTTCTTTTTCTTTTCTTTTTTTTTATTATACTTTTGAGTTCTAGGGTACATGTGCACAACGTGCAGGTTTGATACATAGGTATACATGTGCCATGTTGGTTTGCTGCACCCATCAACTCATCATTTACATTAGGTATTTCTCCTAATGCTATCCCTTCCCCAGCCCTCCACCTCTTGTCAGGCCCCCGTGTGTGACGTTCCCCGCCTTGTGTCCAAGTGATCTCATTGTTCAATTCTCACCTATGAGTGAGAATATACAGTGTTTGGTTTTCTGTCCTTGTGATAGTTTGCTGAGAATGATGGTTTCCAGCTTCATCCATGTCCCTACAAAGGACATGAACTCATCCTTTTTTATGGCTGCATAGTATTTCATGGTGTATATGTGCCACATTTTCTTAATCCAGTCTATCATTGGTGGACATTTTGGTTGGTTCCATCTTTGCTATTGTGAATAGTGCCACAATAAACATACGTGTGCATGATTTATAGTAGCATGATTTATAATCCTTTGGGTATATACCCAGTAATGGGATGGCTAGGTCAAATGGTATTTCTAGTTCTAGATCCTTGAGGAATCACCACACTGACTTCCACAATGGTTGAACTAATTTACACTCCCACCAACAGTGTAAAAGTGTTCCTATTTCTCCACACCCCCTCTAGCATCTGCTGTTTCCTGACTTCAATGATTGCCATTCTAACTGGTGTGAGATGGTATCTCATTGTGGTTTTCATTTGCATTTCCCTGATGACCAGTGATGATGAGCATTTTTTCATGTGTCTGTTGGCTGCATAGGTGTCTTCTTTTGAAAAGTGTCTGTTCATATCCTTTGCCTACTTTTTGATGGAGTTGTTTGCTTTTTCTTGTAAATTTGTTTGAGTTCTTTGTAGATTCTGGATATTAGCCTTTTGTCAGGTGGGTAGATTGCAAAAATTTTCTCCCATTCTGTAGGTTGCCTGTTCACTCTGATGGTAGTTTCTTTTGCTGTGCAGAAGCTCTTTAGTTTAATTAGATCCCATTTGTCAATTTTGGCTTTTGTTGCCACTGCTTTCGGTGTTTTAGTCATGAAGTCCTTGCTATGGGTCTTAAAATCTCTATGGAATCTAAATTTGGTGTCAAGTTAGCTTATTTTTTATTGGTCTACTTTGAGTGTAAATGAAAACAGATGAATGCTACCTTCCTTAACAATAGTCTTTTGTTAATTTTAAATCTGAAATTTTTGTTTTGGTAAAATTTTGAATTTATATTAAAGCTTTTTTAGCTTTATGCCCCCTAGCTATTAACAGAAGCAAACTCTTGCTGTTTATTTATGACAGAACACACATGCAGGACTTGAAAGATGTTACTAACAATGTCCACTGCGAGAACTATGGAAGCAGAAAACTGGCAGCTGTGACTTACAATGGAGTTGATAACAACAAGAATAAAGGGCAGCTGACTAAGTAAGTATATATTTTTTCTCCAAAAAAGGTATTCTTTCTGTAGTCAATAATCATATTGTTTCATTTTCATTAAATTTCTCCTGGCTCCTCAGTAGAAAATTTGGATAATGTTCTCTATGCACAACAGCATAAATGTATATTGTTATGCTTTGTTAATAGTAGACACTTTTTTGAATGAACCATTTTGATGGAGTTTTCACTTACAGATTGTGTGGAAACAAAGGACAGGCTTTAATAAAAGGAATATGTAGATGAATTTATTCTTGCTTACCTTCTCTAATCCTATTCCAGGGAGTAAATTAGCTGGAGTTTTGGTTTCTTCTTTTGGTTGTTAGAGTGGTGTAAGTGACTACGAATTGTGTAGCTTTGTCCTATTGAGCTTGTATCTCAAGCTGTGGTGTTTTTATGTGGGGGTCGAAAAAAGAGATGTGTGAGGAAGCTGGTAACCATGTCTGTGCCCTCCTTTTAAAAAATTTGTCATTACTGAAGATCATAATTACACCATATGTCACTTAACAATGGGGATATTCTGAGAAATGTGTCATTGGGCTATTTCGTCATTCTGTAAACATCATAGAGTGTACCTACACAAACCTAGATGGTAGAGCCTTCTACACACCTAGGTTATGTGCTCTAGCTATTGCTTGTAGGCTATAAACCTATATAGCGTGTTACTGTACTGAATGTCATAGACAGTTGTAACATAATGTTAAGTATTTGTGTATCTAAACATAGAAAAGGTGCAGTAAAATACAGTATAAAAGATTAAAAATGGGATATGTGTATAGGGCACTTGTTGTGAATGGAGCTTGCAGGACAGGAAGTTGCTCTGGATGAGTCAGTGAGTGAGTGGTGAGTGAATGTGAAGGCCTAGGACATTACTGTACACTACTGTGGACTTTATTAACACTGTACACTTGGGCTATACTAAATTTATTTTTTAAATTTGTCTTTAATAATCTTATTTTGCTGTAACTTTTATAGTAACTTAAATTTTAAAAAACTTTTTGATTCTTTTGTAGTAACACTTAGCTTAAAACAGAAACACATTGAACAGATGTACAAAAATATTATCTTTATAATCTTTATTCTATAAGCTTTTTTCTATTTTAAAAGTTCTTTCTTTTTTCACTTCAAACTTTTTTTTTGTTAAAAATAAAGACATAAACTTACACATTAGCCTAGGCCTACTCAGGGTCAAGATCATCAAGATGCTACCGGGCAGCAGGAATTTTTCAGTTCCTAGGGGCCACCATCATATATGCAGTCCCTTGTTGACTGAAATGTCATTATGCAGTGCGTATCTGTATTACAAAACCATTTTAAATAATGGGCATTTGTAGCTAGGTGTTATCTACCATTAGACGAAAATCCTAAAGGATCAACTACATGTATACGAAAGACAAGTTCTGAAAGTAGCTATAGTGTTTTCCATAGTGGTTAACATGCCTTATAATGGAATAGAAAAATGTCCCTTCTTAAATATTTAAAATACAAGATTCTGTTTGAGGTAAGCCTCAATATGTGAACAAAAGGAAGGCTTTTTATCTCTTTTGAGCAAAATCTTTATTGAGCAACTTTGGCAAAAAATGTAAGCATCCATCATAGTGAATATTGTTCATAAAATCTTAATTCACTTTAAACTCATTATCAGTAACGATGAACTTTTTAACTCATTAAAAGAAACACATACACAAAGCTACTGATAATTTTTATGTTAAAATACTACCAGTACATATTTTTTGTTAAATATATGTACTTATTCAATATATTTTTAAAATGTTTGTTATGTTGTAGATATAAGGAATTGTTTATTTGTCCCCGTGTCTCAAATATAAGGCTTTTTTTTTTCTTTTGAGACGGAGTCTCACTCTGTCGCCCAGGCTGGAGTGCAGTGGTGCGATCTCAGCTCACTGCAAGCTCCACCTCCGGGTTCATGCCATTCTCCTGTGCTCAGCCTCCCGAATAGCTGGGAATACAGGCGCCTGCCATCACGCCCAGCTAATTTTTTGTATTTTGTTTAGTGGAGACGGGTTTCACCATGTTAGCCAGGATGGTCTCGATCTGCTGACCTCGTGGTCCGCCTGCCTCGGCCTTCCAAAGTGCTGGGATTACAGGCGTGAGCCACTGTGCTTGGCCATATAAGGCTTTTTAAAGTAGTGCTGTTGGATGCAGGTAAGATAATTCAGAGAAAAATTGTAAACTTTACAGTATCATGAAGTTTTTTTCTGCATATACAAAATTCTACTGTGTGGATACGTGAGTCAAACTATATCCCAGGTGAAAACACAAATAGAATTCTACTGGAAATATATCTCTTAAAGAGAGGAATCATGACCATACTTTGCCTATGCAAATATAAAAAATGTTTGCATTGCTAAAACGCAAATTGCTCCAGGAGCTAGCATAATATTTTATGTTAATAATAAGTAGGAAAATAAACATTTCAGAAGATAAAACCAACTGGGGAATGTCTGTAATTGGAATAGATATTTGATATGATTTGATAAATTAGATTGTTACTACTTCATTGAATAACACATACTGAATCTGAAAGAAATCACTTAGAAGTTTTATCTATTGGTTGTATCTTACATTGTCTTGAAAATGTTAGCAATTTCAAAGAATATTTTTGTTAAATTTTTCTTTAAAAATCATTAACAACTTATGGTGCTTTAGCAGAGTAAGGTGCTTTTCCTCATAGCTCAGTACATATCCATGAATAACTGAAAAGAAAGACTAATGTTTAAATAAGTGAAGTAAGCAGGTGTGAGTTTAGGCTTCTTTTAATGTTCTTTCTGTATTGCTCTCATGTGACTCTCCATAACAATATATTCTTTGACAGTGGTAGTGACGAGGGGTTGAGAGTTGCAAGAATTTTGGCATGGAAGGTGAACCTATTGAAAATTTATACTTAAATTGATCTTTGGCAATGTATGCTTCACAAAGTGCTAATCACACTTTGGTTTTAAAATATAAGCCACACTTTGGTTTTAAAGATGTTAGATATTGAATAGTAAAATACATTCATGTGCCATATAACGATGTTTCAGTCAATGACTGACTGCATATACGACAAATTCCCATAATATTATGATGTCATACCATAGAGCCTAAGTGTGTAGTAGGTTATACTATCTAGGGTTGTGTAAGTACACTCTGTGTTGTTCCCACAATGACACATGAATTTCTCAGAATGTGCCTCAATTTTTAAGCAATGCATGACTGTAGATCAATTTATCTTATATCTAAATTTTCTGAGGTAGTTTTGGGCAAACTGTAGAGTCTATTGAAACATGAAATAAAAAACCAAACACCGCATATTCTCACTCATAGGTGGGAATTGAACAATGAGAAAACATGGACACAGGAAGGGGAACATCACACACCGGGGCCTGTTGTGGGGTGGGGGGAGGGGGGAGGGATAGCATTAGGAGATATACCTAATGTTAAATGACGAGTTAATGGGTACAGCACACCAACATGGCACATGTATACATATGTAACAAACCTGCACGTTGTGCACATGTACCCTAGAAGTTAAAGTATAATAAACAAGATAAAAAATTAAAATTAAAATTAAAAATATAAGTGTAGATGTCTGAAAATGTGCCTTTCTTTTATGTCAAGAGTCCTAGAACAATTCTATTTTAGAGGGACTTAAAACAAGAATTAGATTGTGTGGTTTAAATCTGAAGAATTAGATTGTGTGGTTTAAATCTGAAGACTAGCTGAACTTGTCCAGTCAGCTATAATTCGTCTCAAGGTTAGATCTGGAGAAGTGGATGCTATTCTTAGCAGCTATCCAGTAATTACCTGTTTCTGACAAAGAAAGTATGGAGCCATCTAAGTGCTTCTTATATCCTTAGAGAATGTATCTTGCATCCCTGTATGGAGGTTAGTGGGTGGTTGGAAGCCACAGAAATGGTAACCTCTGAAATCAAAGAAAATTCAGCAAGGGTTTGTAAAGGAAAGGGGAGAAGAGTTGGTCATATCCAGATTGCTGATCTCTTAAAGGAAGTGATCCCCAATAAGAGGAGGGCCATCTCTTTTTTATTCTGTTTGCTAAATGTCCTTCTTGAAGTTTTATCTGCCTCCTTTTTCCTTGATCTTCCTTGTACCCTTTACTTAAAGTCACATTTGATTGGTGACTCTTTTTCAGAACTGATGTCTATCATTGGTACCAATTGTGACAATAGATACCTTGCTCCAAGTTGGGGCAAACCCTAGTCTCTCTTTCCTTTATGTTAATTTATTTTTCTCTTCTTTATAGCCTTCTCCATCAGTCATCTTGGGAAAACTTTATAAGTGAATGACTAAAAATACAAGTTTCAAAGGTAGATCCTCAGAATTCTTGATACATGACAAGAGTTTTCATTGATCTAAATAGAAATAAAGACAATTTTCTGAAAATTTCAAGTTGTTTTAAAAAATTAAACTTACTCAGATGTATCTTTTACTCTTTATTCAAGTGTCCTTTCATGAAATTATAATGATAGTAGTTGGAGTTTTGTTTATGTTTGGTTTTAATACTCTTACTTGGCAAAACAAGATGTTGGCAACCATTATTACTCAAAATTTTTGGAAATTTTTATTGATCTTTGAAATTTTTTTTTTTTTTTTTGAGATGGAGTCTTGCTCTGTCACCCAGGCTGGAGTGCAGTGGAGCAATCTTGGCTCACTGCAACCTCCGCCTCCCAGGTTCATGCCATTTTCCTGCCTCAGCCTCCCGAGCAGTTGGGACTACAGGCGCCCACCACCTCACCCAGCTACTTTTTTGTATTTTTAGTAGAGACGGGGTTTCACCGTGTTAGCCAGGATGCTCTCAATCTCCTGACCTCGTGATCCACCCACCTCAGCCTCCCAAAGTGCTGGGATTACAGGCGTGAGCCACCGCACCCTGCTGATCTTTGAAATTATTTAAGTGAAATTCCTTTGGAAAATTTTGCACGTAGTGACCTACTAACCACTGGAGCAAAAGTATGTAAATCTACTTGCTTACTGTGTTCTTTAGGAAAGACCACCACACATAATTTAAATGAAACATGATTGTCTTTTATTACACTCCAAATGTGGGTCATGTGTAATGCAGCAAAGTAGAACTTGACTAGGTCATCCTTCTGTGGTGGCTCTAATTTTATTGGTCACATGAAGGGGTGTGGCTTGCAAGAATTTTAACCTTATAAAGACAACCCTAGAAGGAGCTAAATCTTTGGGGATTTAGTTTCATATTCAGGTTATGTTGTTACCATTTTCTTTTTCTTGTTTTACTAGGCTTTTTCCATTACTTTGTCTGGGTTTTTAATTTCGCTGGTAGGTTTGTAAGCTTTACTACTATATGTGTGTGGGTAAGAGTTTCCTATTAAAAAGCAGGCAGACAATGATATAACTGAAATGGTTTTTCCAGCCATTTAATAAAAGGTTTTACTTGGAACAAAATAGTAAATGTGAAGACAAAAAGTGATCTCCCTACATTTTCTATATTGTAAGCACAATTGTTTGTTTTGATTTTTTAAAAATTAATCAAGATGACTAGAAGTGAGGTGTTAGTTTAAAAGTTAAAAATTTGAAAGATAATTTTTACTGGTGAGAGACTTCAAAAAATTCATTTTAAATATGCATGAATGAACATTTTTTCACGGTATTTGAGTATATTTGGTCAGATTATTTTTACAAGGCTAAAATCTTACAGTATCTTAGCTGTTAGATATTGCAGATTTCTTTTAGAAAGTACACACATTTAGCAGGTTTAGAACTTTGAACAGACTTTCAGAAGACAATCGCACAGCATATTTATTTTCATAGTGATTTAGTGTAATGATTATGAAAGTAATTTGGGAAATAAATTAGCTTTAGCAAATTTTACTGTAATTTTTTTTTTATTTAGGGCACATACCTTAGTAATTTAATTGTGAAAGCTATGCATTTGCTTTTAATTGAAGCTTTTAGCATGCTTTACTTTAAATGCGCTAAATCACTAATTTTTGTTCCTTTAGATTTGATACAGTTGAAGGCATGTAAGGCGGGGGATTGTTTTTCCAAAGACATAGCAGTTTTTACTATACAGGGATTTTTAATATTTAAATTTTGAATTTAAAAGAAGATTTTTTTCTTTTTCTTTGAGATGGAGTCCTGCTCTGTCACCCAGGCTGGAGTTCAGTGATACAATATTGGCTCACTGCAACCTCTGCCTCCTGGGTTCAAGCAATTCTCCTGCCTCAGCCTACCAAGTAGCTGGGATTACAGGCTTGCACCACCATGCCCAGCTAATTTTTGTATTTTTAGTAGAGACGGGGTTTCACCATGTTGGCCAAGCTGGTTTCGAACTCCTGATCTTGTGATCTGCCTGCCTCGGCCTCCCAAAGTGCTGGGATTACAGGTGTGAGCCACTGTGCCCAGCCTAAAAGAAGATTTTGAAACATCATTGCATGTTTTCCCTGCAGTCTCTTATTTTCCCCCTAGAGTTATTTAAATAATAATTTAGGTGGCAAAATTACCTGCTCCTTCCCAAGGATAAAGTAAAATAAACATTTTATAGATGAGTTATGTAAGTAGGAATAGATATTTAATTCTCTCTGATTTCTAATTTAATGTATTTACAATCACAGTTATATTGTTGAATAATATTAAGTTGCTTAAATACACATATTCAGTTACTAAAGGTTAGCAATTAAAAATCATTTTTAGATTTTTTCTTTTCTGGAGCCTAAAAAAGATTTTTGGGGTGTTAGGGGACAGTGGGAATTATAGACTCCTTGAAAATCTAGCAAAAGCTTTGGACCCTTTCACCGGAAGAATACTGGCAAACACAAACACACATTTGGTATGCTGTTTCAGGGTAGTCACTGACACTGGGTGTGCTCAGGAGATCAGAAGCAACTATATTAAAAACACCTGCCATTAATATGAGGCATATATTATTAAGAAGGATCTCATCAACTTTAAAAAAAAATTACACTTGAAAATGTATTTCAGCTGACTCCACTTTTTGCTTTGTTTTGTTTTTTGAGACGGAGTCTCACTCTGTCACCCAGGCTGGAGTGTCGTGGGGTGATCTCGGCTCCCTGCAACCTCCACCTCCCAGGTTCCAGCGATTCTCCTACCTCAGCCTCCTGAGTAGCTGGGACTACAGGCATGTGCCACCACACCCAGCTAATTTCTGTATTTTTAGTAGATATGGGGTTTTGCCATGTTGGCCAGGCTGGTCTCTAACTCCCGGCCTCAGGTGATCTGCCTGCCTCGGCCTCCCAAAGTGCTGGGATTATAAACATGAGCCACTGCGCCTGTCCTGGACTTCCTCTTCTGAGCGCCCTGCTGACCTGTCCTGATGATGACTGTTCCTGCAGAGGTCTGCAGAACCCCCAGTTACCTGGCCCTGAGATCATGGAGTGCTCCATGAATGAGGACCATCCGGGCTACGGAAGGAGGGGACATGTGAGTGCGCCAGGAGGAGGATCACCCGCCTGGGCTGGGCGAGGGAGGAAGCAGGCAGGGCTGGGTCGGTGCCCCTGGCACTGGGTAAGTGGCCCTGGGCCCTCTCACGTCCAGGTGGAGCACGGGCGTCATCATGTACATGCTGCTGGCTGGCTCCCCACCCTTCTGGCACCAGAAGCAGATGCTGATGCTGAGGATGATCATGAGCAGCATCTACCAGTTTGGGTCGCCTGAGTAGGATGATTACTCAGACACCATGAAGGACCTGGTGAGAGAGAAGGCCGACTGGCTCCTGGGCTCAGGGCTGCGATGCCAGGCTCCCTTGCCCAGGGAGGCCCCGCCTCTCCTGACATGCTGGAGGGGACCTGCCTTAAGTTTCTCGGGTACCCTCTCCTTCCCTCCCAGGTCTCCCGATTCCTGTTGGTGCAACCCCAGAGCTGCTGCACAGCGGAAGAGGCCTTGGCACACCCATTCTTCCTGCAGTACGTGGTGGAGGAAGTGCGGCACTTCAGCCCCCGGGGGAAGTTCAAGGTACGAAGCCTCCTGACCCAGACCCTGTGGCAGTTGCCGCCAGCTCCCCAAGTGCAAACCTCTAAGCCGTCTCCTCCCCCAGGGGTCCTTATACCCCGCGGGTTTCCAGAGTACCCACCCCTCCCCTCCCAGCCGCCCTGTGATGGCTTCAGAGATGGCAGGTGTCAGCCCACTGGCTCCGTCCCTGAGGATGCTGGCCAAGTGGGAAGTGGGGGACACTAGGAGGGCCCCGCAGAAGCCACTGAAGGCTTCGTGGCAAATGAGCCCAGAGAGTCCTGTGCTGGAGGGGCAGGGCCTGGCAGGGCGGGGGCTGCAGCCCAGCTTCTCCGCGTGGCCTTCAGGTGATCGCTCTGACTGTGGTGGCTTCAGTGCGGAGCTACTACCAGTACCACCGGGTGAACCCGGTGACCCGGGAGATCGTCATCCGAGACCCACCCCTACACCCTCCAGCCTCTGCGCCGGCTCATCGACGCCTACGCTTTCTGAATCTATGGCCCCTGGGTGAGGAAGGAGCAGCAGCAGAGCTGGGCAACCCTTTTCAAGAACACACCCAAGGCCGTGCTGCTCTCCCTGGCCGAGGAGGACTACTGAGGGGCTGGCCAGTCAGGGAGGGCTGGGGGGCAGGTGGGGAGGGGAAGCCACGGAAATACAAGTCAAAGGGGTAGGATGCATGCAGGCCTCTGCAGAAGGAGCGCTTGGCCCTGGCCAGGAACCCGTGAAGCTGAGGCCACGATCCCCTCTCAAAGGCTATGCACAAGGGAAGCGGGTATTCCCACCACACAGCAATACCTGCAGGCTGGGGCAGGCCCTGGGTGGGCAGAGATCACACGTGGCCTGAGAACCAGGAACCCCCTGCTCCTCCACTTCCTAGATGAGCCACCATCTCCGTTTCTCTTTAGGGGAGGACCAGAGTTACTGACACTCGGGCCCTCTGCCTTTAGGGTCCCAGGGTGAGGATGAAAGACACAGAAATGTCTGAGATACACAATCGCAGGAGATTTTATTGGCCCCATGACAGCCAGTGACAGTGTGGGAGCAGGCTACTCTCCAGGGACATGTTTCTGGAGGCATATGGAGAAGGGGGCCGAGGTGAGGTGGCTCACACCTGTAATCTCAGCACTTTGGGAGGTCGAGGTGGGACAATTGCTTGAGGCCAGGAGTTCGAGACCAGCCTGGGCAACATAGTGAGATCCCATTACTATAGAAATTCAAAAAGTTAGCCAGGCATGGTGGTGCATACTTGTAGTCCCAGCTACTCAGGAGGCTGAGATGGGAGAATTGCTTGAGCCCAGGAGCTTAAGGCTGCAGTGAGCTGTGATCACCACTGCGCTCTAGCCTGGGCAACAGAGTAAGACACTGTCTCAAAAAAAAAAAAAGAAAAAAAATGGAAGGGGAAGCTTCTGATATTTGTCTTTCTGGAGTACTGTTTGCTTTGTGATTCCCACAATGCACTGCTTCACCTAGTACATCATTCGGTTCTCTCAGACCTTTTAGGACTGAACTGTGCTTTAGATAGTTTCATGCCTGCCTGTTACACAGTGGAAACTAGTTTTCTTCAGAGGGACACGAAATGACAGATGAGGCCATGAAGAAAGCATTCTCCTTCCACAGCAACTAGCTAGGAAAGCGAACACACAAGTGATCCTCCTGCCTCAACCTCCCTACCAGCTGGGACTACAATCGTGTGCTACCATGAAGGGCTAATTTTTTTTTTTTAATTTTTAGTAGAGATGCGGTGTGTGTTGCCCAGGATGGTCTTACTCCTGGGCTCAAGTGATCCTCCCACCTCAGCCTCCCAAATTGTTGGAATTACAGGTGTGAGCCACTGCATCCAGCCCTTCATCACATATCTAAAAACAATCACCAGAGGTAGATGTAGCAGGTGTTGTTATTAACTCCATTTAACAGATGAAAAACACTGAAGCAAATGGAAGTGAAAAATTGGGCTTTTAAAATGGAGTTTTGGCCGGGCATGGTGGCTCATGCCCAAAAGTGGTAGAGATTGAGAAATAATTAGCATTAACTCATCAACAAAATTCTAAGTATTTTGATTGTTAATACTTTCAGCTTGATCCCAGTGCAAGAAAACAATCTGAAATGGGAACAAATATTTATTTATTTTTTTAAAAGTTCACTACTATATGGATTTTTTTTTTTTGAAACGGAGTCTCACTCTTGTCACCCAGGCTGGAATGCAGTGGTGCAATCTCAGCTCACTGCAATCTCTGCCTCCCGAGTTTACGCCATTGTCCTGCCTCAGCCTCCCGAGTAGCTGGGACTACAGGCGCCCGTCACCACGCCTGGCTAATTTTTTATATTTTTAGTAGAGACGGGGTTTCACCGTGTTAGCCAGGATGGTCTCAATCTCCTGACCTCGTGATCCGCCCACCTTGGCCTCCCAAAGTGCTGGGACTACAGGCATAATCCCACCTGTAAAGCCACCATGCCCGGGCCATTATATGGAAAAGTTTCAAGAAACTGAAACATTCAACAATAAAAAATTAATTGGTAAGTTATGTTGATTTACCTAAAGGATTATTGTGTAGGCATTTTAAAAAACTTTATAAATTTCTAATTGTAAGAGAAGATAGTAATGATATACTAAGTGAAAAAAATTAAAAATTTACTTTATTTAACCTCAACTGTTATGTTTTCTTTCTTTCTTTCTTTTCTTTCTTTTTCTCTTTCTCTTTTTCTTTCTTTCTTTCTCTTTCTTTCTCTCTCTCTCTTTCCCTCCCTCCCTCCCTCTGTCTCCCTCTCTCTCTCTCTCTTTCCCTCCCTCCCTCCCTCCCTCTGTCTCCCTCTCTCTCTCTTTCTTTCTTTCTTCTTTCTTTTTTTTTTTTTTTGATGGAGTCTTGCTCTGTATCCCAGGCTGGAGTGCAGTGGTGCAATCTCGGCTCACTGCAACCTCCACCTCCTGGGTTCAAGTGATTCTCCTGCCTCAGCCTGGCAAGTAGCTAGGACTACAGGCACGTGCCACCAGGCCCAGCTAATTTTTGTTGTTGTTATATTTTTAGTAGAGACGGGGTTTCACCGTGTTTGTCAGGCTGCTCTCCAACTCCTGACCTCAATCTGAAATAGGAACAAAGGTTTATTTTTTTTTAAAAGTTTGCTACTATATGGATTACAGGCGTGAGACACTGCACCCAGCCTTGTTTTTTTTTTTTTTTTTGAAACGAAGTCTCACTCCGTCACCCAAGCTGATGATCCACCTGCCTAGGCCTCAGATGATCCACCTGCCTAGGCCTCCCAAAGTGCTGGGATTACAGGCATGAGCCACTGCGCCCAGCCTCTTTTTATTTTCTTTTTTTTTTAAATAGAGATGTGGTTTTGTTATGTTGACTAGGCTGGTCTCGACCTCCTGACCTCAAGCAATCCTCCCATCTTGGCTTCCCAACGTACTGGGCTAACAGGTGTGAGTTACTGTGCCAGCCCTCAACTGTTTTTTTTAAATGCAGAAAAATTACTGGAAAGGCTGCAGTGAGCCGTGATCACACCACTGCTGTTTAGGAGTGTGAGACCTTCCTAGGTAACAGGGTGAAACCCCACCTCTACGAAAAGTACAATTTTTTTTTTTTTGTAGATGGAGTCTCACTCTGTCGTCCAGGCTGGAGTGCAGTGGTGTCATCTTGGCTCACTGCAACCTCCGCCTCTTGGGTTCAAGTGATTCTCCTGCCTCAGCCTCCTGAGTAGCTGGGATTACAGGCACCTGCCACCTTGCCCAGCTAATTTTTGTATTTTTAGTAGAGATGGGGTTTCACCATGTTGGCCAGGCTGGTCTTGAATCTCACCTCAGGTGACCCACCTGCCTCGGCCTCCCAAAGTGCTGAGATTACAGGCGTGAACCATTGTCCTCTACCCTTCTCTTTACTAGAGCAAAGGAATATTTCCATTTCTAGTTACCTAGTTACCCACTAGGTCAGGGAAGACAGAAACTACTTTTAATATTCTTTTGCTGCTTGAAGAATTAACTCAATCATATGCCCTGACCAATTCACATGGAATTAAACTCCTGGGTCTAGCAAATGGTGTTTATTTCACTAGGGGGAGGAGAAACCTTTATGAAGTAGGTCTACAGCGGAGCCAACCTTATCTGCTGCTATAATTTTGCCCCAGTTTTTAAAGGCCTCATTAAAGAGATCAAGGCCATGATTCCACAGGGATTTATAAACTCATCAGGGACATGTCAGGGAATGAGATAATGAAGACAACACACTATTTGGTGAGTTATCGCCGGAGCCACACTGTTATTTGGCTGTGAGCACTGTATATCGTGGCTTAATTAGAAACACCCGTTAACCAGGAGCCAGACTGACATTTTTATCTTGCGCCCACATTTCTAAATTATTCCTCAAATGGAATATGTCGTAGCAGCCAAGATATCCAACCTTGACATTACATGCATGGGCCCAACCAGCCAATAGGCCTGGAAGAAAATCAGACAGTAGCATCCTGGGACATTCTCTTATTTATTTAACATGTGTGTTCATTCATTCCCAGAGTGTTGTTGGAATCAATTAAAGATAAAAGACACAAAGCCATGCCATGAAGAATAAGTGAGATAGATAGATTGATCGATAGATAGATAGATGATAGAAATAGATAGATGCTAGATAGATAGATAGTATAGATGGAGAGAGAGAAATAGATGGATAGGCGTAGAGAGACAAATAGATAAGTAGAAGATAGATAGATGATAGATATGTATAGATGGAGAAAGAAACAGATGAATAGGAATAGATAGATAGATGATAGATACATAGACAGATACAGAGGAATAGATGGATACATAGATGATAAATATAGATATGTATAGATGGAGAGAAAAATGGATAGATATATGGATAGATGGATAGGGAGAGATAGATATAGATCAATAGATGGATACATGATACATAAATAGATATGTATAGATGGAGAGAAATGGATAGATAGATGGATAGGGATAAATAGAAGTAGATGGATACAGAGATGGATAGACAAGCAGACAGATATAGACATGTGAAAAAAATATATGTATATATGTAGTTATAAATATGTATATGTGTAGTAATAAATATGTGTATATGTATTTATACACGTGTGTGTGTGTGTGTGTGCGTGTGTGAACTCTCCATGCATCCGGGTTGTCAGAGACAAGAAGGAGCCCAGCAGAAAGTACCCGCTGAGGGAGACATGAAAACTCTGAATTTTGAATGTGTTCCCCACACCACGCAGCTCCATAGCACAGCATAAAACATTTGGCATTTGGAAGCATTTTGTGCTTTTCTGTTGGTTTTGGGTTAAATTCTGTTTGTAGTTCTATGTATTTAGGGGGTGCAAGTGCAGGTTTCTTAGGGAATATATTGTGGAGTGGTGAAGTCTGGGCTTTTCATGTACCCATCGCCCAAATAGTGAACATTACACCCAATAGGTACTTTTTCAGTCCTCACCCCCTCCCAGCCTCCCACCTTTCGTAGTCTCCAATGTCTGTTATTCCCTCTGTATGACCATGTGTATGCACTGATTAGCTCCCACTTACAAGTGAGACTGTGCGGTGTTTGGCTTTCTGTTCCTGAGCTATTTCACCTAGGATTATGGCCTCCAGTTCCATTCACATTGCTACAAAAGACATGATTTTATTTCATTCTTTTTAATGGCTGAGTAGTATTTCATGGTTTCTACATAGCACATTTTTAAAATCCAATCGTCCCTTGATAGGCACTTAGGTGGATTCCACATCTTTGCTATTGTGAATAATGCTGCAATAAACATACAAGTGCAGGTGTCTTTTTGATATTTTTATTTTTAGAGGCGTTTTGAAGCATAAGTGGACTGTGGGAAGGCAGAGATCCATCCATGAGAAGGGCATGTCAGGCAAAAAGAATGGCTTGGACAAAGGGGTGACAGTGTAGAAATACATGGTGTGAATGAGGATAAAACACAACAAGCCCCGTTTGGCTTGAGGAAAAAATACTGCAGGAGAGAGAACTGGATGCAGTTACAGCATGAATCAGAAATAATTTCAACTTCCTAAAGGGAAGCTGTGAAACTTGATTTCCATCATATGTGGGAAGTGAATAAAGCCCAAAAAGTTTAAGGTATCAGTTTGAAGAACTTGAGTGTTGTGGTTCATGCCACTGGGCCTCTGGGGATTGTGTTGAATAAATATTTAGAAATAGTGCTTTATGAGTATTGCTGTTGGTTAAGTATTAAGGAGTAATCGTGTAATTGCCTGATGGCTTCTTATCCCCCACTGCACAGATAGAGCCAATTTACTGAGACAGAAGTATTGTAATAAAGCGTTTAATAAACACAGAGCCAGCTAAGCAAGAGATAGGAGTTTATTACTCATATCAGTCTTCCTGAAAGCTTGGAAGCTAGGGTTTTCATGGATAATTTGGCCGGGAGGGGCTAAGCAATGGGTAGTGCTTATTGGTTGAAGATAAAATCATAGGGGTGTGGAAAACTGTCCTCGTGAGCTGAGTCAGCCTTTGGGTGGGGACCACAGGACTGGGTTGAGTACTGAGTCATGGGTCCAAATGGAGTTAGTTGTAAGAATGCAATAGTCTGAAAAACATCTCAAAAGGCCCCCTTTGGGTATCTATATGAGCAATTGGGGAAGTCACAAATCTTGTGAAGTCTGGATTCATGAATCCTGAATGATTAGGGATTATAAGAAAGCAAGCTATGGAACAATGGCAGGTTATTATTTAACTAAGCCTACATCTTAGCAGATTTCAGACCCCTCCTATAATCCCAATCTCGTGGTCTTTCAGGGATCTTACAAAGATGGTTTCAGTACTGGGACAAGCAGGAGTTCAGCTTTAGAAAGGGAGTCCTATTATCCTTGATTCAAAGTCAAACTGTAAATTAAATTTCTCCCATGGTTAGGTTGGTCTATGCCCAGAATGAACAAAGGCAGCTTGGAGGTTAGAAGCAAAATGGAATCAGGTCAGATTTCTTTCCCTGTCATAATTTTTCTATGTCATGTTTCTCTCACTGTCATACTTTTTGCAAAGGTGGTTTCAATCATAATGGAGATACCTGAGCTACAACATTTCCAAGTTTTTTTGGGGTTGTTTTTTGTTTTTGAGACAGAGTCTTGCTCTGTTGCCCAGGCTGGAGTGCAGTGGCGCCATCTCGGCTCACTGCAAGCTTCGCCTCCCAGGTTCATGCCATTCTCCTGTGTCAGCCCCCCGAGTAGCTAGGACTACAGGCGCCTGCCACCACACCTGGCTAATTTTTTGTATTTTTAGTAGAGACGGATTTCACCGTGTTAGCCAGGATGGTCTCGATCTCCTGACCTCGTGATCCGCCCGCCTCGGCCTCCCAAAGTGCTGGGATTACAGGCCTGAGCCACCGCGCTTGGCCCATTTCCAAGTTTTATCAGCATCTCTTCTAGAGATTAAACAGTTGCTGCACAGGGTTGACCTTCAAACCATAGGTTGAATGAACAGAAGCTTGTGCCTGGCCCACATGAGAAAAGATGGCACATCCTGCGGTCTTCCACGAAGTGTCTCTAGCAGTCATGGTGGCAGCATTCCAGCAAAGGGTAGCTAAGGGCTGCAGGATAGAAAATTCCCAAAGCAATGGTTTCTTCCAGTTGTGCAGTAGAAGCCTTCTCCTGCAAGAAAGAAACCAAAGCAAAGATCAGACTACAAGCAGCAAGGTCAGAGTCCATGGGGAGAAAGTTTACAGGCACCTTCCCACAGAAAGCCAATCATCAGGAGCCAGAAGAGAAAGCTTCCTAAAGAAGCCAGAGAAGTCAAGACTAGCGCCACCTGGCTGGAATTTCCAGAGACAAATATTAAACCACAGCCTGAAAATGCAGTTGCATGTTTCAGCCCGGTCTTATCCTCTAGGTGAGGCTAGACCTTGCCTGCCTGGTCTCATGCTTATTACTCTGCACAACGTAGGTGGACAAGAAATACCCCTGGAATGACCTGGGAAGGGAAAATAATGCCATCTTCAGTTTTGGTTTTCAGAAAGGGGTTCGCAAGGAAAGTACATTTGTCCAGGAATCAGGAGCTCTGAGTGCCATAGCCCAGTACACAGGCTGTGGAACCAGCAAATTTGAGTTCCAATCCAAAACTGTCTCAGAACCAGATTAAGAGACAGGGTCCTAGGCCATGTCAACATGTCATACATCAGAAATGTGGTCTCTGTTCTGGACTTCTGCTTTGCTGGTTTGCCCTTGACATGGTAGGTGATATGCTGATGTGACTCATTGAATAAATAGTGAACAAATATTTAAAAGAGGTACAAGGCTGGGTGTGGTGGCTCACACCTGTAATTGCAACACTTTGGGAGGCCAAGGCAAGAGGATTGGTTCAACCCAGTTCGAGACCAGCCAAGCAACATATCGAGACCACCATCTCTGCAAAATAAAAAAAAAATAATTAGCCAGGTGTGGTGGTGCATACCTGTAGTCCCTGCTACTCATCAGGCTGAGGTGGGAGGATTGCTTGAGCAGGGGAGGTCGAGGCTGCAGTGAGCTATGATCACGCCACTGCACTCCAGCTTGGGTGACAGAGCAAGAATCTGTCTCAGAAAAAAAAGAGAGATATAAACATTTTAACATTATTTTATGAAATGTTATAAAAATAAAAATTACAAACTTATCCTGGGTGTTCTGTCCGCTCTGCTCTGCTTCTTCTAACTGGGTGATCTTAGGACAGATGTTTAATGCCTCCAAGTCTCACTCTTCTCACCTGCAAGAATGTAGTAGGTCCTGTAATCCCAGCACTTTGGAAGGTGAGGCAGGTGAATCACTTGGGGTCAGGAGTTCGAGACCAGCCTGACCAACATGGTGAAACCCCGTCTCTACTAAAAATACAAAAATTAAGCCAGGTGTGGTGGTGGGTGCCTGTAATCCCAGCTACTTGGGAGGCTGAGGCAGAATTGCTTGAAACCAGGAGGCAGAGGTTGCAGTGAACCAAGATCATGCCACTGCACTCCAGCCTGGGTGACAGAGTGAGACTCCATCTCCAAAATAAACAAAAAAAAGAATGCAATAGGAAGTGCAATATTTTTCCTAAGGCTGTTCAAGGGGTGAGTGGCGGGTGTTCTATAAATTGTGATTATTCATCCCTAGCTCTGCCAGTAAGTGTTTGCTCTTACATAGCTCACTTTTCCTTTCCGAAGTTCAGTGTTCTCACATGCAAACTGGGGGGTTCAGACCAGATAACCCCTAAGAAGTAAAAGCGAGCTTTCTGTTTTTCATTGTGCTGTGTTTCCAAAGCAGCACCTGGTGAGAAAGCAAGCGGTGCCCCACCTGGAAGCAGGAAGAGAACTAGTGTCTTGAGGTTACTGTGTTAGTCCATTTTGCAGTGCTATCAGGCAATACCTGGGACTGGGTAATTTAGAGAGAAAAGAGGTTTATTTGGCTCATGGCTCTGCAGGCTGTCCAAGAAGCATGGTGCCAGTGTCTGCTTCTGGTGAGGACCTCAGGAAGCTTCCAATCATGGAAGAAGGTGAATGGGAAGCCAGTGTATCACATGGAGAGAGAGGAAGCAAGAAAGAGAGAGAGGAGGAGGTGCCAGGCTCCTTTAAACAACCAGCTCTTCACACCTGTAATTCCTGCCCTTTGGGGGGCCAAGGCGGATGGATCACATGGTCAGGAGATCGAGACCATCCTGGCTAACACAGTGAAACCCTATCTCTACTAAAAGTATAAAAAATTAGTCAGACGGGGTGGCGGGCGCCTGTAGCCCCAGCTACTCATAAGGCTGAGGCAGGTGAATCGCTTGAACCCGGGAGGTGGAGGTTGCAGTGAGCTGATATCATGCCACTGCAATCCTGCCTGGGTGACAGAGCAAGACTCTGTCTCAAAATAAATAAATAGATAGATAAATAAATAACCATCCAGCTCTTCAGTGAACTAACAGAGCAAGAACTCACTCATTACCTTGGGGCGGGCACCAAGCCATTCATGAGGAATCCACTCCATGACCACACGCCTCTAACATTGGGGATCATATTTAGACATGAGGTTTGGAGGGGACAAACATTATATCAGATACTTAGAGTTCTTTCAGATGAAAGTTGAGTCTCTAACCTCCTTGATAGCCAAGATACACAAAGCCAGTTCTCATAACTTTCAAAAGTGAATTAACTAAAAAGGCAGACAAGGGACTTTTGTTAAGTGCTTTGTTTGAAGAGAAATCCTTAGAGGGCTTATTTCTCCTTGGAGCATAATGTCAATTATTATTAATAGCTTAGAATATACTCTTGATAATATTAAGGAAGTAGTCTCTAATTCTTATATGTCTTTATAAGACTTTAAAATAATAATAGATTGACTTGATAAAACACCCTTTAATATCTACTCATTTATCCATTTATAGACTCATTTTTCAGAGATGTAATATAAGCTATAGTAATATATTAATGTTTTTCTTAATATTGATCACTTCTATACTTGGGATAAACCCTTTGTGCTTTTATATTATTATTTTAAGATATCATTAAATTCTACTTACTGACACTGTTATTAATCACATAGTTTTGTATTCACAAGTGAGATTATTCTAATATACTTTTGGTTATCTTGGTCAGGTATTGGGAACAGCAACATCTCCCTTACAGGATAAATCTTATAGCTTTCTGTCTTTTTGTAAAGACAGGGAGCAGAAAACACCCACATTAAATATTTCTCATTTGTTTCATTCCTTAGTATAATTTCAAATTCTTATTTGATCTTATATCAATTTGCCATTGTCAATTTATGTTATGTAAAAATAATACATCTCATTAAGATGCTTCATTATTAATAGAATATAATTATGTACACCTCGTAATTGCATTTATAATAATGCATTAAAAGTGCATTATTATTTTCTATTGTTACACCTCTTTTTTTTCTCTCATGTTTTGAAACTTGCTAGTGTTTTAGTTCTTTTTTTTTAGATGGATTCTCACTCTGTTGCCCAGGCTGGAGTGCAGTGGCATGATCTCTGCTTACTGCAACCTCTGCCTCCCGAGTTCAAGCAATTTTCCTGCCTCAGCCACCCAAGTAGCTGGGATTACAGGTGTGCACCACCAGGCCAGACTAACTTTTGTATTTTTAGTAGAGATTTCACCACGTTGGCCAGGCTGGTCTCAAACTCTTGACTTCAAGTGATCCGCCCACCTCTGCCTCCAGAAGTGCTGAGATTACAGGTGTGAGCCACCACCACCAGCCCCAGTTATTTTAGTATTTTATTTAATATTAATTACTATTTATTTACTAATTAATATTACTAATATTAATTATTTCATTTTATATTTAGTATAATATTTTATACTAAAATAACTAGTATTTTAGTTATTCTATTAGTCTTTTCTAAAATACATTTATTGGTAGGTTTCATGGTTTCATGTTGTTTAAGTGGACAGTATAATTATTTTCTTTATTTTTAAATTTTGGTTAGAATGCTTCGTTTTGTTTATTTTCACCTTTTTATTTTATTATGAAATATTCAAAGCTAAGAATTTATTTTGGAGTCCTGCTTTGACCACACTGCAGTCACTCATCACTTAAAAACAGATATATTCTGACAAGTGCTTTATTAGGCAATTCCATCATTGTGTGAACATCACAGAGTGAGCTTACACAAGGCTAGATGGTAGAGCCGACCACACACTTAGGCCATATGGTAGAGCCCATTGCTCCCTGGCTACAAATCTATTCGGCATATGACTGTACTGAATGCTGTAGGCAACTGTAACACAACGGTGTTTGTGTATCTAAACATAGAAAAGAAACAGCAAAAAATACATTATTATAATCTCATGGGACCACTGTCATAGACACAATTCATCACTGATCCAAGTGTCATTATGTGGCGCATGACTGAATATATATTTCTATAGTGGTTTTGGTGGCAGGGGTTGTGTGTGTGTGTGTGTGTGTGTGTGTGTGTGTGTGTCTGAGACAGAGTCATACTCCTTTGCCCAGGCTGGAGTGCAGTGGTGCGATCTCAGCTCACTCCAACCTCCCTAGCTGGGATTACTGGCATCCGCCACCATGCCTGGTTAATTTTTGAATTTTTAGTAGTGAAGAGGTTTCACCATGTTGGCCAGGCTGGTCTTGAACTCCTGACCTCAAGTGATCCTCCCGCCTCCGTGTCCCAAAGTGCTGGGATTACAGGGGTGAGCCACCGCCCCCAGCCTGTTTCTGTAATGTTTTAAAATAAAAAAGAAGTTTCCTTATTTTCTGAATAATCTGTGGTTTTAATCTTGAGCTGTGAGACAACTGTTATTTAATAAAATATTTGTAAAAATTCTATATTTATTGAATGCTTTTTTTTGAATCTTTGTGCCTTTCAGTGTGTATCATATAATCAATTTGTATAAACAATCACAAACATAAGAAAAGAAGGTATATTTTCAATAAAGTAAAAAAACTTATCCTATTCATTCCATCTAACTTATTTTCATTGTTTATATCATTTATATCCATATTTAATTTTTGTGTCCTTAATTTGTCATTAACATAGAACAATCAAAATCATTCTCTAGGCCGAGTGAGGTGGCTCTCGCCTGTAATCTCAGCACTTTGGGAGGCCAAGGTGGGCGGATCACTTGAGTTCAGGAGTTCAAGACCAGCTTGGCCAACATGGTGAAACCCCATCTCTACTAAAAATACAAAAATTAGCCAGGCATGGTGGCAGGTGCCTGAAATCCCAGCTACTCAGGAGCTGAGGCAGGAGAATCATTTGAACAGGGGAGGTGGAGGTTGCAGTGAGCCAAGATGTCACTGCACTCCAGCCTGGGCGACAGAGCAAGACTCTGTCTCAAAAAAGAACAAGAAAAAAAATTATCCTCTAATTATGATTTTCATGTCTTTCCCGTGGGTTGTATTTTATTTATTATATTGATTCAAAGAATTAAACTTTGATAATCTCAAAATTGTATTATTGATTTTAGATTTTTATCATAAGTAATTTTCCTGCTTGTCATGGCCAATAGTTTTGCCCTAGATGTTAGGTTACTATTTTCTACACTGGAAGTCACCTTTTCTTTTTTAATTAATATTGCCTTTCTCAATTTTGCTTTTAGACTTTTGAGGTCATTCAGCTTCAGCGAGATGTTTCAGAAGCAGCAATTTGTTAAACAAATACAGTCCTGTAGTGTGAGAGTCTTGGTTTCTTGGCAGTGGAATTTACACCGTTAGGTACAAATCACTGGTGTAAATGCCTCCTGGATCCAGCCTCTGTCAGTCTATTTCATGCTGTATTTTAATATTCTGCTATTGAATCTTCTATTTGGCCTTCTGATGTCTGGGCAATGCTCTACTTGTTGTCATCTTTGTCACTCATTTGGAAGACAAACATACAGTTTTTGATTCTGCTAGGGATTCCCTTAAAACATTAATACCAAAATTACCTCTCCATAACTAAGCTCTCTAATAAAAAAAAAAGCTGTTTTTGCTATTTTTATTGGAGAGCTTAGTTATCTTAGCTCTTTATTTCTTTTTTCTTTTCTTTTTTTTTTTGAGATAGAATTTCACTCTTGTTGCCTAGGCTGGAGTGCAATGGCACGATCTCAGCTCACTGCAGCCTCCACCTCCCATGTTCAAGGTATTCTCCTGCCTCAGCCTCCTGAGTAGCTGGCATTGCAGGTGCCCACCACCACACCTCGCTGATATTTTTTTTTTTTGTATTTTTCCTAGAGATGGGGTTTCACCATGTTGGCCAGGCTGGTCTCAAACTCCTGACCTCAGTTGATCCACCCTCCTCGGCCTCCCAAGGTGCTTGGATTACAGGCATGAACCACTGCGCCCAGTCTATCTTAGCTTTCTTTTATGAGAGACAAGGAAATGTATACTTTTCATCCTTTTTCTTCTCTTCACCTCATTTATTTTCGTGTTTCACAGTACATCTGGGAGCCTGCAACTCCTCCCACCCTCACACTGCCCCCCATAACCCTCCTACACCACCCTCTCCACCTCTACCCTCCCCACTCTGCAGTTAATCTGAGAGTCTGGAACTGCTTCCCTCAACCCCTTTGATTATCTTATTCTTTTTCCAGGATCTTTTTTGATCTTCTGCAAATGACTGTATTCTAAGTACAGCTCAAATGCTGGCAGATTTCATCAATGTTTGAATTAGACATGAGATCACATGGAAACCAACATCAGTGGCAAATTCCCTTGTTTTCTACCCTGCTTTCTCCTTTGGCATCATTTCACCCCAAAATATTTCTGTTCATCTCTTTGGTGGGCAGAATAATGGTCCCCTAAAGATACCCAAATCCTAATCCCCAGAACGTGTGAATATGTTATCTTACATGGACAAAAGGATTTTGCAGATGTGATTAAGGTTAAGGACTTTGAGATGAAAGTATCATCTCAGATTATGCAGGTGGGCTCAACCTAATCACATGAGTCCTTAAAAGAAACTTTTCCAGCTGAGGTCAGAGTCGGAGAGTGGCTGGGCACAGTGGCTCATACTTGTAATCCCAGAACTTTGGGAAGCTGAGGCAGGAGGATGGCTTCAGCCTAAGAGATTGAAAGCAGCCTGGGCAACATAGCAAGACTGTCTCTACAAAAGAAAAATGTAAAAATTAGCCAGGCATCATGGTGCATGCCTGTAGTTCCTAGCTACTTGGGAGGCTGAAAAGGGAGGATCACTTGAGCACAGGGGGTTGAGGCTGCAGTGAGCGATGGATAATATCCAACCTGGATAATCTGAGATGATACCCTCATCTCAAAGTCCTTAACCCTGATCACATCTGCAAAATCATTTTGTCCATGTAATATAACATATCCACACGTTCTGGGGATTGGGATTTGGGTATCACTGCACTCCAGCTTGGGCAACAGAGCAAGACCCCATCTGAAAAAAAAAAAAAGAGTCAGAGAGGGAGCTGTGATTATGTGAGAATGGTGAGAGAGATGCAATGTTCCTGGATTTGAAAACAGAGAAGGGGGTTATGAAGAGAGAAATGTGATGTGAGCAGCCTCTAGAAGCTGAAAAGGGCAAGGAAATAGATGATCACCTAGGGCAGGGGTCCTCAACCCCCAGGCTATGGCCTGTTAGGAACTGGACCGAGCAGCAGGAAGTGAGTGGAGGGCAAGCAAGCGAAGCTTCATCTGAATTTACACATGCTCCCCATCACTCACACTCCTGCCTGAGCTCCACCTCCTGTTACACCAGCTGTGGCATTAAATTCTCACAGGAATGTGAACCCTATTGTGAACTGGGCATGCGAGGGATCTAGGTTGCCTAACCCTATTGTGAACTGGGCATGCGAGGGATCTAGGTTGCCTACTCCTTATGAGAGTCTAATGACTGATGATCTGTCACTGTCTCCCATTAACCCCAGATGAGACCATCTAGTTGCAGGAAAACAAGCTTAGGGGTCCCACTGATTCTACATTATGATAAGTTGTATAATTATTTCAGTATATATTACAATGTAATGATAGAAATAAAATATAATAATAGAATAAGAGAAATAAAGTGCATAATAATGTAATGTGCTTGAATCATCCAGAAACTACCACCCCCACCAACTGCTTGTGGTCCATGAAAAAATTGTCTTCCACGAATTCTGTCCCTGGTGCCAAAACAGTTGGGGACCACTGCCCTACTGCCTCCAGAAAGGGGAACATGGTCTCCTTGATACCTTGATTTTAGCACAGTGGGGCCGATTTGTTTTCTGACCTACCGAATTGTCAATAATACATTTGTATTGATTTAAGCCACTAAATCGGTGGTAAATCTGATGGCAGCACTCTGAAATTAACACAGTCCCCATTGTGTGCCTTTAGATGGCTTACCAACTAGCTGCAGGACCACTCTCCCACCTTTTTCTTCTGCTGCTCTGGTTGGTCAATGTTGGCTGGTTCAGAAGCCACTGGAACAACGTTAACACTGCTAGGATACAGCAGAGAGAGGGAAATGGCCAGGACTGGATCCAAAGGCAAATAGGACCTGGACAGGCTTGAGAATGTTGTCAGGATCAAATGAGTTACTATATGCAAAGTGCCTTCAACAGTGCCTGGCTCATGGTGTTATGTTTTAGCTAATGCTTTCTCACTTTGAACTCCGGGGGAAGATGATTGAGTTGGCCATACTCCTTACTTCATGATATGTCCTCTGGACCTGTGCACTGTCCATCTTGTTTTCATTCATTCATTCATTCATTCACTCCCTTTAATTGCCATAACTCATTCCAGTTCTCTTTTCTTCCCTAAGCAATAATTTTAATGTATCGTTTGTGTGTCTCACCTTTTGAATGTGTTCTTATAAAATGCACATTTTAGTTTGGGTGCATGCAATTTTTAATTTTTGTAAATGACATAATATAGAACAATTCAATTGCATAAGAACTAGTTTTTTAAGATATAAGCTTGTATCTACAGCCATTGCTTCTAACTACTGCCTAGTAGCCCATTGTATAAATTTATTGTGGTTGACCCCTCCACACAGTTAATGTACAAAATATTTAACCCTTGAACAACACAGACATGACCTAATGAGGAGGGAGCCTCAATGCTGGGCTGGAACTGGGTCCCAGAGGCTCCTGAAATTCAGAATTTAATCTTAAATTGCTGCAGCAGGAAAGGTTAGGGTACTTTGTAGGGGAGATGGAGAGGCATTTAGTAGGCTGAGAAGCAGCAGGTTATCAACCCACATGACATGAGGACACTGTTTCACTAGTTCAACAACCCGTGTGGCTGTATCATGCCTATCAGCTGAATATTACCCTTTGTGTTAGTCTGTTCTTGTGTTGTTTAAAGAAATACCTGGGGCTGGATCATTTATAAGGAAAATAGGTTTATTTGGCTCGTGGTTCTGTGGGCTGTACAAGAAGCATGGCACCAGCATCTGCTCCTGGTGAGGCATCAAGAAGATTCCAAACATGGCAGAAGATATAGAGGCAGCTGGCATAACACGTGGCAAGAGGGAAAAGGAGGTTCCAGACCCTGTTAAACAACCAGATCTCACATGAACTGAGTGAGAACTCATTTATCACCAAAGGATGGTGCTCAGCCATTCATGAGGGATCCACACTCGTGATCTGATATGGTTAGGCTTTGTGTCCCCACCCAAATCTCACCTTGAATTGTAATCCCCAGGTGTTGAGGGAGAGACCTGGTGGGAGGTGATAGGATCATGGGGGTGGTTTCCCCATGCTGTCCTCATGATAGTGAGTGAGTTCTCATGAGATCTGATGGTTTTATAAATGGTTGGCAGTTTCTCCTATGCACACGCACTCTCCTGCCACTTTGTGAAGAGGGAGGCTGCTTCCCCTTCTGCCATAATTGTAAGTTTCCTGAGGCCTCCACAGCCATACTGAACTGTGAGTCAGTTAAACCTCTTTTATTTATAAATTACCCGGTCTCGGGTAATATCTTTATAGCAGTGTGAGAATGAACTAATACATGATCAAATCACCTCCCACCAGACCCTGCCTCTAACATTGGGGATCATATTTCAACATGAGATTTGGAGGGGACAAGTATCCAAACTATATGACCCCTGCCTATCCCTACCTCTCCACTTCTTGTAATGAATTCCCAGGTTGCCACCAACTTCCCCACCATAAACCATAATGCAAAAAACTTCCTTGTGCAAGTTCCATTATGGACCCTGAAATAAATACCAGGCAAGGAATTACTGAGGCATGTGTAAACATATATATAATTTGCATGAGTAACACCACAATGGCAGTACCAGTCCACCCACCCACCAACAGAGCATGTGGCCTCCCATAGCCCCACTAGCTCTCTAATTGTCACCTAGTCCAGTAGGCATGAAGAAGTAGCTCACTGTGGTTTGAATTTGCATTTGTCTTATTTCTAATTACCAGCAAACTTGGGCTCTCATCTTATGGTCAAAACCTTGGTGGCTTCCCATTCTACAAATATCCTTTTCATAGCAACTCTCCTCTTTTTTTAAAAAAAAATGGGATTGCTCTCTATTTATCACTGATAGGCAGGAGTTCCTTGTACCAAAGTGTCAAGGTATTTGTCAGAGGTGCTATCTCCTAATGCTTCCACAACTACAAATTCTCAAAGGGCCAGCCCTGCACTAAAGACTGTGTCAAGATGAGGAGATTGGCTCTCTTGAGTGACTCTGCCTCACACACTTTGGACCCCAAAGTAACACTGTGTGTACTCAGAGTCTCTAAAAATCTCTCTTTTTTTGAGACAGGGTCTTGCTATGTTGCCCGGGCTGGAGTGCAGTGGCATGAAGATGGCTCACTGCAGCCTCAACCTCCCAGACTCAAGCTACCCTCCCACCACAGCCTCTTGAGTAGCAGGGACTACAGGCACACACCACCACGTCTGGTTCATTTTTGCATTTTTTTTTTTTTTTTTTGTAAATACAGGGTTTCACCATGTTGCTCAGTCTGGTCTCAAACTTCTGAGATCATGCAATCCACCTAGCTTGGCCTCCCAAAGTGCTGGGATTACACTGCGCCAAGCCTGAAATCTCTTGAAGAAAGTTTTTATGTGACTGCTGTCCTTCACCCACTGGCTGAAAAATAGGATTGAAACAAATACTACTGAAACAGCCACACTGAAAGATAGGGACAGTACTTTGTAGTCTAAAGTAAACCATGGCTCAGCCAATCAAAATGCCCTTATGTTGTATCAGTCCTACAGAGTTATCAACCCAAACAATTCCCTCATGAGTGGTTACAGTATTTTAGTACTTCTAATATGTCTGTGATTTTTCACTTCTTTTTAAAAAAAAACCTCAAATTCCCCACCCGTGACGACTTTCTTAGACTCAGCTCTCTGTGGTCTCATAATGGGAATCTGGTGAAGAAAGCTTCATGCGCAAATAAGATGGGAAATCTAGATTCAGTAAACATTTTTTTAATAGGACTTTCTCATTATACACATTATGTGGGTTTTAGGAACATAACTGAGGAAGCATTTGTGTGGAAAAATGAGCGCTAGTCTTAGAGGAAAGAGTTCTCTCATCCCTTCTCTAGCTGCAGTTTGGGCATAACCATTAATGGTTCTGAAGCCTCAGTTTCTGAATCTGCAGAATGGGGGCAATAATACATCAAGGCAGGGGATTTAACAAGATGTTTGACTGACTTTCTGCTCAAGCCTAAGATGCATTCATCTCTAAACCTTTCTTCCTCTGATCCTTCAGCCTCACACTCAGCCCTTTTGGAAAATATTTGATAGGAAAAACTGAGACGCCACAGCAGCTGTGGACAGTGATGCTTGAAACAAAACCTTTGTTGATTGAGTTGCGCTTCTGTAAACCCCGGATGGGATGCTGTTGGAAGCCCAGTAGTAATTGTACATCTGGACTTCCCACCTCTTTCTCGAACAGTCTGTCGCTGGCAGAACCATGTGCTCCATTGGCACAGACCATGTTTCCCATCACAGCTTATCTGAGCCGTGTTGAAAGGTTCAAAGTTATTATTTAGAGCTCAGTGAGGATAGGGCAGAGAATCAGAAGCTATGGATGAGGTCCATGCTGCAAATGCTACTCATGGAGAATGACAGCATCTGAGATGCCTAAGGAGCAGAGAAAGGGATTCTTAGCAACTCCTGATGTCTCAGAGAGCTGCATAAGCTATGCTTCCCACCCTCCAGAAGGTTCCTCTGCTGAACGCAGCCAACATTGATTCCTTCCCTTCCTCACTGACCCTATTCCATATTAGGGTGACCAACTCATCCCAGGTTGCCTGGGACTTTCCTGGTTTTCATACTGAAAGTCCAGTGTCCCAAGAAACTCCTCAATACCTGGTAAGCAGAGCTAGTGGGTCACCTTACCCATACTGTCGAGATGAAGCATTTTTGTCACTGACTATATTTGGTTACAAGTGTAGCCACACTAACATCAAACACTTACTGGGTGTCTAGTGAGTACACTCTGCTAAACGTAGAGGACACACTGCCCTCATCTGATTTTTTTCTCTATTTTTCCACAACGTGTTACAAAATGCTTTTTATATACCTAGCATTCAGATCTTGTTTTCTATGTACCTTTGTCCAAAAAACAAAAACAAAACAAACAAACAAACCCAGAGCTTCCTGGGAAAATGGTTGATTCCAGGACTGGGGCAAGAAAAGTAATATGAGCCCAGAACATTTTATGATGCCAGAAAGTAAGGCAATGTTCAAGAAAATATAGAATGACTGAGCACCTCAACAGAGTACAAAAGGCTGGGCACAGTGGCTCATGCCTGTAATCCCAGCACTTTAGGGGGCTGAGGCAAGAGAATCACTTGAAGCCAGGAATTCAAGACCAGCCTGGGAAACATAGGGAGACCCTGTCTCTATGAAAAATTGAAAAAATTAGCCAAGAATGGTGGCATGCATCTGTAGTCCCAGCTACTCCAGAGGCTAAGGTGGGAGGATCACTTGAGCCTGGAGTTAGAGGCTGCATGAGCTATGATCGTGCCACTGCACTCAAGCCTGGGCAACAAAATGAGACCCTGTCTCTTAAAAAAATTAATGTAAAATAAATAAATAAAAATTGCTGATTAAGGCCAGGCACAGTGGCTTACTCCTGTAATCCCAGCACTTTGGGAGACTGAGGTGGGTGGATCACTTGAGGTCAGGAGTTTGAGACCAGGCTGGCCAACATGGTGAAACCCTGTCTCTACCCAAAATACAAAAAAAATTTTCCCCATTGCCACAGGGGGAAAAAAAAGCACAGAAGACAACTTGAAGAAGCCATTAATGAGGCCGGGCATGGTGGCTGACACCTGTAATCCCAGCAGTTTGGGAGGCCAAGGTGGGTGGATCACCTGAGGTCAGGAGTTCGAGACCAGCCTGGTCAACATGGAGAAACCCCGTCTCTACTAAAAATACAATAATTAGCCAGGCTTGGTGGCAGGCGCTTATAATCTGAGCTACTTAGGAGGCTGAGGCAGGAGACTTGCTTGAACCTGGGAGGCAGAGGTTGCATTCAGCTGAGATCGCACCACTGCACTCTAGCCTGGGTGACAGAGCGAGACTGTCTCAAAAAAAAAAAAAAAAAGCAACAGCAACAACAAAAACAAAGGAAACTATTGAACTAGTCATCTTCATATTTTAAAAAATGCTTATTTATATTTTATCATGCTTTAAAAAAATGGTTTTGGATACACAGTTGCTCTCCTATTTTGATTACATATAGGAATGGAGCCATAAACTTCTCAGTGCCTCGTCATTCGAAGGATATTCCTTTACCTCAGGTTTCCTCTTCTCTGTCTAGTCTATATATGGGAGAGGTACACATATACTCAAACATTTTATTACACTGGGCATACCCAAACATTTTAATGTATTTTTGCTGGCATACTTAGGAGCTAGCTTTTGACTTATAGCAAATTTTTCCTTTGAAATAATTTAAGGCCATAAATATCTATGTCTGTTGTGTTTGTTTATTTTTTACCTGTGTCCTTTCAGTCATTTTTCTATATTGTTCTATGTATTATCAAGTTCACAGACCCTGGGGACTAATGGGATTTTCTGGCATGTTGTTTGAAAAAAAAAAAAGCACTACTCCCCAGAAATGTAGAAAATTGGCCAGGTGCAGTGCCTCATGCCTGTAATCCCAGCACTTTGGGAGGCCGAGGCGGGTGGATCATGAGGTCAAGAGATCAAGACCATCCTGGCTAACACGGTGAAACCCCATCTCCACTAAAAATACAAAAAATTAGCCGGGCGCAGTGGCGGGCACCTGTAGTCCCAGCTACTCGGGAGGCTGAGGCAGGAGAATGGCTTGAACCCGGCAGGCGGAGCTTGCAGTGAGCTGAGATTGTGCCACTGCACTCCAGCCTGGGCCACAGAGCAAGACTCTGTCTCAAAAAAAAAAAAAAAAAAAAAGTAGAAAATAAATTACAAATGCATTGATGGTAAATTTTTAAAATATAATGAGACTCACAGGTTTTCCAATATTTGATATTCTCTTTACAGGACAAAACTGATGTACAGCAAAGCACACCAGGTACATGCTCATGGGGACAGACTTCTCGACAGTTGTTTGATTCCATTTTTCATCCACTGACCCTTGTTTCTATAGAAAAGAAAAGATCAACTTTTATCTATCAAAAGATCAATCATATATATGCAAGACAAACAAATAAACGATTGCCCCAAACCTTGCTTTCTAGTCAGAAGTCCTTTGTCAAAGCTTAGAGGTCAAATTGTTTGTGGTGATGTTGATAAGACTATAGGAAAATTTACTCTGTTCTTAGAACTGTGAAAGACTGACTGAATTACACACTGTATTAGGTTTTTCAGGGAGAAATAAAATCTTGACTGGACTGTCAGTTGAATAGGAGTTTATCTGTCTACACGAAACACATCATACTGACTATAATATCTGAGAGTACTCTGATCTAATGAAAAACAGGCTCGTGCTCAAGTATTTTCTGATTCGACTGTGCAGGAGGGCAATTGCTGTACCCAGTTTCGTGGAACATTGGCTTCTCTTTTCCATCTTTCGTTGTCTACATCAAAGACTAAAGGTATGATGACCAAAGTCAGTGCCTCGGTCTCCATGGACAGAGAGAAGGATTCTATTGCTTGACACAACTACTGACCTATCTGGCTTGTTTTGTCCATGTCAGCTCTGCTGTCCTCACTGCCGATCACCTATCCTAAGACTTCAACCATGAATACTTGCCCAACTCCTGCTTCCATTACTTAAACATTTCCACATCTCCTGCAGCCACTCTATTTGAGGTGGTTTAAAAAGAGATAAAGTGAGGGAGGCTGGACTAGAATGGGTGCTGCTGACACTTCAAGCATGTGTGTGCACGCCCTTGTATAATTGTGGTGGTGCTCCAGGTTACATTACTCTACCATAAAAACCTAGTAGTGTTAGTTTTGATCTCCTAAGAACCCAGAATATCCTCCTTCTTCCAGAACTACTATCTGGATCTAGTAGAAGGTGAAGTGTAACTCTGCACAGTGAAAAGGCCATAAGGGAATATCTCAAGCAGAAGTTGGTGAATTTGCCATTTTTCCCCCCACCTTCATCTAGATTGGTGTGTCATATTTTAAGTTTATCCTTTCCTCTTTCTTCTCCAATCAAACCTTAGAAGAAAACAAGTTGATAATTAATTCTCACTGAAGCATGGATGGCCTCTAAGAGTACATTTTAATCCTCTTAAGCTTTTATTTGCTTTATTTTACTGTTGCTTTTTCAAGGAATATTTTATCATTTAAAAAGATGAATTTTAATGATAATATTTCAAATAGTGGATCAGAAAGATGGGAGACATAATTTGGGGCCTGTGTCCTAATGATTATTATACCTAAAGATGAGCCTGACCCTTTTACATGTCAGATGTATAAAGTATGTAAACCTCAACTTTGAGGTAATGAAACTCTGGGTAACAACATTATCCATTATGGAAATAAGACGCGATAACAGAGAAAAGTGTTTTATGTTAATGAATAATTTAGACAAGCAGAAATTATCAGCATGTTATTTTTTCTCTTTTTATAATTTAACTTAATTAATTTATTTGTTTAGTATACTTTAAGTTCTGGGATACATGTGCAGAATGTGCATGTTTGTTGCACAGGTATACATGTGCCATGGTGGTTTGCTGCTCCCATCAATCCGTCATCCATATTAGGTATTTCTCCTAATGTTATCCCTCCCCTGGCCCCCCAGCCCTTGACAGGCCTTGGTGTGTGATATTCCCCCGACATGTCCATGTGTTCTTATTGTTCAACTCCCACTTATGAGTGAGAACATGCAGTGTTTGGTTTTCTGTTCCTGTGTTACTTTGCTGAGAATGATGGTTTCCAGCTTCATTCATGTCCTTGCAAAGGACAAAAACTCATCCTTTTTTATAGCCTGTTATTTTTTTCTCCAGACATTTAACAAGTACTTTTCAGTCACCAAAGGAGTCTATGGGCAAAGTATTCCCTGGAGTTTGCTTCCACAACCCAGTATTTAAGTGATGTTTTTTTTATAGTAGCTTTATCTTAAAAACAAAACAAAACGAAAAAAACTGGATTTATATTCACCTGAAAACTAAATAGTGAGTAGCCCTCAAATATTTTCAAGTCTGTAATTCCATTAGTTTGCTATTACTGTAATTTGTCACGACTCTCAAGCTGATGTATGTGTCCATGGCATTGTCTCCTGTGTAGAAACACCAATGTGGCTTTCTTACTGGACTGTGGTATCTTAAAAACTTCCAGGACTCAAAGAAAAATATTGCCAAAATGTATTTTACTCAGCTTAATAAACTATTAGTGCACATTTAGTTTTAGAATTCAATGGGTTTTCTTTCACAGAAAATAAGGTAATTGACCTAATGTTGTCAACAGACTCTGCACAAACAAGACATTTAAAAAACACTTACCGCCACTGGCATATTTGAAATGCCTCAGATCCTTTGGGATGGGTGAAAGATATTGTATAAGTTGCCTTTTTGTTGCACTCATCAAAACAAGGAAAGGATTTCCTGGCATCTGTCGGTTCATGATCGGTGGCTGCTAAGCTCCTTAGAAACAAACACACAAACAAAATGCATGCTGCCTCTTCTGACAACCCCTATGTCTCTATTCCTAGGGGAAAAAAATCAGCTATGCAATTATAACAATTACATTTCTAAAAATGAGGTACCATCTAGAAAACGATCAAATATTTGTCAAAGGTTTTCCTGGAATTTTTAGGTTAACAAATTTTTTAAAAATCCTGAGACAGATTGCTTCAGATATTTCATTCACATATTTATTTGTCAAAAACTGCAGTGACTTTTGCACCAACCTAACAGCTATTTTGGTGCCACAACTAAAAATCTGTGGAGGAGCAAAAATAAATCCAATTATGAACTAGTACTCTCTCCACCCCAAGCCCATTGAGCAACAAGTAAACACAAAGCCAAACTTAAAAGCTTGTGTCTAACTGCCCTTATGGGAAGTGAACAGCTGTCCTCTGTCACAGAGTGGAGTTTATTCCAGAGTCCCCAGTCCCTGTCCCTAATGGCTCATTCTTTGTTATTTATGTTACACCAGAGACAAAACCCCCAGTTTCATTTCCGTGTAGAGGCAGTGCTGAGTAATCTCCTAGGTCAAGTAACCTTTGTCCTAGTTTAATACTCTTAAAAAGAGACAGCAGTATTTTTTTTTAATTTTATTTTTTTGAGACGGAGTCTCGCTCTGTCACCGAGGTGGGAGTGCAGTGGCGCAATCTCGGCTCACTGCAAGCTCCGCCTCCCGGATTCACGCCATTCTCCTGCCTCAGCCTCCGGAGTAGCTTGGACTACAGGCGCCCGACACCACACCAGACTAATTTTTTTGTATTTTTAGTAGAGACGGGGGTTTCACCGTGTTAGCCAGGATGGTCTCGATCTCCTGACCTCGTGATCCGCCCGCCTCGGCCTCCTACAGTGCCGGGATTACAGGCATGAGCCACCGCGCCCGGCCAGCATTTTTTTTATGGCTCTAACTAGGCATATGTTTGTGTAAACTAAAATATTAATGTTTAGTATTTTCATAATTTCAAGGTGAAAATATTATTTTCTGAGTAATTGCTCAAAAATATCAATAAGCATACACTTTTTACATGCAAACATATTGCAGTAAGAGAATAGTGTATATTTGCTTATTAGAAAATGAAGCAAAGTAAAAAGTATAAAAGTAAAGAAATGGTAATTTCTATTCATTAATAATTTGTGTAAGGAAAAATTTTGTCCTTCAGGATTCTTAAAACTAAGAAAGACATATCATAAAGAATATCAGGCTAAATTATTACATCATCCATTCATCCAAGAAATATTAATTGAGCCCCTTCCACACACACACACATGCACACACAAGCACCTATGCATGCATATACACATTTGCAGACATTTTCCTAGCTGCTGTATGAAACCGCCTTTGCAAAATTATAACAGAGGAAATTATGAGAGTGAAAAAAGTCAAACCTAACCAACTCCATCTTGCTTTTAACCTTTAAGCTGTACTTGTTCATTCCTGAGCATAGGCTGAACTAATTTTGGGAAGGAATTTGGTTCATGGTTTGACTCTGAAACAAAATTGATAATAGCCCTTTCCTGAAAAGACCTCCTTCTTCCCTGGGGACCACTCTGCCTTTGTGGGACTAACAAATTAGCTACAAGATTAGAAATTACAGTTTAGGGGTCATGCAGCCTCTGGCTGCAAGAGTCTCAACCTCCTCAAATTCCTCATAGGGATAACATTACTACTGTAAAACCTAATATTAGTGATTGAGATATTTTGCAGACTCTGTACTTGTTGGATCAGCTAACACCACCCAGACCAGTAATCGGGCTCAACCAGTTCTGCCATCCCACCCAGGAACAGAAAACACCAAGAAAAACTCACTTCAACCCTGTATGACTCCGTCTCCAACTTGACCAATGAGCACTCCCCACTTCCCAAGCCCCTGCCCGCCAAATTATCTTAAAAACTCTGATCCCCAAATACTCGGGGAGACAAAGTTGAGTAATAATAAAATTCTGGTCTCCTGCATAGCCAGCTCTGTGTGAATTACTCTTTCTCCGTTTCAATTCCCCCCCATCTTGATAAAATCGGCTCTGTCTAGGCAGTGGGCATGGTGAACCCATTGGGCGGTTACACGTATAGATAAGATTCCAGACTGCTTACAGGGTGTTAGACAAGAGACACACAAATAAATAATTTAGGAGAGTGATGATAGCTATATAGAAAATAAAACACTGGAGGAGACAGAGAATGACTAGGAAATGTGGTAAGCAACATTAGGTAGAGTAATCACAATCTCTTGGTTTGCCAAGATCTGAATAATGAGAAAAAGCCAGGCAAGTGGAGATTCAGGAAAATATGTTCAAGTAGAAGGAACCATAAGTGCAAAGTCCCTAAGATGAAAAAGAACCTGATGTGGTTGAGCAATCGAAAGGTGTCCAGTGTGGCTAAAGAACACAGAACCAGAGGGACTGGAGCCAGAGATGAATCTGACATGAGGTCAGCAGAGGCCAGATCAGGAAAATATCAGAGATCATGAGAAGAGCATGCATTTTATTTTTGGTTCAAGGATTTATTACAGTCCAGGATTTGACTGCCTTTGGCCAAATATGGGAGTATTGGAACATCAAAATAAACAATGGGATTATAACTCATTGAATAAATTAATAATCTCTGAGTCCTTACTCTGATTTTTTTAAATGAATAAATAAATGGGTGAGAAGGGAAAGTTCTTCCTTCCAGTAGATTGCCCACTAAAAATATTTGAAGGGAAAATTGATTTAAAAAAAATCATCAGTGGATGCCAAAACAAGGGGGTGAAAATTTGGTGAGGAAGGGATATTTGCAAGGTTTCAAAAACAACTCCCTGAAAGTTACCTAAAGAGAAACATTGTAACTTTACAATGGAGACACTTGTTGGACACTACCTTAAGCAAGCTATCAAAGGAAGCATGAGTAATAATAGTTCAAACCAGCACAATGTGTCTCTAATGTGATTTCCTGAGAGAGACACATCACTTCTGTGATAGTCCTGACAACAACAACAACAACAACAACAACAAAAAGCTTAACTTGCATTTTTAAATCATGAGGAAAATCAGACAAACTAAAACTGAGGGACATTCTCAAAGTAGCTGGCCTGTATTCTTCAAAAAATATTAACTTTAGAAAGACAAAGAAGGACTAAGGGACTGGTTTCAGTTTAAAGGAGTCTAAAAGGGCATGACGCTAAGTGCAATGCAGCATTCCAGACTGGGTACTGCACTGGGGAAAAAAAACATTCAAAAAGACATCATTAGGTTAGTTAATAAAATTCTATTACAGACTGTGAATTGCATAATTGTATCAATGTTGAATTTCATGATTTTGATGGCGTACTATGGTTATTTTAGAGAATACCCCCGTACTTAAGAAATATGCTCTGATGTTAAGGGGTAAAGGGAGAGGATGTTTCCATGTGCTCTGGAAAGGAAGGGGAAGGGGTACAGGCTAAAATGTAAACAGTTGGTGAATCTAGGTTAAGTATTTGTAGGAATTCCTAGTACAATTCTTATAACTTTCCTATGAATTTGAAATTATGTCACAATAAAGTTACCCAAGAAAAGCCTCAAATTAAGAATTCATTCTGCAGTAGAACAATCACTGATTAGTTTTGTGACATTAACAGTTTAGTCAATTGAAGTTTCTAAACATCTTGCAGATTGTAGTTAATGGCAAATATCAGACTCTAAACAAGACTGTATACTTTCCCAGAGTATGAAAGTTTTATAATAAGATCCACCAGGCTCCAACCCCATGTTCAGTCAGCTGCCCTTTTCTTCTGAATTCTTCTGGCTTCTGATGTCTTCCAGAGGCAGAGGAAAAGGAAAAGTCACTCCCCACAAGAATGTCTCATGTGAGTCAGACCTCAGAAATAGGCCAGCTAACTAATTTGAGAAGATGGGTGTGTGTGAGTGCGCATGCATGCGCACACCACACACATCATGTGTGGGAGGTGAGAGGAAGGAGGGAGTGGAATCACACTTTCCTAAGCTATAGTCATGGGATATATTTTCAAATACTCTATTTTACTCTTGGCTGGATGCTAGAATATATATATATACACACATATATATATGTATATATATGTGTATATATGTATATATGTGTATATATGTATATATGTGTATATATGTATATATGTGTATATATGTATATATGTGTATATGTGTGTATATGTATATATGTGTGTGTATATATGTATATGCGTATATTTGTGTATATGAGTGTATATGTGTGTACATATGTGTATATATGTATATATGTGTATATATGTGAATATATGTGTATATGTGTATATATGTGTATATATGTATATATGTGTGTATATATGTGTGTATATATGTATGTGTGTGTGTGTATATTATATATGTGTGTATATATGTATGTATATATGTATATATGTGTATGTATATGTGTATTATATATGTGTATATATATGTGTGTGTATATGTGTGTGTGTGGTGTGTATATATATATATATATATAAAATCCTTTCCTGGGTTCTTAGGATTATATACATGTGTGTGTGTGTGTGTGTGTGTGTGTGTGTGTGTATAATCCTAAGAACCCAGGAAAGAAAAGAATTTTCAATCATTTTCTCACCTTCTCTCTTCAAAAGACATTCTGCTTGATTGTAGGCAAAAACTACCTTCCTAAATTAGCATATTCCTGAGCATGCCAATGGACATGGAACAGAACAGTGTGGGAGATTTCTCTGTGCAGTGTGTTTGGTCCAGCTCAGTGGTCCTCTCAGCAAATGTCAATCACAGCAAGTCTAACTCAATCACAGTGAAGCAGATATAGATACAGTGACATTCATCAACCAGAAGAGCTATATAATGTTTATTTTCTTTTTCTTTTTTAAAGTTCAGAACCAATATGATTTCATGGGGAAAACCCTTTCCTAAGAGCAAAAATTCTTACATTCTAATCCTACTTCAGCCACTTAAGTGTGATCTTGACAAAGTCACAAAACCTCAGTCTGTTAGTGTCCTCATCTGTAAAACCTGGTTACCAGAGCATGTGTGGCCTCTTCACAGCATTACAGGGAAGTGAGAAGGGGTAGATTACATGTAGTAATATATTTGAAACTTCCTTAAAATTTACATAATCCGGTTAGGATATACCTCATTCTACATCTTATAAATCTAGAATGCTAACTGTGCTTTCTGACATAGCACTTTCACAATCTGAAATCTTTCAAATTCTGTCATTTGACTGCAATATATACTGGAACAAAATTACTTGGTGTATATACACTATAGGCAATATAAGCATTTTTAAAATGGTAACCTGTTCTTTTTCTCATTAACTTCAAAATAACTCAAAAGCTCCTTTTTATATATCCTAAATTCCATCAGTCGGCCCTAAACTTTTCTAAGTGTATGCAAAGTTGAAAACAAGAAATAAGAGATATTTATTATTATTATACAAAACAATTCTAGATCACAACTTCTTTGGGAAGGTTTTATTCAGTGATTACAATCAGATGACTTGTGTTGCAAATTAAGAGAAAAAGGCTGACTAATAGCACAATATATTCAGGAGTGACTCGTGGGTATGTCCTGAATAATTATCACACCAGGCAAATGTGTTGGAGTAAACCACTTCCCCACAAGGGCCTCCCTATGCCACATTAATAGGTCACTTACTAGACCTAGCACAATAAAATGATAGTCTATGCAATTTAGTCATTACCAAAAGGGAAGAGCATTTTTCTGGCATCTCTGAGTGGATCAGATCAAGGTGACTTTAGAGAAAAATGAAGGAGAAGGGGCGATGCCACAAGCTATGGCTTGGATCACTCTGAATCGACTCTAAAAACAAAACCAAAAAAGGTACCTAATTATCTCATAAATCATGCACTATTTCCAGTGAAGACTCTCCGGCTGTGTTGAGCAATTTTATAAGTTGAACCAGCAAAATAAACAGCAAGTTTTGGGTGAAATCCTTAAATACAGAGCTTCTGATTCAGGACAGGTAGTCACAATTGCTAGGAGTCTATATAGACTAAATAAAGGGCTCCAAAATTACGTAGCGGAGAAGATGGGTGAAAAACAACCCCTCTAAATTGTTCAGACCTCTATGTATTTTTATGGTGGTTTGAATGAATCAGTTAGTTATTTAACTTTATTTTCCAATTGCTGTTTTTCTATGTGGAAGATATTCAAGGTCAAGTAAAATTTCTTTTTGTTTTCTTGCTTCCAAAATAAAAGAAATTTACTTAGCCTCCTGCAACAAGTAAAGAAGACCAAAAAGAAAATGTATTCTTTTTTTTTTGAGATGGAGTCTCACTCACTCTGTCACCCAGGCTAGAGTGCAGCGGTGTGATCTTGACTCACTGCAACCTCCGCTTCCTGGGTTCAAGTGATTCTCTCGCCTCAGCCTCCAGAGTAGCTGGGATTACAGGCATGTGCCACTACCCCAGGCTAATTTTTATATTTTTGGTAGAGATGGGGTTTCACCATGTTGGCCAGGCTGGTCTCAAACTCCTAACCTCAGGTGATCCGCTCACCTCGGCCTCCCAAAATGCTGGGATTACAAGCATGAGCCACCTTGCCCAAATCTATTCTTTATTGACATTTTTATTGACAATGGGATAATAGCCCAGCATACCAATCAAGAATATAATGAACAAACTGACATACAACAAACATTTCAAGATCAAAACTACATGTGCTTGAGTACACATACACATCCATGCACGTAAGAACACATCCCACACACACACTCTCTCTCTCTCTCAATGATGATTATCTCACCAATGTTTCCACTCAATTCCTTAATCTTTATTACAAGCTCTAACCTTGTGCTTCAGACTTACTTATGCAAGTGCCTACTAGTCATCTCTTCCTAGATGTCTGACAAGCCATCAACACATCTGACACTGAACTTACGACCTTCCCTTCTAACCTGGCAACTTCCAAACTATTCCCAATATCAATTGAGGTGAAGGCTAGCTGGGGTATCTTAGACCCATAACTTTAACTCATCCTTCCTCAGAGTCAATCAATCGTCAAATCTTGACTACTTTACCTCCAAACTGTTTTCTCCATTGTGTCCTCTCTTCTCTATCCTGAAATCACTTTTCCTATCTGATCCTTATCTTCTCTTTCCTGGATTTTTGCAATATCTTTCATATACCCAAGTGTATAGTTGAGTTAACTCTTTCTTTCACCATCTGTATCCAAAAAGTCACCAGGTAATTTCTCCTTCATAATGCCTATCATGGCTATTTTTCCTTTTCTTCCGTATGGGTTTTCCTCAGTGATATCTAGCTAGCCTCTTCATATAAACTTCCCCTACAAACTAATTTTCTTGTCCCCACTATGCTTTTCTGACTTGTTGCCTTTCCTTTTTGACTGCTTTTACTTTCTCACTTGTCTCTGCTGCTGAACTCCCACTGTAACATCAAAATTCAGCTTAAATCCTACTAGTGCTATGAAGAACAGCTTGGAAGCCCAAACTAGAAATGATCTCTTTAAAATTCCAGTTGTACTTCCTGTCAATTCCACTGTTTCTCTGCCTTTAAACTACGGAGATTGCATTCCTAAGTACAAATATAAACTCTTCCCTTCCACAGGGTAGGGAGAAAAGGAACCAAGGGAAAATTTTCACCCTAAGTGGGAATGTAGAGATGTTATTGGTGGAAGTTAGGCTCGTTTATGGGAAAGGAGCTGTGGTAATGCAATGTGTCCCAGCATTTGCCAGAGGATGCTAGTCATGTGAGAGCTTATATGAAAATATTTCCATATATTCCATTTAGCAATATTTCAGTGCTCACTGTGTGCCAAACAGGAAATGAGAGACATATATCCCTGCTCTTAGGAACCCCACAAAAGAATCCACAGTCACAGATATTTGGGACACTACATAGTTGACATTATCATATAAAAGCCTCTGAAAACCCTATAATCCCAGCTACTCAGAAAGCTGAGGTGGGAGGATCACTTGAACTCATGAACTCATGAGTTCGAGCCAGGAGTTCTACCCGAGCCTGGACCTCATCTCTTTAAAAAAATAGTCTCTGAAAGATTACATAATTAAAAAACAAAATCCAAAACAGATCATTTTGTATTTAGTATTATAGCAAAAACTGATTTAGCCACAGAATCTCTCCTGCTATTTTCCCATTCTCAGCCCTGTGACTTGCTTTGACTAATAAAATGAGGCAGAAGTGATGTGTGGCTTTAAAAGCTGGGTCTTAAAGGGTCTTGCAGGAAGCAGGAGTTCCAAATGGCTGAGAGAGACACTTAGCACCTACTTACCTCAAAATGCAATGATAAAACTGGATAAAAATTTTCAAAAACAATCATTTCAAGAGTGGAAATTGACCAGACACACAGCAATTTGAGGAGCAGCTATTCAAAAGAAACAAACAAACAAACAAAGCTACTGAGGCACTGTAAGAACAGAAAGTCAATAAAATTCATGACAGAGCAAAATTAAAAACAAAACAACAAACAGAAAAACACAGGAAAGTATGATCTATGTACAGGGGCAAAAAGTCAATAGAAGCCATTTTGAGGGGACTGGATGCTAAAGACTTCAAAGCAACTATTACAATATATGTTTTTAGAACTCAGAAACTTTGTAATGAAAGAATTAAAGAAAGTATGATATTGTTATGGTCTGAACATTTGTGTTCGCTGAAGATTCATATGTTGAAACATAATTACCAATATGATAGTAAAAGGAGATAGGGCTTATAGAGGATGATTAGATCATGTAGGCACGTGCCTGTAGTCCCAGCTACTCAGGAGGCTGAGGCAGGAGAATTGCTTGAACCTGGGAGGCAGAGGTTGCAGTGAGCTGAAATCACACCACTGCACTCCAGCCTGGGTGACAGAGCAAGACTCCGTCTCAAAACAAAGAAAAAAAAAAGAAGAAGAAGAAAAGAAAATTTGAACTAGCAGAAAAAAAAGAATTGGCAGACTTGAAGATGGGTCTCTGGAGATGATCCAATATGAACAAAAAGGAAAAAATGAATACCTGTGGGACACATTATACATACCTACGTTTTTTTTTAATTATACTTTAAGTTTTAGGGTACATGTGCACAATGTGCAGGTTTATTACATACGTATACATGTGCCATGTTGGTGTGCTGCACCCATTAACTCATCATTTAACATTAGGTATATCTCCTAATGCTATCCCTCCCCCCTCCCCCCACCCCACAACAAGCCCCGGTGTGTGACGTTCCGCTTCCTGTGTCCATGTGTTCTCACTGTTCAATTCCCACCTATGAGTGAGAACATGTGGTGTTTGGTTTTTTGTCCTTGTGATAGTTTGCTGAGAATGATGGTTTCCAGCTTCATCCATGTCCCTACAAAGGACATGAACTCATCATTTTTTATGGCTGCATAGTATTCCATGGTGTATATAAACATACCTACTTTGAAAGTTCTTTTGATATTGGACAATGCTCCTGGCCACCCAGAATCCCATGAGTTCAACACTGAAAGCACTGAAGGGGTCTACATGACCCAAACACAATGTCTCTAATTCAGTCTGTAGATTAGGAGTCATAAGAACCTTTAAGGCTCATTACATACCATACTCTGTGGAAAGGATTGTTAAGGCTATGGAAGAGAACTTCAAAAGAAAGAACATCATGAAAGTCTGAAATGATTACACCATTGAAGATGTCATCATTGTGATAGAAAACGCCAGGAAAGCCAACAGGCCTGAAGGAATAAATTCCTGCTGGAGAAAACTGTGTCCAGATGTAGTGTATTATTTCACAGGATTTATGACAGAGTCAATCAAGGAAATCATGAAAAAGATTGTGGCTATCGCAAAGAAATAAAGAGAGAGAGAGAAAAAAAAGGAAAGAAAAGAAAAGAAAAAGAAAGGTGGTGAGTGAAGAGTTTCAAGACAAGGATCTCAAGGAAATTCAAGAGTGAACAGACACCACACCAGAGGAGTTAACAGAAGGCAGGTTGGTGGAAAGAAGTGCTTCCGAACCAGGCTTACATGATGAGGAAGAAGATGTAGAAGAAGCAGTGTCAGAAAATAAATTGACATGAGACCATCTGGCAGAAGGGTTCTGATTAATCAAGATTGCTTTTAACTTATTTTACAACATGTACCCTTTCATGATACAGGCACTGAAACTAAAGCAAAGGTGGAAGAAGGATTGGTACCATGTAGAAACATTTTTAGAGAAATAAAAAAGGAAACAGAAATTATGATGTATTTCCATAAACTTACATAAAGTGTGCCTTCCTCCTCTGCCTCCCCTTCTCCCGTCTTCACCTCTTCTAGCTCAGCCACCCTGAGACAGCAAGACCAACCCTTGCCCTTCTCTTCCTCCTCCTCCTCAGCCTACTCAATGTGAAGATGATGAGGATGAAGACCTTTATGATAATCCACTTTCACTTGATGCATAACAAATATATTTCTCTTCCTTATAATTTTATTTTTTCTCTAGCTTACTTTAAGAATGCAGTATATAATACACATAAAATACAAAATATGATCAATTGACAGTTTATATTATAGGTAAGGCTTCTGGTCAACAGTAGTTTTTGAGGAGTCAACATATGCAGATTTTTTATTGTGTGTGGGGTTGGTACCCCTTACCCCTGCATTGTTCAAAGGTCAACTGTATTGGAAGAAATAACAGCCAAAAGTTTCCCAGACATGATGAAAAACATTCATCTATATACCCAAGAAGGTCAAAGAATTCCAAGTGGGATAGATAGAAAACAGATCCATACCTAGAGATGTCAGAATCAAATCGTTGAAAGCCAAAGACAAGGAGAAAACCTTAAAAGTAGCAAGAAAAAAAATTCATTATGTGCAAGGGAACGACATTAATATTATCAATGGACTTGTCATTAGAAATAGTGGTGACCAGGCTGGGCGAGGTGGTTCACGCCTGTAATCCCAGCACTTTGGGAGGCCAAGGTTGGTGGATCATCTAGGTCAGGAGTTCGAGACTAGCCTGGCCAACATGGTGAAACCCCATCTCCACTAAAAATACAAAAATTAGCCAGGTGTGGTGGCTACTCTCAGCTACTCAGGAGGCTGAGGCAGGAAAATTGCTGGAACCCTGGAGGCGGAGGCAGCAGTGAGCCGAGATCGCGCCAGTGCACTCCAGCCTGGGTGACAGTGAGACTCTGTCTCAAAAATTAATTAATTAATTAAAAAAAGAAATAGTGGTGACCAAAAGGCAATGGGATAACGTAATTCACAATTCTAAAAGAAAATGAAGAATTTTATCCAACAGTGCCATGTCATGCCATCCATACTGGAGCCTGAGGCAAAAGGAAAAATCAGCAATATTGATCCTATCTCTATTTTAAATTTTGGTATTTTGTTCATCATAGGTTTTATTGCATCCATTTTCATTTTTAAATATGGCATTAAAACATTTTTATTTATTTTGATTACTGAGATTTTTGGTTTCCCTTAAATTTTGTGCTCAAGGTGAGTGCCTCACTTGATTTGCCCTAATCCCAGAAGTAACCAGAAAGATTATGTTTTTTTGTTTGTTTGTTTGTTTGTTTTGAGATGGAGTCTTGCTCTGTCGCCCAGGCTGGAGTGCAGTGGCGCAATCTCTGCTCACTGCAACCTCCGCCTGCTGGGTTCACGCCATTCTCCTGCCTCAGCCTCCTGAGTAGCCACCAAACCCGGCTAATTTATTTTTGTATTTTTAGTACAGACAGGGTTTCACCATGTTAGCCAGGATGGTCTTGATCTCCTGACCTCGTGATCCACCCGCCTCGGCCTCCCAAAGTGCTGTGATTACAGGAGTGAGCCACCGCGCCCGGCAAGACTATGTTTTAAAAATGATGCTGAAATAAAGACATTCCAGATGAACACCATTCCCAGATGAACAAACGCTGAGCAAATGTGTTGCTAACATACCTGGCTTTCAAGAAATACTAAATAAGTACTTTAAGCTGAAAGGAAATGACACTGGATAGTAACTCAAATTTATATAAAGAAAGAACAAGCACTGGTAATTACATAATTAAATATGATGTCTTCTCTTAACTGATTTAAAAGATAATTGCATGAAATGATAATTATCAAAATATATTGCAAGGGTAATGACACATAAAGATTAATATGTACTGCAGGGACAAACAGAAAAGTAATCATTTTTTAAAAAGATCTAATATGTACCAATAATACCACAAAGTGGAGGTCGGGGGAGAATAGAGATATATTGGAACAAGGAAATAAAATGAGAAAGTAACGGCTGGGTGCGGTGCTTCACGCCTGTAATCCCAGCACTTTGGGATGCCGAGGTGGGTGGATCACCTGAGGTCAGGAGTTCGAGACCAGCCTGGCCAACACCGGCAAACCCCGTTTCTACCAAAAATACAAAAATTAGCCGGGCGTAGTGGCAGGCACCTGTAATCCCAGCTACTCGGAAGGCTGGGGCAAAAGAATCGCTTGAACCCAGGCGGCAGAGGTTGCAGTGAGCCGAGATCACGCCACTGCACTCCAGCCTGAGCAACAAGAGTGAAATTGTCTCAAAAAAAAAAAAAAAAAGACAACTAAAATCCATAGGCAGATATGAAAATCAGAAATGATAGATATGTGGATTAATATAAAAGACTATATGTCTCCTTCTTCTTAGCTTTTTACTTTGTTTATTTAAATTAATTAATGTATTTATTTATTTATTTTGAGATGAAGTCTTGCTCTGTCGCCAGGCTGGAGTGCAGTGGCGCGATCTCGGCTCACTGCAGCCTCCGCCTCCAGGGTTCAAGTGATTCTCCTGCGTCAGCCTCCGGAGCAGCTGGTATTACAGGCACCCGCCACCGCGCCTGGCTAATTTTTGTATTTTTAGTAGAGATGGGGTTCCGCTGGTCTCGCACTCCTGACCTCAAGTGATCCGTCTGCCTCAGCCTCCCAAAGTGCTGGGATTACAGGCATGAGCCACCTCGCCCGGCATCTCTTAGCTTTTTTAAAAGACATAAAGTTGTACAAAGAAATAATTATAGAGACAATAATAGCCCAGAAGAGTGGGGAGAGAAGTCAGCTATATTAAAACAAAGTTTATCCGTTTTACTTTCACTCCCTTAGACCACTCCCCTGTGGCCACGGTGCAGGGATGACAAGAGGCTACATAGAGGACCTTTCCGGAGACTTCTGTTGGAGAAAACACCATCAGTTTGCATTAAAAAAAGAAAGAGAGACACGGCACTAAATGAAAAAAGGCCCTTAATTCATCAGTTTCTTTAAGGCAGGAAGCAGAAATTCAGTTGAGAAAGCTACTCAGCTGCAAACGTGGTGTTTGGTTTGTTTACCAAAAAGAAAAGATGTCATAGAGAGCATAGCTGACCGTTGAGAGGGCAGGGCAGGAGAACTAATAAGAAAAATCGATTAGGGAACCACTAGTAAGTTAAATTAGCTGACTGCAGGAAATGAGGCCAATAAACAAAAATCAGTAGTGTTTCTACATACTAGCAATACAAATTGAAAAATGAAATTAAAATACCATTTTCTAGCATCCAAATACATGAAGTAATTAGAGATAAATTTATCAAATTATGTGCAAGACCTATGCACTGAAAACTACAAAACTTTGCTGAGAAATATTATAAATATATCTCAGGAAATATTTAGACATATATAAAAATAAATAGAGATATATATATTCTGCTCAATATGAAGACTCAATATGTTTAACATATTAGGTCCCCCATATTGACCTTGGAATCAGTTCAATCCCAACCAAAATCCTTATAGACTTTTTTTGGTGGAAATTTTTATAAGCCAGTTCAAAATTTAATACAGCTGCGCACGGTGGCTCACGCCTGTAATCCCAGCACTTTGGGAGGCTGAAGCGGGTGGATCACCTGAGCTCAGGAGTTTGAGACCAGCCTGGCCAACATGGGGAAACCCCGTTTCTACCAAAAATACAAAAAATTAGCCAGGTGTGGTGGCGTGGGCCTGTAATCCCAGCTACTCAGAAGGCTGAGACACAAGAATCGCTTGAACCCCGAAAGCAGAGGTTGCAATGAGCCGAGATCATGCCACTCCACTCCAGCCTGGGCGACACAGTGAGACTCCATCTCAAATAAATAAATAAATAAATAAAACCAAATTTAATACAGAAGCACAAAGACCTAACAAGAGCCAAAATAATTTTGAAAGAGAACAATATAATTTTGAACATTTTTAACTATCTGATTTCAAGATTTATTATAAAACTACAGTAACCAAAAAGGTGAGGTATTGGTATAAAAATAAATATAATAATTGAGCAATTAAACAGAATAAAGTGACTACCGGTAAATCCACATACATATGAACAATTGATTTTTGACAGAGATCAAGGTACTTCATGAGAAAAGGATCATTTTTTCTTTTTCTTCTTTTTAAAACAAGTAATGCTGAAACAACTGGATAGAAGATACCAGTTGTAAGAAAGAAAATGGGTCTTGACTCATAATATACTTCACTACACCAAAAAAATAACAAAAGCAAAATTAACTTGATCAGAGACTAAATGAAAAATCAAAGCCACAATACTTCCAGCAGGAAATATTTAAGGCAGGCAAAGATTTCTTAGGACATATAAAAGGTTATAAAATATAAAAGAAAATGTTATAAACTTTAGTAAGAACCAGCTTTTCAAACAATACCACAAAGAATACGATAAAGCAAGCTATACACTAGGATAAACAAAATTTGGCTTCATTTGTTTAGTAAATTTGAAGCTTTGCATATCCTAGGATCCATCAATTCTGTTACTAAGGATTATGCCCCTGGCATATAAACGCACAAGGCTGGGGCTAGGGGATGAGTTAAAGAGTCATTTTGCAAAATGTAACACAGGGAAAGTACAAATTCAGCCAAATTTATCACATTTTCTATATTCACAACTACATAAGTACAGTGAACACTGATTTCGGAGCAAAGACTGAGGCATTGTAAGACTTTGTTTCATATAAGATTCCATTAAATTAAATAAAGAGTATTTACTACTCATTTATTTTATAAAAATGTATCAAAACAAAGGCAAAACAGGTTATTAAAATTAAGGGTCTGGATTAATCTATTTCCTGAAAAGGTGATAATTTACAGTTTAAATATGTCATTTTGACAACATTTCCAATTTTTAAGCATTAGTCGGTATTTCTTCATATCAGAATAATACTGAAGACTGCATCATGATTTGGATAGTCCCATGAGATTTTTCTTTTCATGTGATTTAGCCTGTGTACTCAAAGTAGGCTTTCCATTAGCAAAAGAGTGGAAAAAATAAGACTCCATTCAGTTATTTCGGATCTGGAAAAAGTGACAACAGGTAAATACAGGTAGCTTTAGAAGATTCTGTCTCTTTGAACTTAGGACTAAATTGATTGTTTTTAAAAAATATTTTCTTTGAAGAAGTGGAAACCTTTTTCAGGCACACAAATAAACTATGTGCATTCCAAATATCAAAAACATGAATGTAGAGCTGTTGAGGTTGAAGCGGAAGAAGGGTGGCCCACAGCTGAGCTTTAGCCACTGAAAATGGCCCTAGAGGAACTTCAGAAAATTCTTGGGCTGCATGGAATGCATCTGAAAGCCCATGCTCTACATTAGATCTAAAGACCACCTCCGCCTCCAGCACTGACAGTATCCATGTAATTTAAGATAGCACCTGTGTTACTTTCTTTTTTAAATCACACTCCCCCATTCCCACCCCACTAAGAAAAAAACAAAACCTAAGAACTTGATAATAAGATCTTTCTATTTCTCCCTAGTCCTTCATTTAGGGCCACTGACCTTCACCTTCGCTTTCTCATGCTTGTGCCCTCTAATTTCCAGGCTCTTGAAGTACGCCCTAGGCAAGATCTTACTGGTGTGTGTATGAGTGCATGTTGGGTGTAGTTTTTCTCAACTGACACTGAAAGTCTCCTTCTTTGACTTCTCCTCTCTTTCTAATTTCCAATTCATAATATTCATGCCTCATCTAGACTTTAAAAAGAAAAGAGGTAAAATGAGCTCACGCCATAAAGATGCCCTAGTTTCAAGGTGTGCACGTCTCCCCCCTCTCCCCAGCCCCCACCAGCTGATCTGGAAGACACTTTTCTCCACACTCCACGGAGCACAGACGGAACTAAGGACCTGCGGCAATGATTCTGTCCCTGATGACTCCTGCCTTGGGCTCCAGGCCAATATGGATTGTTATGACTGCCCTTGTGGTGTACCTTGTACCATCTCTGCTGCTAGAACTTGCTTTCAGAAAAGAAACTTTGGTTAAAGAGTAAGTACACCTAATTTAAAAACCATGAGAACACTTTGTTTGATTGTTTGTTTGTTGTCACTCGCAGTGCCAATGGGAATATTTTCCCACGTCAGTCTTTCTGAGGGCAAAAATGACCTGGGTTTTCCTATTGCATAAACTTTGACTAGTTTAAGTTCAGAAATACTGGAAGCCACTTTCCGCAGACCATAGGGATGCATGTTAATAATGCAACTCTTTTTGCTTACTGAAAGGGAAACTCCCTTTAGTTTTGCCATGGGATGTGGTGTCTGCTGCTGTCAACTCTGTTGAAGCAGTGTGGTTCACTAGGAACAAGTTGAAGAGAAGCTAACTGAGAAGCCAATAAAACCAATTTTAAGAACATTGCAACATATGATACATTGAGCACCTTGCAAATACTGTTCTTTCTTTGCTACACATCCTTATTCTTGTGTACGTATCTATACTTATAGATACACATTTTTTTTTTGAGATGGGGTTTCACTCTTGTTGCCCAGGCTGGAGTGCAGTGGTGTGATCTCGGCTCACTACAACTTCTGCCTGCTGGGTACAAGCAATTCTCCTGCCTCAACCTCCCAAGTAGCTGGGATTACAGGCACCTGCCACCACACCCGGCTAATTTTTTGTATTTTTAGTAGAGATGCTGCTTCACCATGTTGGCCAGGCTGGTCTCAAACTCCTGACCTCAGGTGATCCACCTGCCTCGGCCTCTCAAAGTGCTGAGATTACAGGTGTGAACCACCATGCCGAGCCTAGATATGTATTTTTAATTAATAGGCAATTTTTGGTGCAGTTTTAGATTTACAGAAAAATGAGTGGAAAGTACATAGAGTTCCCATACACATTCCCACCCCCATTTTCCACTATTATTAACATCTTGCATTAGTCGGTATGTCTGTTACAATTGATGAGCCAATATTAATATACTACTATTAACTAAAGTCCACAGTTTACATTGGGTTCACTCTTTGCATTGTACCTTCTATAGGTTTTGACAAATGTATAATGACATGCATCCACTATGGCAGTATTATACAGAATGGCTTCACTGCCCTATAAATCCCTTGTGTTCCACCCGTCCGTCTCTCCCTCTACCCCCCTGAACCCCTGGCAACCACTGATCTTTTTGCTGTTTTCATAGTAAAAAGATGCCCAGGCCAGGCATAGTGGCACATACCAGTAATTCTAACACTTTCAGAGGCTGAGGCGAGCAGATCATTTGAACCTAGGAGTTCAAGACTAGTCTGGGCAACATGGTGAAGGCCCATCTCTACTAATAATACAGTTAGCTGGGTGTGGGGATGGCGCCTGTGGTCCCAGCTATTTGGAAGGCTGAGGTGGGAGGATTGCTCAAGCCAGGGAGGTCAATGCTCAGTGAACTATGATCATGACACTGCATTCCAGTTTGGGCAATAGAGCAAGACCTTGTCTCAAAAAAAAAAATGAAAGTCCAGAATTCTCTTTCTTATCCGGAATGTTACAGTTGTGAGTCTTTCTCTACTGTATTGCTTATTCTGTGCACATTTTCATAAAAGAGTTATACTTCTGAGTTAAAACCTCCATGATTTTCATAACAATGTTGGTTGTGAGAATTAAGGAAGAATCTTTTATGCTTAGAGCAACATCTACTTTACAGGCTGAAAGTGGGGAAGAAATGTGGTAACATGCTTAAAATACTCAGAACACTTCCTGGAACATAGTCCGTGCTCAATAAATGGTAGCTGGTGTTAGCCTTGGCACAACTGCGGATTTCCCTTCCTCTGTAAAGTCTAATTATAAGAAAGAAGGTGCTCTTGGACTTTGAAAGGGGAATTTAAAGAGGCAGTGGATCAACCATGAAGACCTCTACCTGTGGAGTCAGGTCATCTGGGTTCAGAACCCTAGTTTTACTAGTTACTAGCCATTACTTGGGAAGTTACCTGATCCCCCTTTGAGATGGATTTCCTCCCGTAAATGAGGAGACTAACAATTCCTCTTTAAGCGGTTCTTCTTTCTCAGGCCTGATACTCGGTCTGCACCAAAACAAGATGAAGGCTCTATTATGAAAGTGTTCAAGCCCATGCTGTGGACTGTCCAAGGAAATCCTGGCCCCTTTATGTTCTAAGAGTATATGGTGGAGTCAAGTTATGTAGTCTTTCCTTGTCTCTGTTTCTGTTACCAAATAATAGCTTTAATAATCAGAAAAATGGCCGGGCATGGTGGCTCAAGCCTGTAATCCCAGCACTTTGGGAGGCCGAGGCAGGTGGATCACCTGAGGTCAGGAGTTCCAGACCAGCCTGGCCAACATGGTGAAACCCCGTCTCTACTAAAAATACAAAAAATTAGCTGGTCATAGTGGCAGGTGCCTGTAAATCCCAGCTACTTGGGAGGCTGAGGCAGGAGAATTGATTGAACCTGGGAGGTGGAGGTTGCAGTGAGCTGAGATCGCGCCATTGCACTCCAGCCTCGGGGACAAGAGTGAAAACTTTGTCTCAAAAAAAATCAGAAAAATGGAAAGAATATTCAAGATGGGAAGGTTTGGAGAAATGAGCGAGGCATTTTATGACAGAACATGTGGGATGTTTTCCTATTCCTGGAAATCCCTAAACTACTGAATGAGCATCATTGGGATTTATTCTTGGGTAGATACAAAATCAGACCTCTGAAAATAACCTCTCTGAATTTTTCTCTGCATAAAACAAACAAATGACATACATCCCACTTTACCGTCAGGGGTTTTCTTAGATGATATAGAGTATGTCTGTGAATTCAACGTCAGTTAAACATCATCCTAGATGCTATGGGTGAGAAAACCAGTAAGACAAGATTCTTATTCTCCCTTGGCTTCTCCAGAGGAGGGAAATAAACTCAACAGTAATTATGTGCAATGAAGTGTCAGAGATGCCCTGACAGAGCTTTGTGGATGGCTTGGGCACAAATGAGAGCAACTGTCTCTACCTGGGGCTAATGAGGACCGACTTCCTAGAGGTGGTAACACTCAAATTGATGTGTGAAAGTACTTGGCTTAAGTGATTGGCTCGGGGTGTGGTGTAGTTGGAAATGAACTGAAATCCTGAGGTATCCCAGGCACTTTTGGATGCCATTATCTACCTTTGAACTTGGAGAGACTAGTTGAACGGCTGGAGATCAGAATTTCATAAGTCCTAAGGCCTGGTGATAAAATTTTTATCACTTTGCTTAGTTGATGAAATTTTGTCATTTCATTCAGTGTTTATTTTTAAATTTATATATATAGAGAAAGATTTTTATATATAAATGTATATATATAACATATAAATATATATAATATAATATATATATATATATATTATATATATATAGAGAGAGAGAGAGAGAGAGACCAGAGGCTGATCTCAAACTCCTGGCCTCAAGTGATCCTCCTGCCTTGGCCTCCCAAAATACTGGGATTACAGGCATGAGTCACCACACCTGGCTGGTTATTCAGTGTTTATTAAAGCATATTTATTTCATCCACTAATAAATATAAAAGGACTGATAGAATGAGAAAATTATTTTTTAACCTCCAATGTAAAACTTGATTTGAGTCATTAAAAATAAATGCTTAGGGCTGGGTGCAGTGGCTCATGCCTGTAATCCCAGTGCTTTGGGAAGGCAAAAAGAGAAGATCACTTGAGCCCAGGAGTTTGAAGCTACAGAGAGCTATGATGTGCCACTGCACTCCAGCCTGGGCAACAGAGTGAAACACTGTCTCGAAAAATATATGTATGTATGGATAGATAGATAGATGATGATAGATAGATGATAGATAGATAGATAGATAGATAGATAGATAGATAGATAGATGCTTAAATCATTAGGTTACAAGTTCTGGGGGAACAGAATACTCTTGCTGTTTTAAGGTATCGGCCCACAGATAACTTTTTTTTTTTTTTTTAGACGGAGTCTTGCTCTGTCGCCCAGGCTGGAGTGCAGTGGCGAGATCTTGGCTCAGTGCAAGCTCCACCTCCCAGGTTCACGCCATTCTCCTGCCTCAGCCTCCCGAGTAGCTGGGAATACAGGTGCCCGCCACCACGCCTGGCTAATTTTTTTGTGTATTTTTAGTAGAGACGGTGTTTCACCGTGGTCTCGATCTCCTGACCTCATGATCCACCAGCCTCAGCCTCCCAAAGTGCTGGGATTAGAGGCGTGAGCCACCACGCCTGGCCCAGATAACTTATTAATTGCAAAAGGACAAAATACATCTTTATAATAGAGAGTTCACCATATTATCCAAGTGGTTGAGCTTGACATTGCTGCTAGTGGAATAGCCTGACGTTCTGCCTCCTGAACTTATGCAGTGGGAGGGAAATAGCATCACCTACAAGGTGTTCTTGCCAGAAATGTTCAAATTGAGCCTAACGACGAGGAAAAAAATCTGAATATGGGGTGTTCTGCAGGTCTCTTCAAAGACTTTATTATTATAAACCAGGGAAGCAATGGTACAAATCAAAATATGAGGAGTCTGAACATATACAGCAGCCAAGTGTAATTTATCAACCTTGATTGGATCCTGGATTAAAAAACAAATCTAACAATAAAGGACATAATGGAACAATTGAGGAAATTTGGGTATGGACTGCGTGTTGGATGTTACTATTGAAGTAATGATTTTTTTTTTCCCCAAGATGGAGTTTCGCTCTTGTTGCCTAGGCTGGAGTGCAATGGCGCGATCTCGGCTCACTGCAACCTCTGCCTCCCAGGTTCAACTGATTCTCCTGCCTCAGCCTCCGGAGTAGCTGGTATTACAGGCATGTGCCACCATGCCCGGCTAGTAATGATTTTCTAAGGTGTGGTACTGGTACTGTGGTTCTGTAGAAGAATGTCCTGTTCTTGAGAACTGAAATACTTAGGAATGAAGTGTCCTGATGTCTGCAGCCTAATTTTTGGACAGTTGAGAAAAGGGAATTTCTGTCTATGTGTCCGTGTGTGTGTGTGTGTGTGTGTGTGTGTGTGTGTGTGTGCATATGGAGAGAGAGCGAGGGGGTTGGAGGAAATAGGGGAAGAGATATCAGGTATGGCATAAATGTTACTGCTTAATGAATCCAGATGAGGTTATAGAAGTGTGTCTTATTTTGTTCTTTGACATTTTTCAATGACAAAAAATGCACTTCTTAAAATATGGTTTAAAAATTGTCCTAATATTAGATTTTGCTTATTAATATACATAAGTTTATCTAAGTACACATATAGGCATATAGTGTCTACCAATATAAATAATTTGCTTTGTATGTTTTTAATCCAATGGAAAATTTACCTTAAGTCTTGTTACAATAATACCCAATATTAGAATAGCACAGTGCTTAGTACATAGTTATGCTCAGCCAATTCTTGTAAGACACTCCGGGTGCCAATAAGCTTTTTTCCAAAACAAGTTGTGTAACCTTCTCTTTCCCCAATAAATTCTAATCTTTTCTTGTTTTTCAGACATACCAAAAGTCACCCTAGTTTGTAGGTATGTATGTACCAGATTGCAATCCTTTTTTTTTTTTTTATCTCAGCCCACTGCAACCTCCACCTCCCAGGTTCAAGAGATTCTTTCTCCTGACTCAGCCTCTCAAGCAGCTGGGATTACAGGAGCCTGCCACCACACCTGACTAATTTTTGTATATTTAGTAGAGACAGGGTAAACTATGTTGGCCAGGCTGGTCTTGAACTCCTGATCTCAGGTGATCTGCCCGCCTCGGCCTCCCAAAGTGCTTGGATTACAGGCGTGAGACACCACTCCCGGCTAATCCTTCCTATATATAATTCCCAAATAAAACCTTTTTACCTTAAGGTAAAAGCTTATATTTTTTACATTGGAAACTGACTAATGGATATTTACTAAAATCTTTGGATTAAGTTTCAGAATGAATATATTGCTAAGATAATTGGGTAGTTGGTGTAAATGAATGAGGTAGAAGTCCAAGGAGATTGGTTGAGGCAATAAAGAGAATGGGGCTGGTATCCATGAGGGAGAAGTTTCCTTCAGGTGTTGTTGGAAATCTACAGCATGTGAAAGCCCTATTAACATGTCTTTCTGGAAATCATATAGAGAGAATATTGCTGCACTCAACCTTCAGGGCTGCCTACTTTATATAATCCAAAATGCTAGTGTGTTTCTAGGCATTGTGCTATTTTGGAGAATTACAGAGATGTCCTCTAAATGCTTTATATGGGTCCCAGCAAAACAAGATGTCACACTGAAATAAGGCAATTTAAGAAGAGTAGTTAATAAAGGGATGATGTACAAAAGCATGGACAGTATGTGGAAAAATTACTAGGAAGAGAACATGTATTAGTCCATTCTCACACTGCTATAAAGAACTACTGAGACCAGGTAATTCATAAAGAAAAGAAGTCTAATTGGCGGACAGTTCTGCAGGCTGTACAGGAAGCATGGCTAGGGAAGCCTCAGGAAACTTACAATCATGGCAGAAGGCAAAGGGAAAGCCAGCATGTCCTGCATGGCTGGAGCAGGAGGAAGGGAGAGCACAGGGGGAGATGCTACACACTTTGTTTTTTGTTTGTTTGTTTGTTTTTTGAGACGGAGTCTTGCTCTGTCACCAGGCTGGAGTGCAGTGGTGCCACCTCGGCTCACTGCAACCTCTGCCTCCCGGGTTCAAGCGATTCTCCTGCCTCAGCCTCCCGAGTAGCTGGGACCACAGGTGTGCTCCACCACACCCGGCTAATTTTTTTTATTTTTAGTAGAGACGGGATTTCATCATGTTGGCCAGGATGGTCTCGATCTCTTGACCTCGTGATCCACCTGCCTTGGCCTCCCAAAGTGCTGGTATTACAAGCGTGAGCCACCGTGCCTGGCCCACTACACACTTTTAAACAACCAGATCTCATGCAGATTCACTCACTATCATGAGAACAGCAAGGGGGAAATCCACCCCCATGATCCAATCACCTCCCACCAGGCCCCTCCGTCAATACTGGGGATTCCAATTTGACGTGAGAGTTGGGTGGGGACACAGAGACAAACCACATCAGCACGACACCACAGTGCTGGTAGCAGCAGGACTCTGCTATTCATCAAAGGCTGAAAGGGAGAGGAGAGGGAACAGCTGGTGAAATTTTAAAGAAAAGAGGGCTGTGTAGACAAAGCCACTTACCTGGCACTGTATCTTTAGTTTATGGGTCCAGCTTTTCCCTGTGACCCCAAAAAGAGGGACCCGAGGAAATAAGTACTTCAACTTTATTGTCTTTCTTCCTGCTGATTTCCTGCCAGTGGTCCCTATGTAGTATGCCCATCTGGAAGCAATGACATAGCCCCTACAGATGAGCCTCCAAGGGCACAGAGCAGGTGAAGAAGGGTAGAGACTGGATCTGGAGAGGCGCATGAAAGATCTGTACACTGTGAGATTCTGGATGGGGTATGGAAATTCTCCCTTATTCTGTTTTTCTACCTTATTTTGGAGATAATAGCACTTTTCAGTATCTTCATAACTTCTTGGAATGACTTAACGAGGTTTGTTTTGTTGATCAGATCTGACTGATTAAAGAGACACTATAAAGTGGTTCCAAAGAACCTTCTTTAGAGTAGAAAGAAATAATTATAAGAGACCAAAAGCCACTGAACTCGGATGAACTAGTAAGTCAATAGTGATCCACTGGCTGTTCTTGAACCCTTACAGGATCAGTCTCTAAGCTGGCTGCAGTCTCTAAGTTGGCTCACTCCCTTCCCCACAGTGCTGGGGAATCTCGCAAGGAAGATGGTATGGCAGGCGGCTGCCTGAATTAGACTCCAGTACAGTCAGAATTCCCTTGTGGGTGACTTTGTCAATGAACCCCATTCTCTTTATCCCCAGTCCCAGGATTAGGAAAGAACACAAGTTCCAGAAAAATCCAAATGAGCTCCTCAGCAGGAAAGGCTGGGAGACGCCTGGCAGATGGATCAAGATATCTTAAAGCAGTCAGATAAAAGTTGAATTATTTTAAACCAAATGGCCATGTAGTCCATGGGAAAAAAGAGGCAGAGCTGCAAACAGTGACAGCTCCTGCCAAGAATGACTAAGCAGGGAACAAATTATGAAGGCACCTACTGTGAGTCACACAACCGACTCCACAGCCTTGTGTGTGTACCTGCACAATCAGCAGGAACTTTTGAATATGGAAGATAATGACATTGATTTATGGAAGACAAGATACACAGCAATACAAAATCCACCAATAGAAATGTGCGATCTGTTTTGGCCAAAATCTCATCTTACATTTTAATCTGACCCTTAGATCAAAAGAACTGATGTAATCAGTGCATTAATAAGAACGCATGCTAGAAATACCTGAAATAGAATAACAATGTATATGATAGAATGGAAATGTGTCTATATTTGTTTTGCTCTGTATACCTCTACATTGTTTGAATCTTTCAATGAAAATTTCACGTAGCATTCATGTAATTAAAAAGAAATGTTTCTACATCTCTACAGACACTATGCAGAATGTACAGAACGTAGTGGTTCTTCATTCTGATTGTGCATCAGAATCACCTTTGTTAAAATTTAAAATTCTAGAGGCCTGGATATCACCTCAGTCCTAAAGAATAAGAATCTACAAAAATAGACAGACCTGCATGGAAGTTTTTGTTTGGTTTGTACTGCTCCACAAGCAATTCTGACAGACATGGAGATTGAGGACCACCAGGGACATGGTTTCATGTTCTCATTTTGGATTGGACTGTTTGCCGTGGTTTTGCATCATTACGTTGCTGAGCTGGGGCCCACACATACTCAGATCCTGGTCCCACTGCTTATCTCCTCGGAAACTTCATATACACAAGTTAATGTCTTCAACCTCATTTCTAAAATCAGGGTAATAGACTGATCTCATCACGATATCATGAGAATCAGGCGAGATGACACAATCAGAACATTTAGTACAGAATGTGGCCCCTGGTAAACACTCAATAAAGGTTAATATTATTTAGCTATATAGTCTTCCACATTCTGGTATTTACATATTTATAACAAAATAATTATACAGATGTTCCTTGACTTACAGTGGGGTTACATCCCAATAAACCTGTTGCAAATAAAAAACTATCATAAGTTGAAAATGCATTTAATACCCTGATAAACCCATTGGAAAGTAACAAAATCATAAGTTGAGGACTATCTTTGGTTGTATGGACATATTTCATTATGATGATAAGCTCCACGTTGCATTTTACAGATTCAGAGGTTTGGGGATTTTTCTCACACATTTTCATATCCATCAACTAAAAAGCAATACTTGTGATGAAGAAGTCACATTACTGAAATTATAAAATGGTAACTATCACATATATGAGAATAAAATATATTGTCCAACTTTATATTAGAATTCACTTTAAATAGTGGCAGGTTCTTTGGCTCAAATCAGTGATTCACTTCATAAAGCATCGATGAGAAAGTTTTCTGCCTTTTTAAAATTTTTTTTTGAGACGGAGTCTCACTCTGTCACCCAGGCTGGAGTGCAGTGGTGTGATCTCGGCTCACTACAAGCTCCACCTGCCAGGTTGAAGCAATTCTCCCATCTCAGCCTCCCGAGTAGCTGGGACTACAGGCGTGAGCCACCACGCCTGGCTAATTTTTGTATTTTTAGTAGAGACAGGGCTTCACCATGTTGGCCAGACTGCTCTTGAACTCCTGACCTCAAGTGATCTGCCCGTCTCGGCCTCCCAAAGTGCTGGGATTACAGGCATGAGCCACTGTGCCTGGCCGAAAGTTTTCTGCTTTTATGATTGCAGCAGTAGTCGGAATTGTTTGATTACCTGTTTTGAGTTGCTTTTGTTTCTGAAGGACTTCAAATCCAGTATGATTGAAAAAGCTGACTAGGGAATTAACTAGGACTACCTGACGTTAAATTCTAGCTTTGACAAGTATTCACTGTGTAACATTGGACAAGTTATTTAACCTCTCTGGGCCTCAGGTTCTCATTTTTAAAATGGTGATAATAGTACCTACCTTGGACAGGCACGGTGGCTCACGCCTGTAAGCCCAGCACTTTGGGAGGCCGAGGCGGGCAGATCACCTGAGATCGGGAGTTCCAGACCAGCCTGACCAACATGGAGAAACCCCATCTCTACTAAAATTACAAAATTAGCCGGGCGTGGTGGCACATGCCTGTAATCCCAGCTACTCAGGAAGCTGAGGCAGGAGAATCGCTTGAACCCGGGAGGTGGAGGTTGTGGTGAGCCAAGATGGTGCCATTGCACTCCAGCCTGGGCACCAAGATCAAAACTCCATCTCAAAAAAAAAAAAGAAAAAATAAAAAAGAAAAAATAGTACCTACCTCTCAGTGTTGCTGTATTAATTGCATTGTTTAGTAAAATGCTCAGACCAGAGCCTGGTGCATAATACAGTGCTATGTTGAATGTTTACTATTTTTATTATTTATTCATTCTAATTGTAGGCATGTGTAGACTGACAAAGTAAGAGTCTGAGTTACAGAATGGAATTAAAGAAGCAAGCATAATTTTATTCTTTACAAGAATTCATGGTATACTGCTAACGTTAGGCAGCAAATTTAAAGCTTTATGACATATGTGGTAATTCCCTTAGGGAGTTTAACCTTAGTTATGAAAAATAAAAGGCTCTGATCAATTTCTGTTCTATCAAACTCTGTTTCAAACTCTTATCCATAAACACCTTCACACTAAGTCCCTTATTTATACCTGCACCACAGCCCTGATCTGTGTGTAAAAAATAACCATAAGGGACAGTGCAGTACCTCAGGACTATTAGGACCATGGTATACGAGGTTCATTGTTGATGGAAGCATCATGTGGTGCATGACTATACATTAATAATTAAAATGTAAACTAATGTGTACACATGGACACACAGTGTGGAATAATAGTCATTGGCGACTCAGAAGGGTGGGAGGTTCGGGGAGGGTGGGAGATGAGAAATCACCTTTTGGATACAATGTGCATTATTCAGGTGATGGACCCACTAAAAACCCAGACTTCACTGAGCAATATATCCATGCGTGATGGTTAATATTAAGTGTCAACTTGATTGGATTGAAGGGTGCAAAGTATTGTTCCCGGGTGTGTCTGTGAGGGTGTTGCCAAAGGAGATTAACATTTGAGTCAGTGAACTGGGAAAAGCAGACCCACCCTCAATCTGGATGGGCACCAACTAATCAGCTGCCAGCATGACCAGAATACAAGCAGGCAGAAGAACGTGAAAAGACTAGACTGGCTTAGTTTCCAAGCCTACAACTTTCTCCCACTCTGGATGCTTCTTGCCCTTGAACATCAGACTCCAAGTTCTTCAGCTTTGGGACTCGGACTGGCTTCCTTGCTCCTCAGCTTGCAGACAGTCTATTGTGGGACCTCACCTTGTGATGGCGTGAGTCAATACTCCTTAATAAATTCCCTTTTATATAGACATCTGTCCTATTAGTTCTGTCCTTCTAGAGAACCCTGACTAATACACCATGTAACAAAATTGCACTTGTACTCCTCAAATGTATACAAATAAAAAATGAAAATAACTAATTAAAATGTGACTCGACATCACTAGGAGTGATTCAGATAAAGTGTTATGGGATTGTCAGAGGAAAGAAAATTTAGCGGGGTAATAATGGGCGACTGATGAACAAAGACTTCATCAGAAAATGGAATTTATATTGGGGTTTAAAGAATGAGTAGAATTTGGATATATGGAGATGAGAATTTTAGGCAGAGAAACCCGTGGCACAGAGTTGAAACAGCCAAGAATAAGAATGCAAATATTGATGAGTAAGGTCAGAAACATGGGCTGGGTATGTTTGGGGTCACAGTTTGAAATTGTAAACTTTGACAAGACAAGACATGAGTTCATCTTAAACATGATGATTGTATTGTAATGCATGTATAAGTAAAGACGAAGTGATTTTTTTAAGATTTGTTATATGATCTACTAAGCAGAATAGTCACCTTTAACCCAGAACCATTTTCATGCCTGAAGGACATGGGTTGAGAGTATTTGCATTATCAGAACATTTGCTGACTGAGTTTCCTTGAAATTAGGTTGGATGAAAAACAACTTTCAGAATCTTCTCTTATTATGTAAAACTTCATAATATTTGTACTGTAATATGTATATGAAGAGAAACCAAGATTGTAAGTTTGATCTTCAACTGGAGATCAAACTTACTACCCCCTGACTATTTCTCAGGATTCAGAATAAGATCTATACAGTTAGAAAAAGGGAGTAAAAAGCAGCTGAGGGGATTTTTATTTTAATTTGGTGGGGCTGCCGGTGGTAGGATGGGGGAAGGTTTGGTATAGAAACTTGTAGTGGAAATAATTTTAGCTTTGGAATCAGAAAGTACTAGCCTCAAATTCCAGTTCCATCAACTGTGTGGTCGTGGGAAGTTCCATTATTTTTCTGAGCTTCAATTTCTTCTATCAACCTATTAAATGGAGGATTAAGAGGGTGCCTAAGTATAGTTGTGCGTACTGAATTTGCACACATCCAGAATATGTAGTAGCGTCTAGTGGAGGTATTGCAGGAGTAATACAGGCATAATAGAATTGTGGTAAGGAGTCATCCTCATGGGACAAGTGAATCATGATACTCTCAAAACCTTAAATTCCTCCCCATTTCCTATTAAAGAGATTTCAAACTCATATTTGGCAATAGTATCTTCTGATTAAATAATAACTACTTTTCGGGATATCCCCTCCATTTTATTCCTTTTCAATAATACTTTTCTTCCATTTAATAATATTCTCAAAACCCACTACACTCTTTTCTATTTCTGTGTTTCTCTTCGTAATGTTTTCATGTTCCTGGAATTCCCTGCTTTTCCATATTTACTTATACCCCAAACTTACTGGTTCTTCCAAGTTGAATCCACAGTCCACCTATTCCATGAAGCCTTCCCTGATTCTCCCTTCCCTGACTGAAAAACATCTTTCTTTCACCAATTTGCCCAGCGTTGTTCCTGCCTCTGCCTCCACCTGAGTCTTCTGCCTTGGACTACTGGTTTTATTTACATGTCTTATCCTCCCTTTCCCATTGGGAGCAGGATGGAAACAAGATCCACATATGAGTTACCATTGTATTCCTCACAACATTGAGCACAGGGCTCTGCACTTAGTTGGTGTGCTGGATTACCTAGGGTCAACTTGGCATCACTGCTACCCCTCTCTAAGGTCTCCACTGCAGGAGAAGCTGAGAATGACATTTCCCAAAAACCCATTGCAATGGGAAGCACGTGCACAAGATTTGGAAGAGAAAGGGGTCATTATTTTCTGGAAGCGGCTGCAGCCACATGACCAAGATACAAGATTTGAGGCAGTTTCCAGGTGAGCTTCCTGAAAATCACCTGCATCACTCCTGCAGACTGAGAGGTCAGAGGGAATCTCCCAGAGGTTCTTTCAGGGGTCTTTTGTGCAAGCTCTTGAGAACCTCATAGTGCAAAGGCTGAGATTGTTGCTGACAGCCTTCTTCACGTTGGTTTCTGCAGCCTTCTAACAACTGGGTAAGCCTCTAATTCCCTGCATTGAAAATATTCATACTTGGAATATATTGAGAGGCTTCTGCTTTCATGCCTAATCCCTGACTGACTTGTTCAATAAAGATTTGCAGAATGAATGAAAAATAATTCCATCATATTAAAAAGTCTGTAGATATTCCACTGATATTTATCATGCAAGGGGAAGAGGCTAATACTAATTGTGAGTTATGTGGCAGGCAGTTTCCTATGCATTATTTACCACCTTCCAGTAATCTTGATAGATCATTATTATTGTCTCGTTTTATATATGAGGATATGGAAAAATGAGAATCAAACAGATACACCAACTCAAAAAGCATTGCCTTAACGCTTTACCTTGTTACCTTAGCGTACATCAACTCAGTGTATGCTTTTGTGGATAATCACGAGCAATTTCAAGAGCCATTTGAAACTCAATATTAGCCACATTTTTCAGAGTTTTTCCTACTTACCCAGAGCAATAAATCCTGAGTTCCTCTCAGTTATACCACTGAATGGACTACCTATAGCGAATAGACTCAATTAAAATATTTGAGTCTTTTTTTTCAATTATTTAGATATTATATACTTACCTATTGCTAAGAATGAGCATTTTTTATGGCAGGTGAAACGGCAATAGTAGAAATAATTTTTTAATATCTAAAATTTGGGGTGAGGGTGGATTTAAAAACTCAGAATGGAAAGGACTTGTATCATAAAAGACCAAGCAATATACTTTACCAGTTATAGTTCAATTACCCACCTGTTTAGCTCTTTGGAACATGTCCAATAACTACTTCTCCTTGACATTATGTAAATGCAGAAGACTTTGATCCTATATACAATCACCTGAAATACTTTTTAAAGAGTTATTGTTCATTGTAAATTATGCAGAATGTTTCAGAGAACATAATTACGTGTGTGCTTATAATCATTATAGTCATTCAATAAGGAATTTTCTATATTTAACAATAAAGTTAATTTATATGTTTGATTTAAAAAGGAAACAGACAAAATTATCAAAATTACAATGGTAGGAAAATGTAAAATACGTAGTAATATATTTTAGAAAAAATATCTTTCAAAAAGGATTAATGTTCATTAGTTAATATTTAACATTTTGCTAGAAAATTGGTAACCCATAAAAAGATTAAAATAACTAGGAATATAGCTAACTGGGGAAGTAAATGATCTGCAGTAAGAATTACAAAACACTGCTGAAAGAAATCAGAAATGACACAAACAAACAGAAAAACATTCCATGCTCATAGATAAGAAGAATCAATATCGTTATATAGGCCATACTGCCCAAACCAATTTACAGATTCAATGCTATTACAATCAAACTACCACTGTCATTTTGCACAGAATTAGAAAAAACTATTCTAAAATTCATATGGAACCAACAAAGAGCCTGAATAGCCAAAGGAATCCTAAGCTAAAAGAACAGCGGCATCACACTACCCAATTTCAAACTATACTACAAGGCTACAGTAGCCGGAACAGCATGGTGCTGGTACAAAAAGAGACACATAGACCTAGAGAATCCAGAAATAAAGCTGCACACCTAAAACCATCTGATCTTCAACAAAGTCGAACATAACATACAATAGAAAAAGAAGACCCTATTTGATAAATGGTGTTGGGATAAGTGGCTAGCCATATACAGAACGTTGCAGAAGATTGAAACTGGACCCCTTCTTTCGTAATATACAAAAATAACTCAAAATGGAATAAAGACTTAAATGTAAGACCTAAAACTATATAAGCCCTAGGAAAAAATCTAAGAAATACCTTTCTAGACATAAGCCTTAGCAAAGATTTCATGACAAAGTCTCCAAAAGCAGTTGCAACAAAAGCAAAATTTGACAAGCGGGACCTAATTGAACTAAAGAGCTTCTGCACAGCAAAAGAAACTATCAACAGAGTAAACAGACAACCTACAGAATGGGAGAAAATATTTACAAACTATGCGTACAACAAAGGACAAATATCCAGAATCTATAAGGAACTTAAACTCAATGAGAATAAAAAAAACACTTCATTTAAAAAGTGGGCAAGAGACATAAACAGACACTCCTTAAAAGAAGACATATAAGGAGCCAACTAACATGAAAAAATGCTCAACATCACTAATTATCAGACAGATGCAAATTAAAACCACAGTGAGATAGCAGCTCACATCAGTCAGAATGGCTATTACTAAAAAGTCAAAAACTAACAGATGTTGGCAAGGCTATGGAGAAAAGGGAATGCCTATACACTGCTGGTGGGAATGTAAATTAGTTCAGCCACTGTGGAAGGCAGTTTGAAGATTTCTCAAAGAACTAAAAATAGAACTACCATTTAATTCAGTAATCCCATTATGGTTACATACCCAACAGAATATAAATTATTCCACCAAAAAGACACATGCACTGTATGTTCACTACAGCACTGTTCACAATAGCAAAGACAGAGAATCAATGTAGGTGCCCATCAACAGTGGACTGGATAAAGAAAATGTGGTATTTATACATCATGGAATACTACACAGCCATAAAAAAGAATGATATCATGTCCTTTGCAGCAACACAGATGCACCTAGAAGTCATTATCCTAAGCGAATTAATACAGAAATAGAAAATCAAATATCACACATTCTCACTTATAAGTGGGCGCTATATCTTGGTTATACACATACATAAAGATGGGAACAATCGACACTGAGGACTCTAAAAGGAGAGAGGAAGGGAGAGGGGCAAGGCTTTAAAAACTTCCCATTTGGCACTTGGTTCACTATCTGGGTGAAGCCCAAACCTCAGCATCACACAACATACCCTTGAAACAAACCTGTGTATGTACCCCCCAAATTGAGAACAAATTAAAAATATTTTTAAAGTCTCATTTTTAAAAGCAATATGATCAATTAAAATAACTTAAATAACTTACCAGCGACAATCCATAATTAAAATATTCAGAAAGCAAGCAAGTCATCTTGTACTACCAGATTCTTTTTGAAGAATGACATTTATAAAACGAAGAGAACCAATTTTACCTGCCTGTACTAAAGGAAAATAAGTTCAAGAAATGTCCTAGTTATAATTTTCAGTTAGCCCAACATTAATATTGCCCAGAGTTTAGTGTGATAGCCACTTTGAAGCCCTCGTAAATTCTGTCACCTTGGATGAATCACAACTGATTGGTTTATCAATGCATATAATTCAGATTGTTCTGAATAAAGCTGGCTTCCCTGAAGGACCCAAGATAACTTCATGAAATAAATGTATCACATCCAGTTAATAGATGAGGCAAAGAAAGTTATTTATTTCAAAAGAGAAATCTTATTCTTTTGTGGTAGAGAAAAAGAAAGATTGAATAGAAAATAAAATTGCTAATTAAGAAAAAGGAAAGCCACCTATACTTGTTTGCTCATGAAAAAGAAACCTAGCTGAGAAGAGTGGCAGGCAAGAAACACAGTGGACTAGTATGCAGGAAGGAGAATATGGGAATAGAAAAGTTTATTTGTTCTCTGAGATCTGCTCTTACTGAAGTGGATCGATGATGAAAATAAGCAAGTTTGAGCATCAGAAGACCTTCCAGTCTACTTGATGCATGAGCTCTACAGTTTTAAGAAGCAAAACTATAAAACAGTGTAAGAAGATATATTTTCCCTCATCTCTATTTGTAATTTCATCTATTTATCCTTAAAAGCCACTCTTACAAAAGCATAAACTTTATACATATTTGCATGGTAGGCACATTCACATATTGCTGTTGTGTTTTTCATTTTACAAGAACAAAGTATGTTAATTAGTGGGAAAATGAAAAGGAACCATAGACAAGCAAAAGGCAGAAAATAGAAAACACTCAGAACTTCACTCACAGACCACTGTCTTCAACTTTGTGTGCCCACTTCTAAGGCCTATCCTTTTCTTAAAAATTCTTTAATTTTAAAATGCATACATAAATATGCATTTCCACATGAACATGATCATATCAAACATATTTTTTCAAATGTTATTTATTTCAAAAGAGAAAACTTATTTCTTTGTGGTAGAGTAAAAGAAAGATTGAATAGAAAATAAAATTTCTAATTCAGAAAAACAGGTCTAGGTGGCTGGCAAGATGGCCAAATAGGAACAGCTCCAGTCTGCACCTCCCAGCGAGATTAACGCAGAAGACAGGTGATTTCTGCATTTCCAACTGAGGTACCTGGCTCATCTCATCGGGCCTGGTTAAACAGTGGGTGCAGCCTATGGAGGGGGAGCCGAAGCAGGTTGGGGTGTTGCCTCACCCAGGAAGCACAAGGGGTCAGAGAACTCCCTCCCCTAGCCAAGGGAAGCAGTGAGGGACTGTGCCGTGAGGAACAGTGCATTCTGGCCCAGATACTATGATTTTCCCATAGTCTTCACAACCCGCAAACCAGGAGATTCCCTCAGGTGCCTATGCCACCAGGGCCCTAGATTTCAAGCACAAAACTGGGCGGCCATTTGGGCAGACACTGAGCTAGCTGCAGGAGTTTTTTTCATACCCCAGTGGCACCTGGGACACCAGCAAGACAGAACCATTCACTCCCATGGAAAGGGGGCTGAAGCCAGGGAGACAAGTGATCTAGCTCAGAGAATCCCACCCCCATGGAGCCCAGCAAGCCAAGATCCACTGGCTTGAAATCCTCACTGCCAGCACAGCAGTCTGAAGTTGACCTGGGATGCTCAAGCTTGGTGGGGGGAGGGGCATTTACCATTGCTGAGGCTTCAGTAGGCGGTTTTCCCCTCACAGTGTAAACAAAGCTACCAGGAAGTTCGAACTGGGCAGAGCCCACTGCAGCTCAGCAAAGCTGCTGCAGCCAAACTGCCTCTAGAGATTCCTCCTCTCTGGGCAGGGCATCTCTGAAAGAAAGGCAGCAGCCCCAGTCAGGGGCTTACAAATAAAAGGAAGAGAGGAAGTCAAACTGTCTCTGTTTGCAGATGACATGATTGTATATTTAGAAAACCCCATCACCTCAGCCCAAAATCTCCTTATGCTGATAAGCAATTTCAGCAAAATCTCAGGATACAAAATCAATGTGCAAAAACCACAAGCATTCCTAGACACCAATAATAGACAAACAGAGAGCCAAATCATAAGTGAACTCCCATTCACAATTGCTACTAAGAGAATAAAATACCTAGGAATACAACTTACAAGGGATGTGAAGGACCTCTTCAAGGAGAACTACAAACCACTGCTCCATGAAATAAAAGAGGACACAAACAAATGGAAAAACATCCCATGCTCATGGATAGGAAGAATCAATATCATGAAAATGGCCATACTGCCCAAAGTAATTTGTAGACTCAATGCTATCCCCATCAAGCTACCATAGACTTTCTGTACAGAATTAGAAAAAATTACTTTAAATTTTATATGGAACCAAAAAAGAGCCCATATAGCAAGACAATCCTAAGCAAAAAGAAAAAAGCTAGAGTCATCATGCTACCTGACTTCAAACTATACTGCAAGGCTATAGTAACCAAAACAGCATGATACTGGTACCAAAACAGATACATAGATCAATGGAACAGAACAGAAGCCTCAGAAATAATGCCACACATCTACAACTATCTGATATTTGCCAAAGCAGACAAAAACAAGCAATGGGAAAAGGATTCCCTATTTAATAAATGGTGTTGGGAAAACTGGCTAGCCGTATGCAGAAAATTGAAACTCGACCCTTTCCTTACACCTTATACAAAAATTAACTCAAGATGGATTAAACACTTAAATGTAAAACCTATAACCATAAAAACCCTAGAAGAACACCTAGGCAATACCATTCAGGACATAGGCATGGACAAAGACTTCATGACTAAAACACCAAAAGCAATGGCAACAAAAGCCAAAATCCACAAATGGGATCTAATTAAACTCAAGAGCTTCTGCACAGCAAAAGAAACTATCATCAGAGCGAAAGGCAACCTACAGAATGGGAGAAAATTTTTGCAATCTATCCATCTGACAAAGGGCTAATATCCAGAATCTACAAAGAACTTAAACCAATTTACAAGAAAAAAAAAAAAACAACTCCATTCAAAAGTGGGCAAAGGATATGAACGGACACTTTTCAAAAAAAGACATTTATGCGGCCAACAAATATGTGAAAAAAAGCTCATCATCACTGGTCATTAGAGAAATGCAAATCAAAACCACAATAAGATACCATCTCATACCAGTTAGAGTGGTGATCATTAAAAAGTTAGGAAACAATAGATGCTGGAGAGGATGTGGAGAAATAGGAACACTTTTACACTGTTGGTGGGAGTGTAAACTAGTTCAACCATTGCGGAAGACACTGTGGCGATTCCTCAAGGATCTAGAACCAGAAATACCATTTGACCCACGAATCCCATTACTGTGTATATACCCAAAAGATTATAAATCGTTCTACTATAAAGACACATGCACACGTATGTTTATTGTGGCACTGTTCACAATAGCAAAGACCTGGAACCAATGCAAATGCCCATCATTGATACACTGGATAAAGAAAATGTGGCACATATACACCATGGAATACTATGCAGCCATAAAAACGTATGAGTTCATGTCCTTTGCAGGGACGTGGATGAAGCTGGAAACCATCATTCTCAGCAAACTATCACAGGAACAGAAAACTAAATACCAAATGTTCTCACTCATAAGTGGGAGTTGAACAGTGAGAACACATGGACACAGGGAGGGGAACATCACACACTGGGGCCTTTCACAGGGTGGAGGGCTAGGGGAGGGATAGCATTAGGAGAAATACCTAATGTAGATGACACTTTGATGCGTGCAGCAAACCACCACGGCACATGTATACCTATGTAACAAACCTGCATGTTCTGCACATGTATCCCAGGACTTAAAGGATAATAAATAAATAAAAAGAAAAAGAAAGCCACCTATACTAGCTCGCTCATGTTTTAAATTTAATTTTTGTAAATTAAAAAATTTATATAATGATTATGTGAAGGCAGCAGAATGTTGAGAGAGGCAAATAGTGCAGGATTAAGCCCACAGACTCTAGAACCAGACAACCTGGCTTTGTGACCTGGCTGTGCCACGTACCAGCAGTGTGATTTTGGACAAGTGCTTAACTGTTCTGTGCCTCAGCTTTGTCATCTGTAAAATGAGGGATAATAATATTATTAAGATTATATTTTAATATATATTTTATATTCTATTACTATATAATGTTATGAGGATGAAATGACTTAACTGCTTTTGAAGTGCTTAGAACAGTACCTGATATGTAACATTCCTTGATAGGCATTTAAGTTATTAAGACTTTTCTCCTACAATAGACAATTTTGTAATGGATGGTTTTTTTTTAACATATATCCTTGCACATTTATTCAATTATTCTGTCAGATAAATTCCTAGAAATGGAATGGCTGTGTCAAAGGATGTGTACATTTTAAATTCTGGTAAAGAGATTGCATGAAAAATTGGCACATTATAAAGGATACGACAATTTTTGCTCCCTCTGAACAGTGCTGAATCTAAGTATAGTTGTATGTTTCAAAATCTAGTTCTCAAACTTCGGTTTTCATAAGAACCACCTAAGACCTTATTAAAATAGTAAATTAGCAGGACTCTCCTGCAGAGATTCAGTAGATCCAGTATGAAAACTTGGAATCTGCAATTTTTTGTTTTTTGAGACGGAGTCTTGCTCTGTTGCCCAGGCTGGAGTGCAGTGGCACCATCTCGGCTCACTGCAACCTCTGCCTCCCGAGTTCAATCCATTCTCCTGCCTCAGCCTCCTGAGCAGCTGGGACTACAGGCGCCCACCGCCACACCCAGTTAATTTTTGTATTTTTAGTAGAGATGGGGTTTCACCATATTGGCCAGGCTGGTCTCGAATTCCTGACCTCGTGATCCACCCACCTTGGCCTCCCAGAGTGCTGGGATTACAAGCGTGAGCCACCATGCTCGGCCAGAAGCTGCATTTTTTAAAACAACACCTTAAGTAATTCTGATGCAGGTGGCCAGTGGATTGAGAAATATTGTGTCTTATCTTTGACTTCCTTTCTGGCACTGATAACTAAAACCCTACTGACATGATAGTCATGTTCAGTAAAAACAATTTTACCAGGAGCTGGGCAAAAAATACCATATTTCACAAGCCAACTATTAATACATGTTTTTATTTTATTTTATTTTTAATTTTTAAATTTTTTTCTTTAAGCAGTACAAGAAATTAACCCCTTTTTGGGCAGGTGCAGTGGTTCATGGCTGTAATCCCAACACTCTGGGACACCAAGGCGGGCAGATTGCATGAGGCCAGGAGTTCGAGACCAGGCTGGCCAACATGGAGAAACCCCATCTCTACTAAAAATACAAAAATTAGCCAGGCATGGTGGTGGACACCTGTAGTCCCAGCTACTCAGGAGGCTGAGGCAGGAGAATCACTTGAAGTTGGGAGGCAGAGCTTGCACATTTCCATCAATGACAAACTGTTCAGTTATGTCTCCAAATTTGTTCACACATAATTTTCCCAATGTAGATCTCATCATTTCGAATGTAGTTCTTATCTTGCAAATGTGTCAAACTTCTATACAGTATGCCAAAGTGCAAAATAAAACCAGTTTTTAAGTGTGAGATAAAAGCCTGAGGTTAACAGTCTTGGATAGTTGGGCAGACGCAAATGTTCTGTTTCGGTAAATGTAAGACTTTTTGGCCTGGGTATGTACCAAGATTGATATTTTTTTAAACTACCAGTCTAATTAGTTTGTTAGCTCCCCTTCTCATAACGGCTGGATGCTGGCCGGGTGCAGTGGCTCACGCCTGTAATCCCAGCACTTTGGGAGGCCGAGGTGGGCAGATCACGAGGTCAGGAGATCAAGACCATACTGGCTAACACAGTGAAACCCCGTCTCTACTAAAAATTACAAAAAATTAGCCGGGCATGGTGGCAGGTGCCTGTAGTCCCAGCTACTCGGGAGGCTGAGGCAGGAGAATGTCGCGAACCCGGGAGGCGGAGCTTGCAGTGAGCCGAGATCGCGCCATTGCACTCCAGCCTGGGCGACAGAGCGAGACTCTGTCTCAAAAATAAAATAAAATAAAATAAATAAAATAAAAAAAATAAAGGCTGGATGCAGAAGGTTGGAAAGAGGTGACTGTGCGCCAGCATCAGAGGCAGCTATCAAGCAAAACAAGACTCCCTGGGGATTGTTAGAACTAGCTAAACAAAATTTTTAAATTGGAGGAAATCAGCACCAGTCATTCAAATTAATAAGGTAATATCACACCTTTTAAGACCAACACATTATAACTTAGTCTAGTTACACTCTACCTTTATTTAGAATAATAAGGATGAATTCCAGAAACAGAGAAGTTGCTTTTAACAAAGAGTTTGCTTCTAAGCTAATCATTCTGCCAAATAAGTAAATATTTAAAGATTATTACTATTTTAGGCTAACATTTCAAAGCTTAACTCCACTTGACTATGTGAGTGCCCTGTGATCTCACCTAAACCGTTCCCTGATAATATGCTTCCTTCCCTCTAGCCCTGCAGATTCCATATTTCTCTTCCCTTCCCCTCCTCATTCCTTTTGGCTACCATATGGAGTCTTTCCTTCTTTTCACACCTAAACTCATAGAATTTCTCTCTACTTTCCCATCATTTACTTTCCTATTGATTCCCAGCAAGATGGTTTGTAACCTGTCTGCTCCTCTAATGAACCAGCAGTGTTGAAAGCCACAAAAAATTTTCTTAAGGGTTAAATTCAATGGACATTGACTCCCCAACCTCATGCCTACTCAGTGCTTTGTTAGGCCCAAAGACGGTTTTCTCTTGTCTTTCTTTTCTTTTTCTTCTTCTTTTATTTATTTATTTTTTTTGAGATGGAGACTTGCTCTGTTGCCCAGGCTGGAGTGCAGTGGCACGATCTCGGCTCACTGCAACCTCTGCCTCCCAGGTTCAAGTGATCTTCTGCCTCAGCCCCCCAGTAGCTGGGATTACAGGCACGTGCCACTAATGCCCAGCTAATTTTTTTTATTTTTAGCAGAGACAGGGTTTCACCATGTTGGCCAGGCTGGTCCTGAACTCCTGACCTCAGGTGATCACCCACCTCGGCCTCCCAAAGTGCTGGGATTACAGATGTGAGCCACCGCAACTAGCCTTCTTTTTATTTTTCTTTTTGATCAGCATGTTGTTTTAGCAAAAGTTGTATTTCTTCATTGCATGCACTCACTTGTATCTTCACACATTACTGCCTGACCACAGGACATGTGCACATTTATAATGATGCATAGGCTATTGTGAATCTCCCCTGACCTCTCTTCCTCTAGTTCCCACTCTTCTTCCCAAAGATAATTTATGGCCATCTAGTTCTTTTCATATCGATAAATTTATCAAACTTACCATTCACTCTAATAACGTCAAATGTTCTGTCCAAGCGATTATCCTAATTTTGTTTTCAGTCTTTACTGCTGAAATCCAGTTGTAGATTGCCAACTAATTTCTAGAAATTTCTGTTCTTAAACTCGTTCTTGAACTCGATGTCTAAAAAAAGTTTTTCTTTTACATAAGCCATTTTTTCTTCTAAATTCCATATTTCAATGTAGAAATATTATCATTCTTGCAATTGTCCAAATGGAGACCTTTTCTTTTATGAGTCCTTTGTTGCTTACTCCGTTATGCCTCATTAGTCACTAAATCTGATGAATAAGGAAGCCAAGATTTAAGGCACTGGAGGACATCTCCCTGGCTAGTGACAAGGTTGTTAAATAACATCAAGGTTCTTGATGTTCACATTTAGTATTCTTTTCCCTGGCTAGGCGTGGTGGCTCACGCCTGTAATTCCAACACTTTGGGAGGTGAAGGTTGGGGGATAACTTAAGTTCAGGAGTTTGAGACCAGCCTGGGCAACATAGCAAGACACCATCTCTACAAAAAATTTAAAATTAGCCAGGCATGGTAGCACACATCTGTGGTTCCAGCTACTTGGGAGGCTGAGCTGGGAGGATTACTTGAACCCTGATATTCAGGGCTGCAGTGAGCTATGATCACACCACTGCACTCCAGCCTGGGCTACAGAGACTCTGTCTAAATAAATAAATAAATAAGAAAAATAAAACACTATTCCTTCAATTGAGTGAGCTTGCAGTCCTGACAAGAGAATTTACTGCATTCATGCACTATTTTCTAATCCAAAAAAATTTAGTAAGCAATATTTTCCTGAATATTAACATAATTTTAGGATGCTGAAAGAGTTCATTCAACTGACCAAAACATTAAGCATTAAAGTAAAAAGCAAATTTACAAAGAAAAGATAGATTTTATTTTTAAAAATTATTCCTGAAAATGTTCAATTTGGATCAAAAGAGACTTTGAGAATGTAGTGGTGATGAGGATTCTGATTCTGGCTAACATCCCTTGATGATGGATTTCATCTCATCTTCACAGCATCCTCATGAGGTATGTATGTATTATTGGGCCTGTTTATTGATAGATAAATGGAGGTTTATGAACATTAAGTAACTTGGACAAGGTCATCTAGTTAGAGCCAGAGCTATAACCTAGGTCACCTGGCCTGATTCCAAACCTTGTGTTCTCAATTGAGAGGAAATGTGTGGGCCAAATTATTCCAGATAATTCTGACTTTCTCAGAAAGTCTGAAGTTCACAGCATTGTTTCTTAATTTTTTTTAATGCTGGCACATCTTTTCAACAGATTCTAATCCTAAATTACAGTGCTGATGTTTTCCAGGAATTAGACAAGTCATGAACAAAGTGAGTATTTCTCTGCAGAGCATTCTGCAAAACATAGGTAAGAGCAGACCCCTCCATGGAAAAGCTCTTCTTTGCCCAAGTAGCTGTAGAGACTGTCTTGTTTGTTATTCCTAGTAGAGAGACCACTTTCCTGCTGAGAGTGATTCGTTCAGAAAATGTGTTTGGGAAGAGGTCACGCACTTGAGGAGAGCAGCTGTGAACATTCATGTAACTCTTTGTTCCCTAATATTTTCTATATTCAGTTCATAATCCACTTGAGCAGTGGTGCCAGCTGGCAGGTCCAGTAGCTCATTTTTCTTCTCATTTTCAGCAGATCATCTAGTTTCTTCCCTATGGGTTCCTACCCCCATTTCATAGCCACTCACCTATTGATGAAGAGGCTCTGCGTAAAGCACGTCTCATCTTCCAGTCCATCAAAGCAGGATATGAAATTTTCCCAAACTCCAAATTACTACTGTAGTCCTTAATACAACATATATATTTAAATGGAGATTGTGAACACACGCAGAGGATGAAGGGCTGAAGTAACGAGCCCTCGTGCCTGGGTTCTAGTCTATCTGATAGTGGTTTATCCTCTTTGGCCTCTGTTTCCTCATTTATTTTGCAGATTAATTCAGGTTACTAATTCTTATGGGTTTTAAAGGATGCTGAGTTCCTAACTCCCAGTCCCTGTGAATGTGACCTTATTTAGAAATATGGGCTGGGCACAATGGCTCATGTCTGTAATACCAGCACTTTGGGAGGCCGAGGCAGGTGGATCACTTGAGGTCAGGAGTTCGAGACCAGCCTGACCAACGTGGTAAAATCCTCTCTCTACTAAAAATACAAAAATTAGGCACACACCTGTAATCCCTGCTACTCGGGAGGCTGAGGCAGGAGAATCACTTGAACCCTGGAACTTCTGCTGTGAGCCATGATGGCACCATTGTGCTCCAGCTTGGGTGACAGATTAAGACTCTGTCTCAAAAAAAAAAAAAGGAGGAAAGAAAAAGAAAAGAAATAGGGTCTTGACAGATGTTCAAGTTAAGATAGGAAGATGGGGTAAGTCACTAGGGTGGGCCCTAATCCATTATGACTTATGTCCTGATTTTTAAAAGGGGGAGAAATTTGTATACAGACAGATACTAGTAAGGGGAAGACAATGTAAAGACACAGGGAGAAGGCTGTCTACAAGTCAGTGCATAAGGCTGGGAGAACCTAGGAGAGAGGCATGGAATGGATTCTCCCTCACAGTCTTCAGAAGGTTCCAACCCACCAGATGCCTCTATTTCAGACTTTCAGCCTCCAGAACTGCTGAGATGATACATTTCTGTTGTTTAAACCACCCAGTTTCTGGTATTTTGTGATGGCACCCTACCAAATTATTGCACTAGACAGTTGACTTTGAATTAAGCAAAAGGGAGGTTTCCCCAGGTGGGCACAATCTAATCACACGTACCATTTAAACTCATTTAAAAGAGTAGGCAAAGAGAAAGTCAGAGCTATTCCAACCGTGAGAAAGAGTTGATGAGGTGGTACAGGGGCTCTGAAATGGAGGGCCCCCATGGCAATATTCAAAATCACATAGTCCAAGTGCAGAGTCCAAGTGCAGAGCCCAAGCGCATAACTACTATGCAACATGGGGAACTCAGTTGCAGGGTGATACCTTAAGCCTTGCTCTTTTTCTGCATACAACGTCCTCCTTAATTAAACCCATGGTAGGCCTTCCTCATCTTTCAAGGAAGGACAAATCATCCTCCTCCACCCCACAGAGAGAAAAGGGTAATGCTGTGTCCAATTTTCTTTTCATTGCTATTTTTATTATGGAAACACAAATGTTCAGTGATTCTAAAATGAAAACAGGGAAAGTTAATTTTGTCATCCTTATCCAATAAAATTCTTAATGGGTTTCTCTCCCATTATCATAAACACTTTTATTGTTTCTAATTTTTTTCTCCATTGCTCAGTAGTATATCTTGCTTTCAGAAAAACAATAATGTAAAAAATAAAAAATAAAAAAAAAAAGGCCAGGCGTGGTGGCTCACGCCTGTAATCCCAGCACTTTGGGAGGCCGAGGTGGGTGGATCACAAGGTCAGGAGATCGAGACCATCCTGGCTAACACGGTGAAACTCCGTCTCTACTAAAAAATACAAAAAATTAGCTGGGCGTCGTGGCGGGCGCCTGTGGTCCCAGCTACTCGGGAGGCTGAGGCAGGAGAATGGTGTAAACCCAGGAGGCGGAGCTTGCAGTGAGCCGAGATCGCGCCACTGCACTCCAGCCTGGGCGACAGACCGAGACTCCGTCTCAAAAAAAAAAACAAAAACAAAAACAAAAAAAACCGCCAATGTTCCTTTGGCATTTAGATCTCTTAAGTATCATTTCTACTTGGAATTTAGTTCTGTCTTCTCTATGGCAATCAGAAACGAATGTTCTAAATGCAGATTTGGCACATTTTGTGCCAATTTTATATAGTGAAAATTTGACAGACTATCTATTGGCCATGAGCTGTGGAGCTTGAACAAGTCTCTTGACTTCCCTGGGCTCTATTACTCCATCTCCCAAATTATGTCCTGGACTCTCCTCTTCCTTACTCTCCCCATCACCCAATAAGAGTAACATGTGATTAATTTATTTGAAGTGAGAGTAGGGATCTTTGTTTTCAAATTGCAATAGGTAGTTAGTTCTAGATAAGCTCGTTCTGGATATGGTTCTGGGACTATTGGTGTGAGGGTAGAGACCCATTTACACAAAAGGGCATCCTTTTTTTTTTTTTTTTTTTTTTTTTAAAGAGCAGAGGTTCTCAAAGTGCAGCCCCAGAACCAGAAATATCAGCATCAGCATCACTTGGAAACCTGTTAAAATGTAAAACCTATTTTTTTTTTTTTTACAGAGTCTTGCTCTGTCACCCAGGTTTGAGAGCAGTGGTGCAGTCTTGGCTCACTGCAACCTCCCCTCCCAGGTTCAAGTAATTCTCATGCCTCAGCTTCCCGAGTAGCTGGGATTACAGGCACGTGCTACCACACCCAGCTTTTTATTTTATTTTATTTTAAGTAGAGATGGGGTTTCACTGTGTTGGCCAGGCTGGTCTTGAACTCCTGACCTTAAGTAATCCACCCACCTAAGCCTCCCAAAGTGCTGGGATTACAGGCATGAGCCACTGTGCCCGGCCCTAGAATGTAAATTCTTATACCCTGCCCATGCCCTTCTAGATTAGGAATGCTGAGACTAAAACCGTGCAATCTGTGGTTTAACAAGCCTTACAGGTGATAAAGTTTGAGAACTACTGCTACAGAATACTTTAAGCTCTCTGATGACTGCTTCCTAGCCATATTAACCCTGAAACTGCTTTCTCTCTCATTCTTTTTGTTTGTTTTTTGGAGATGGAGTCTCACTTTGTCACCCAGGCTGGAGTGCAGTGGCGCGATCTCGGCTCACTGCAACCTCCACCTCCCAGGTTCAAGTGATTCTCCTGCCTCAGTTTCCTGAGTAGCTGGGATTACAGGTACCCGCCACCACGCCCGGCTAATTTTTTGTATTTTTAGTAGAGACAGGGTTTCACTGTGTTAGCCAGGATGATCTCGATCTCCTGACCTTGTGATCCGCCCGCCTTGGCCTCCCGAAGTGCTGGGATGACAGGCGTGAGCCACCGCGCCTGGCCTAGTTACAAGATATTTAAAGATTATGTAGCTCAACTCTGTTTTTCACTTGTGTCTATATTGTTTGGCCTCTAATAAATTCTGAGCTGCATAAGGGAATTGTCTATGTTTTCATATCCCCATAACAATTATTTGAAATTCAAGGGTAAATACTTCCTTATATAACCTTTCCCTCTCTTAGCAAACACTGACACCCATATCATGTGCTTGACAAATGCTATTGATGGTGATTAGGATACTGTTTACTGGAATATAGGAAAGTGAACTCTCTTATATTGAAAGTCTGCACCTGAATTTCAAACACAAGTATATGCCATTTGACTCTGATACAATCAGCAGCTTAATAACCAGAAGCTTTATCATTTCATTACTTAAGTCTTATTGCCATAATATAATGCTACTAAAATTTTCAAAACTGGGTGTTTCATCTGAGCTAGCATTTTTCAACTATTATCTCATTTAAGTTTTGCAAAAATTATATGAAGTCAGATTTAGTCAAGGTTATATTCAGGACAAGTATGGGAAGTACACTTCAAATTACTTTTAACAAAAAAAATTAACATATACTTCTTTGCGATGTAATTTATTGGAAATTTCATTGTGTACTTAACAGAATTCGAGTACTAGTTTTATAATCAGCTCAACAATTTCCTTCTTTTGAAGAATTCTCTCATCTCATTCTTTTATTTATTGCTAACTTCCTGTTTTGCTGCCTTTACACCATGTAATTCCTTGTGATAATGTTTCTTTCATAACTTTTTTCTAATTATAAAAATAACAAATGATCCTCTTTAAATTTCTGAAAATTTAAAAGAACTTAAAGAAAAAATAACTCATAAGTACTTTCAAAATTAAACCACTGCTGATATTTGGTGTGCTTATTAGCATTATTTTATAGTGAATTTAGGAAAAAATTATGAACAAACTTTTACTTAAAGCTATATATCAGACCAAGCATGCGCGCGCGCGCGCACACACACACACACACACACACACACACACAAGCACCTCCTAATATAGAACACCTAAAAATGCTCAACAACATATCTAAAGCATATTTTAAGTATGCTGAGCTTAAATAGAAGTTGGAAGTGAAAAACAATAATAAAGAATGATGCTGGGCACAGTGGCTCATGCCTGTAATCCCAGCACTTTGGGAGGCCAAAGCAGGTGGATCATGAGGTCAGGAGTTCATGACCATCCTGACCAACGTGATGAAACCCCGTCTCTACTAAAAATGCAAAAATTAGCTGGACATGGTGGCATGCACCTGTAATCCCAGCTACTCAGGAGGCTGAGGCAGAAGAATCACTTGAACCGGGGAAGTGGAGGTTGCAGTCAGCTGAGGTTGCACCACCGCACTCCAGCCTGGGTGACAGAGTGAGACTCCGTCTCAAAAAAAAAAATTAAAAAAAATAATAAAGATTGATACAAGAATGATAAGCAGTTTTTGAAGCTGGCTTTTTCCCTGAGGATGACTGTTTGTCTATCATGGGTGTTAGAGAAACATACACACAAAAATGTAAACAAAGTCTGAAGTCCCAACATAACAGAAGGACAGGTCAGAAGCCTCGTCATAGAGAAGGGGGCCTAGAGCAATGAAACCCTCACTGGATACATTAAATGAAAATCCTGTTCTCTAGAGATGAATGTTGACAAATTCATTGGTTTTTTTCTTAGGTCTGTGTTGAATGACTGAAAAAAGAACATAGCCTCTGAGAATCCCTGATGACAAATATATAATGAAAAGTTGGGCCAGAATTCATACCACATATATGTCCTGGAAAACTTCAACTCAAAATGTTAGGTTAAAGCAAACTCACATAGGTATATTCTCTTGGAACCCGGAATAAACAAACACATCTCTGAAGAAAACAAGTCACTATGAACAACGGCCAACAGAAACAACAAAGTATAAAGTCAGATCTACAAAGACTATAGATACTAGGATTATGAGCAACGCTATAAAAATGAATATATCAAAATAATAAAAGTGGATTGAAAATGATAAACAAGAGAATGTACAGATAATCAGGAAGATTTGAAAAAGATCTCAATGAACCACTAGAATTTGAAAGTATTAAAATTGGAGGGGAAAACTGAATATATATATTATTATATATAGATAGAATATATTTATTATTATATATATAGATAGAAAATATATATATATATATATATATATATATATATATATATATATATATATATATATATATATAAAATCTGATGCTAAACTGTAGTTTTTGAGAACTGAAGGATGGGTTAGAACTCTACCCAGATCCCATAATCCCATAATCCCAAACTGGCCCTTAGGTGGTGCACCAGTGGGACACATCTCAATACCTCTTATAAGGGCCTTGTAAACAGAATTGGCACTAGAATGAACCAATGCAAACAGAAGGTCGGTAGGAATTTGTGGCTGACTCTAGCAAGGTTACTACCTGTTAAATAAAAAAAAACTCTATAGCATTTTATCAAGACTCAGATTCACAGAGCATAGTGTGTAAGATGTCCAGAATACAATAAAAAATTACTCAACACATTAAGAATTAGAAAATTAGAAAACTTTTAAAATTTCTAATTTTTTTTTTTTGAGATGGAGTGTCACTCTTGTTGCCCAGGCTGCAGTGCAGTGGTGTAATCTTGGCTGACTAAACCCTCTGCCTCCTGGGTTCAAGCAATTCTCCTGCTTCAGCCTCTCAAGTAGCTGGGATTACAGGCCTCCACCACCAGGCCTTGCTAATTTTTTGTATTTTTAGAAGAGATGGGGTTTCACCGCATTGGCCAGGCTGGTCTCAAACTCCTTACCTCAGGTGATCCACCTGCCTCGGCCTCCCAAAGTGCTGGGATAAAAGGTGTGAGCCAACACACCTGGCCTCTAATTTTTTATAATTAGAAAAATCTGAACATCTCACAAAGCTAAAAAGACAACCAACAGACACGAATACCAAGTTGACACAGAAGGTGGGATTATCAAAGACTTTGGAGCAGCTGTTATAACTATACTTCAAGAAGTAAGATTGAACACTGTTGAAATAGAATGAAATTGAGAAAGTTTCACCAGAAAAATAGAAGGTATTTTAAAAGAATGGAATCAAAATTTTATGCAACTACCAAAATTCTCTAAAAATTACTGAAGGGGCTCAGGAGCAAGATAAAGAAGACAAAGAAAAATTGATGATCGTGGAAAAAGATAATGAGAAATTAATCTGAACAGAAGAGAATAAACAAAAATAATAATTTAAAAAAATTAAGACAGTGTCAGAGACCCATGGAATAATAACAAAAGTTCTAACATCTGTGTTCTTAGAGTCCCAGAAGAAGAGCACAAATAAAATGTAAAAACTTTTTTTGAAAAAAGTAATGGATTAAAACTTAGTGAAATGAGCAAATACCTAAGAGAAAACTTGAAACGTACATATTTTAGAAATAATAGAAAATCAAAATGAACCAATAACTTTTTACAAAATGAAAATTACAGTTTAAGAACTTTCACAAAGATAGCACTAAGCTGAGAAAGTTTTATTCACGAAGTTTAAAAATATTCAAGAAAGAAATAATTCTAATATTATCCAAACTATTTTAGGGACAAGGAAAAAGAGCAGCACTCTACAATTTATTTTATGAATCTAGCATAAACTTGATGCAACACCATGCAAGAATCAAATGAGGAACTTGCATAGATGCAAAAAGATTAATCAAAATAATAGCAAATTGATACCAGCAATGTATTAAAAGTGGCCACACATCTCAAATAAATTAGGTTGATTTCATGATCCAAGAATTCTTGGATGGGTGCAATGCTTCACACCTGTAATCCTAGCATTTGGGAGGCCAAGGCAGAAAGACACTTGAGGCTAGGAGTTCCAGACCAGCCTGGGCAATAGAACAAGACCCAATCTCTCCAAAAAAAAAAAAAAAAATTAGCCAGGCATGGTGGCACATGCCTGTAGTCTCAACTACTGGGAAGGCTGAGGCAGAAGGATTGCTTGAGCCCAGACATTCAAGGCCACAGTTAGCCATAATCACACAACTGCACTCAGCCAACAGAATGAGATCCTGTCTCAAAAAACATGTCATAAGATCCAGCAACCCAGATTCTGAGTATTTATTCCAAAAAATTGAAATCAGGATGCTGAAGAGATATTTTTATTCCCACGTCCTTGGAAGCATTATTTGCAATAGCCAATACATGGAAGTAATGTAAATGTCCAACGACTGATAAATGGATAGAGAAAATATGGCATATACATAAATGGAATATTAATTAGCCTTATAAAAAGAGAGAAATCCTGTCATTTGCAATGACGTGCATGAACCTTGAGGACATTATGCAAAGTGAATGAATGAGCCAGTCAGAAAAAACAAACATAGCCTAATTCCACCAATCCGAGGTATCTAAGGTTGCCAAACCCATTGAAGTAGAAAGTAGAATGCTGGTTACCAGGGGCTGGGGGTGGGTGGAGGAAAATGAAGTTGCTGTTCAATGAGTATAAAGTTTAAATTATGCAAGATTGAAAAGTTCCAGAGGTCTGCTGTGCAACACTGTGCTTATAGTTAAAAATATTGTAATGTACACTTACAAATTTAAGAGGATAGCCCTTATGTTACGTGTTTTAGTAACCACCATAGAAAATGAATAAACATAAGCAAGAGAGTTAATGCAAATTTCAGTATAGCAGAGACTTCCAAGCGGGTATGGTGACCTGCAATCAAGGAAAGCATAAAGGTCTTGTTTGTGTTCTAGCCAAAGCTGAGAAATGGGTACATGAAAGTTCTTTTTATTTTAATTTTTCTTTTCTTTTCTTTTTTTTTTTTTAGACAGTGTCTCACTCTGTCACCCAGGCTGGAGCGTAGTGATGCACAATCATAGCTGACTGCAGCCTTGACCTCCCAGGCTCAAGCAATCCTCTTACCTCAGCCCCCATGGCAGCTGGGACCACAGGCATGTGTCACCATGCCTGGCTAATGTTTTTCGTTTGTTTGTTTTTGTGAGGTGGAGTTTCACTCTTGTCACCCAGGTTGGAGTACAGTGGCATAATCTTGGCTCACTGCAATCTCTGCCTCCCAGGTTCAAGCCATTCTCCTGCCTCAGCCTGCTGAGTAGCTGGGATTGCAGACATGTGCCAATATGCCTGGCTAATTTTTGTATTTTTAGCAGAGAGGGGGTTTCACCATGTTGGCCAGGCTGGTTTCGAACTCCTGCCTCAGGTGATCCACCTGCCTCAGTCTCCCAAAATTCTGGGATTACAGGCCTGAGCCACGGCACCTAGCCTGCTAACTTTTTATTTTATTTTATTTTATTTTATTTTTATTTTTATTTTTTTGAGACGCAGTTTCACTCTTGTTGCCCAGGCTGGAGTGCAATGGCGCGATCTTGGCTCACTGCAACCTCTGCCTTCTGGGTTCAAGCAAGTCTCCTGCCTCAGCCCCCCTAGTAGCTGGGATTACAGGCATGTGCCACCATGCCCGGCTAATTTTGTATTTTTTAGTAGAGATGGGGTTTCTCCATGTTGGTCAGGCTAGTCTCGAACTCCCGACCTCGGGTGATCCGCCTGCCTTGGCCTCCCAAAGTTCTGGGATTACAGGCATGAGCCACCACGCTTGGCCTTTATTTTATTTTTGATAAAGATGGTATCTCCCTATGTTGCCCAGGCTAGTCTTAAACTCCTGACCTAAAGTTATCCTCCTGCTTTGGCCTCCCAAAGTGCTAGGATTACACACATGAGCCACTATGCCTGGCCCTATTTATTTTTATTGTCTGCATTGTACACATGTTAGATCCACACTTTTGCGTATATGATTTTGTATAAAATAAATTTAAGACTTAAATGGCATATAGAACATAGAGTAGGAGAGTATGTGAGTATATTAAGGAACGTATTAAGAGTTCAATACTACTTGGTATTATGTTTATCCTTTTATGTGGATAAATGTTTATTCTTTATATGACAGGATATAATGTTTATCCTTTTATGTGGTTGTATAGATATATAAATATTTATACACATATATGTAAATGATAGAGTATACGTACCATGTACTATATTATATATGCATATATAATATTTATTACATATTGTATAATACATATAACGTGGATTCATACTGCATAGGACTTTTTTTTTTTTCGAGATGGAGTCTCACTCTGTTGATCAGGCTGGAGTGCAGTGGCACAGTCTCGGCCCACTGCAACCTCCACCTCCCAGGTTCAAGCGATTCTCCTGCCTCAGCCTCCCAAGTAGCTGGGATTACAGGCTTGTGCCGCCACGCCTGGCCTGCCTCAGCCTCCCAAGAAGCTGGGACACAGGCTTGCACCACCACACCCGGCTACTTTTTTATTTTTACTTTTAGTAGAGACAGGGTTTCTCCATGTTGTTCATGCTGATCTCGAGCTCCTGAACTCAGGTGACCTGCCCACTTCAGCCTCCCAAAGTGCTGGGATTACAGGCATGAGCCACCACACTCAACTGGGATACACACTTTTAATTTCATGTTCATCTGTTATCATCAAACCATTTTCCAGAATATAAAATCTCTAATTTTCACAAAACCATTATATAAAGGGATAGGCAAGAGTATATGGCTACTGTCTTTTTCTTTTCTCTTTCTTTGAGACAAGATCTCACTCTGTTGCCCAGGCAGGAGTGCAGTGACATGAACCAGGCTCATGGCAGCCTTGATCGTCCAGGCTCAAGGAGTTCTCCCACCTCAGCCTCAAGTAGCTGGGACCACAGGCGTGTGCCTGCACGCCTGGCTAATTTTTAATTTTTTGGAGAGAGAGGGGTCTTGCCATATTGTCCAGATGGGTCTGAAACTCCTGGGCTCAAGCAATCTGCTGGTCTCAGCCTCCCAAAGTGCTGGGATTGCAGGTGTGAGCCACCATGCCCTGCTTGTCTTCTTTTTCAAGTTGGTCTGTTCTCCTTGCAATGAATGCCTTTCCTCTTAAATCTGAACACCTGAGGAATTATTGACATAGAAAGTTTCCATTTCTTTCTTTCTTTCTCTCTCTCTCTCTCTTTTTTTTTTCAAGACAAAGTCTCACTCTGTGGCCCAGGCTGAAGTGCAGTGGCACCATCTTGGCTCATTGCCACCTCCACCTCCCGGGTTCAAGGGATTCTCCTCCCTCAGTCTCCCAAGTAGCTAGGATTACAGGCACCTACCACCATGCCTGGCTAATTTTTGTATTTTTAGTAGAGATGGGGTTCCACCCTGTTGGCCAGGCTGGTCTCGAACTCATGACCTCAGGTGATCCACCCGCCTCAGCCTCCCAGTGTTGGGATTACAGGCCTGAGCCACCGTGCCCAGCCAAAAGTTTCCATTTCTTTATGTTAATGATTTACCATCACTGTGTTATGTCATGTCAAATTCAAGGCTGGCTAGAGCTGCCCCAAAAGTGGTGCAGGGGAATTCCCACAAAGGAGTACCCCAAATGGTCCGGAGATAGGGCTGAATTCCACAGGGCGAACTACTAAAATGCCAGGGTGATCAGTCCAAAGCCTTTATGAGGGAGCTTACAGAGTGCTGTGGCAGTCCTCGTGATGGACAGTGGGAGAAAAGAGATGTCCTATCTAGCTTTGTTCATAGCGAGGAGGTCAGGTTATGGAGTTTTTGTTTTTGTTTGTTTTTTGTTTCTTTGTTTTTGTTTTTTGTCAGATCACGGCTCACTGCAGCCTCAACTTCCTGGGCTGAAGTGATCCTCCCACCCTAGCCACCTGAGCAGCTGGGGCTACAGGTGCTGCCAACACACCTGGCTAATGTTTTTTTTTTAGATGGAGTTTTGCTCTTGTTGCCCAGGCTGGAGTGCAATGGCATGAACTTGGCTCACTGCAACCTCCGCCTCCCGGGTTTAAGTGATTCTCCTGCCTCAACCTCCTGAGTAGCTGGGACTACAGGTGCCCACTACCATGCCCAGCTAATTTTTGCATTTTTAGTAGAGACAGGGCTTCACCACGTTGGCGAAGCTCGTCTCAAACTCCTGACCTCAGGTGATCCACCCGCCTCGGGCTGCCAAAGTGCTGGGTTACAGGCGTGAGCCACTGTGCCTGGCTTGTCCATGGATTTTTTGAAAAATATGCTTTGAGCAATCTAAAACAAAAGCAGTCTGCCTAAAATTTATATTTATATATTTGTACTGTATTACAGATACTGATTTTGTGGAGCTATAATTTAATAAGATGTTTTAACAGTAATAAAACATTTTATAATTTTGTATATTGTTATTTTCTAAAAAGTTTATTTAAGTGCAAATGCAAAACACAGCAGTGATCATGTTGAAGCACTAGGAAAAAATGTTGTGGGTAAAAATTCAACCTCAAATATGCAACTATTCAACTTCCAATGTGGAAATTACATCTTTTTACAAAAGAATGAGTATATTTGTTTGCAAAGTGCTCTTACACACACATACACACATACACACACACACAGCCTTTAGACTGTGGTAATCAGGCTGGGTGCGGTGGCTCATACCCATAATCCCAGCACTTTGGGAGGCCGAGGTGGGCAGATCACCTGAGGTCAGGGGTTCGAGACCAGCCTGGCCAACATGGAGAAACCCCATCTCTACTAAAAATACAAAAATCAACAGGGTGTGGTGGCATGCCCCTGTAATCTCAGCTACTCGGGAGGCTGAGGCAGAGACTCGCTTAAACCTGGAAGGTGGATGTTGCAGTGAGCCAAGATCATGCCATTGCACTCCAGCCTGGGTGACAGAGCAAGACTCCGTCTCAAAAAAAAAAAATTCTTTTTAGGTGGCCTTTGGAAAACAAAATCAAATCTATCTGCAAACACATCTAGGTGGGGCAAGAGTGTGTGAAAATGGGACATTAATTAAGATTAATTGATGGAAAAAGTGATGGAAAAAGTAGAAAGACAAAATCTCTTCCATAATTTTGATGAAATGTCATTCAATTTGTCTTTAATCACTCAGCTTAATAAGAAAGTTGAAAATAAATAATTTACATTGTCCTACTATTTACATTTTACTAACTCCATATGTGTAGAGGTGTAAGGGATTTTTAAAAGAGCAACAAGGTTGAGACTTGTAAACCTGAATTTAGATAGAAGATGAATCTTCAAAAGTATTGATAACTTTGGAAAATAATTTTTAAGAAAGGCATGACAGCCAGTGATTATCTAGTTTCACAATTTGTTGTCAGAGTTTGTGAAGGCTTTACTATAAAAACTATAGGATGAACAAGGAATCCTTGATGCTGAGATTTTGTCTTTTGTCTTAATAGGTGAACATTATACCGCTGATTGCCAAAGCAGACACAATTTCTAAAAATGATTTACAGACTTTTAAGAGTAAGATGGGGGGAGGAGCCAAGATGGCCGAATAGGAACAGCTCCGGTCTACAGCTCCCAGCGTGAGCGACGCAGAAGACGGGTGATTTCTGCATTTCCATCTGAGGTACCGGGTTCATCTCACTAGGGAGTGCCAGACAGTGGGCGCAGGCCAGTGTGTGCGCGCACCGTGCGCGAGCCGAAGCAGGGCGAGGCATTGCCTCACCTGGGAAGCGCAAGGGGTCAGGGAGTTCCCTTTCCGAGTCAAAGAAAGGGGTGACAGACGCACCTGGAAAATCGGGTCACTCCCACCCGAATATTGCGCTTTTCAGACCGGCTTAAGAAACGGCGCACCACGAGACTATATCCCACACCTGGCTCAGAGGGTCCTACGCCCACGGAATCTCGCTGATTGCTAGCACAGCAGTCTGAGATCAAACTGCAAGGCGGCAACGAGGCTGGGGGAGGGGCGCCCGCCATTGCCCAGGCTTGCTTAGGTAAACAAAGCAGCCAGGAAGCTCGAACTGGGTGGAGCCCACCACAACTCAAGGAGGCCTGCCTGCCTCTCTAGGCTCCACCTCTGGGGGCAGGGCACAGACAAACAAAAAGACAGCAGTAACCTCTGCAGACTTAAGTGTCCCTGTCTGACAGCTTTGAAGAGAGCAGTGGTTCTCCCAGCACGCAGCTGGAGATCTGAGAACGGGCAGACTGCCTCCTCAAGTGGGTCCCTGAACCCTGACCCCCGAGCAGCCTAACTGGGAGGCACCCCCCAGCAGGGGCACACTGACACCTCACACGGCAGGGTATTCCAACAGACCTGCAGCTGAGGGTCCTGTCTGTTAGAAGGAAAACTAACAACCAGAAAGGACATCTACACCGAAAACCCATCTGTACATCACCATCATCAAAGACCAAAAGTAGATAAAACCACAAAGATGGGGAAAAAACAGAACAGAAAACCTGGAAACTCTAAAACGCAGAGCGCCTCTCCTCCTCCAAAGGAACGCAGTTCCTCACCAGCAACGGAACAAAGCTGGATGGAGAATGATTTTGACGAGCTGAGAGAAGAAGGCTTCAGACGATCAAATTACTCTGAGCTACGGGAGGACATTCAAACCAAAGGCAAAGAAGTTGAAAACTTTGAAAAAAATTTAGAAGAATGTATAACTAGAATAACCAATACAGAGAAGTGCTTAAAGGAGCTGATGGAGCTGAAAACCAAGGCTCGAGAACTACGTGAAGAATGCAGAAGCCTCAGGAGCCGATGCGATCAACTGGAAGAAAGGGTATCAGCAATGGAAGATGAAATGAATGAAATGAAGCGAGAAGGGAAGTTTAGAGAAAAAAGAATAAAAAGAAATGAGCAAAGCCTCCAAGAAATATGGGACTATGTGAAAAGACCAAATCTACGTCTGATTGGTGTACCTGAAAGTGATGTGGAGAATGGAACCAAGTTGGAAAACACTCTGCAGGATATTATCCAGGAGAACTTCCCCAATCTAGCAAGGCAGGCCAATGTTCAGATTCAGGAAATACAGAGAACGCCACAAAGATACTCCTCGAGAAGAGCAACTCCAAGACACATAATTGTCAGATTCACCAAAGTTGAAATGAAGGAAAAAATGTTAGGGGCAGCCAGAGAGAAAGGTCGGGTTACCCTCAAAGGAAAGCCCATCAGACTAACAGCGGATCTCTCGGCAGAAACCCTACAAGCCAGAAGAGAGTGGGGGCCAATATTCAACATTCTTAAAGAAAAGAATTTTCAACCCAGAATTTCATATCCAGCCAAACTAAGCTTCATAAGTGAAGGAGAAATAAAATACTTTACAGACAAGCAAATGCTGAGAGATTTTGTCACCACCAGGCCTGCCCTAAAAGAGCTCCTGAAGGAAGCGCTAAACATGGAAAGGAACAACCGGTACCAGCCGCTGCAAAATCATGCCAAAATGTAAAGACCATCGAGTCTAGGAAGAAACTGCATCAACTAATGAGCAAAATCACCAGCTAACATCATAATGACAGGATCAAATTCACACATAACAATATTAACTTTAAATATAAATGGACTAAATTCTGCAATTAAAAGACACAGACTGGCAAGTTGGATAAAGAGTCAAGACCCATCAGTGTGCTGTATTCAGGAAACCCATCTCATGTGCAGAGACACACATAGGCTCAAAATAAAAGGATGGAGGAAGATCTACCAAGCCAATGGAAAACAAAAAAAGGCAGGGGTTGCAATCCTAGTCTCTGATAAAACAGACTTTAAACCAACAAAGATCAAAAGAGACAAAGAAGGCCATTACATAATGGTAAAGGGATCAATTCAACAAGAGGAGCTAACTATCCTAAATATTTATGCACCCAATACAGGAGCACCCAGATTCATAAAGCAAGTCCTGAGTGACCTACAAAGAGACTTAGACTCCCACACATTAATAATGGGAGACTTTAACACCCCACTGTCAACATTAGACAGATCAACGAGACAGAAAGTCAACAAGGATACCCAGGAATTGAACTCAGCTCTGCACCAAGCAGACCTAATAGACATCTACAGAACTCTCCACCCCAAATCAACAGAATATACATTTTTTTCAGCACCACACCACACCTATTCCAAAATTGACCACATAGTTGGAAGTAAAGCTCTCCTCAGCAAATGTAAAAGAACAGAAATTATAACAAACTATCTCTCAGACCACAGTGCAATCAAACTAGAACTCAGGATTAAGAATCTCACTCAAAGCCGCTCAACTACATGGAAACTGAACAACCTGCTCCTGAATGACTACTGGGTACATAACGAAATGAAGGCAGAAATAAAGATGTTCTTTGAAACCAACGAGAACAAAGACACCACATACCAGAATCTCTGGGATGCATTCAAAGCAGTGTGTAGAGGGAAATTTATAGCACTAAACGCCTACAAGAGAAAGCAGGAAAGATCCAAAATTGACACCCTAACATCACAATTAAAAGAACTAGAAAAGCAAGAGCAAACACATTCAAAAGCTGGCAGAAGGCAAGAAATAACTAAAATCAGAGCAGAACTGAAGGAAATAGAGACACAAAAAACCCTTCAAAAAATCAATGAATCCAGGAGCTGGTTTTTTGAAAGGATCAACAAAATTGATAGACCGCTAGCAAGACTAATAAAGAAAAAAAGAGAGAAGAATCAAATAGACACAATAAAAAATGATAAAGGGGATATCACCACCGATCCCACAGAAATACAAACTACCATCAGAGAATACTGCAAACACCTCTACGCAAATAAACTAGAAAATCTAGAAGAAATGGATACATTCCTCGACACATACACTCTCCCAAGACTAAACCAGGAAGAAGTTGAATCTCTGAACAGACCAATAACAGGCTCTGAAATTGTGGCAATAATCAATAGTTTACCAACCAAAAAGAGTCCAGGACCAGATGGATTCACAGCCGAATTCTACCAGAGGTACAAGGAGGAACTGGTACCATTCCTTCTGAAACTATTCCAATCAATAGAAAAAGAGGGAATCCTCCCTAACTCATTTTATGAGGCCAGCATCATTCTGATACCAAAGCCGGGCAGAGACACAACCAAAAAAGAGAATTTTAGACCAATATCCTTGATGAACATTGATGCAAAAATCCTCAATAAAATACTGGCAAACCGAATCCAGCAGCACATCAAAAAGCTTATCCACCATGATCAAGTGGGCTTCATCCCTGGGATGCAAGGCTGGTTCAATATACGCAAATCAATAAATGTAATCCAGCATATAAACAGAGCCAAAGACAAAAACCACATGATTATCTCAATAGATGCAGAAAAAGCCTTTGACAAAATTCAACAACCCTTCATGCTAAAAACTCTCAATAAATTAGGTATTGATGGGACGTATTTCAAAATAATAAGAGCTATCTATGACAAACCCACAGCCAATATCATACTGAATGGGCAAAAACTGGAAGCATTCCCTTTGAAAACTGGCACAAGACAGGGATGCCCTCTCTCACCGCTCCTATTCAACATAGTGTTGGAAGTTCTGGCCAGGGCAATCAGGCAGGAGAAGGAAATAAAGGGTATTCAATTAGGAAAAGAGGAAGTCAAATTGTCCCTGTTTGCAGACATGATTGTATATCTAGAAAACCCCATCGTCTCAGCCCAAAATCTCCTTAAGCTGATAAGCAACTTCAGCAAAGTCTCAGGATACAAAATCAATGTACAAAAATCACAAGCATTCTTATACACCAACAACAGACAAACAGAGAGCCAAATCATGAGTGAACTCCCATTCACAATTGCCTCAAAGAGAATAAAATACCTAGGAATCCAACTTACAAGGGATGTGAAGGACCTCTTCAAGGAGAACTACAAACTGCTGCTCAAGGAAATAAAAGAGGACACAAACAAATGGAAGAACATTCCATGCTCATGGGTAGGAAGAATCAATATCGTGAAAATGGCCATACTGCCCAAGGTAATCTACAGATTCAATGCCATCCCCATCAAGCTACCAATGACTTTCTTCACAGAATTGGAAAAAACTACTTTAAAGTTCATATGGAACCAAAAAAGAGCCCGCATCGCCAAGTCAATCCTAAGCCAAAAGAACAAAGCTGGAGGCATCACACTACCTGACTTCAAACTATGCTACAAGGCTACAGTAACCAAAACAGCATGGTACTGGTACCAAAACAGAGATATAGATCAATGGAACAGAACAGAGCCCTCAGAAATAATGCCACATATCTACAACTATCTGATCTTTGACAAACCTGAGAAAAACAAGCAATGGGGAAAGGATTCCCTATTTAATAAATGGTGCTGGGAAAACTGGCTAGCCATATGTAGAAAGCTGAAACTGGATCCCTTCCTTACACCTTATACAAAAATCAATTCAAGATGGATTAAAGATTTAAACGTTAGACGTAAAACCATAAAAACCCTAGAAGAAAACCTAGGCATTACCATTCAGGACATAGGCGTGGGCAAGGACTTCATGTCCAAAACACCAAAAGCAATGGCAACAAAAGCCAAAATTGACAAATGGGATCTAATTAAACTAAAGAGCTTCTGCACAGCAAAAGAAACTACCATCAGAGTGAACAGGCAACCTACAACATGGGAGAAAATTTTCGCAACCTACTCATCTGACAAAGGGCTAATATCCAGAATCTACAATGAACTCAAACAAATTTACAAGAAAAAAACAAACCACCCCATCAAAAAGTGGGCGAAGGACATGAACAGACACTTCTCAAAAGAAGACATTTATGCAGCCAAAAAACACATGAAGAAATGCTCATCATCACTGGCCATCAGAGAAATGCAAATCAAAACCACTATGAGATATCATCTCACACCAGTTAGAATGGCAATCATTAAAAAGTCAGGAAACAACAGGTGCTGGAGAGGATGTGGAGAAATAGGAACACTTTTACACTGTTGGTGGGACTGTAAACCAGTTCAACCATTGTGGAAGTCAGTGTGGCGATTCCTCAGGGATCTAGAACTAGAAATACCATTTGACCCAGCCATCCCATTACTGGGTATATACCCAAAGGACTATAAATCATGCTGCTATAAAGACACATGCACACGTATGTTTATTGCAGCACTATTCACAATAGCAAAGACTTGGAACCAACCCAAATGTCCAACAATGATAGACTGGATTAAGAAAATGTGGCACATATACACCATGGAATACTATGCAGCCATAAAAAATGATGAGTTCATGTCCTTTGTAGGGACATGGATGAAATTGGAAACCATCATTCTCAGTAAACTATCGCAAGAACAAAAAACCAAACACCGCATATTCTCACTCATAGGTGGGAATTGAACAACGAGATCACATGGACACAGGAAGGGGAATATCACACTCTGGGGACTGTGGTGGGGTCGGGGGAGGGGGGAGGGATAGCATTGGGAGATATACCTAATGCTAGATGACACGTTAGTGGGTGCAGCGCACCAGCATGGCACATGTATACATATGTAACTAACCTGCACAATGTGCACATGTACCCTAAAACTTAGAGTATAATAAAAAAAAAAAACATTAAAAAAAAAAAAGAGTAAGATAATGAGTGAATTGATTAGCAGTGGCCTCCAGATATATCAGCTCCCAGCAGATGAAGAAACTGCTGCTCAAGCGAACTCCTCAATTAATGTAAGTTTCAGTAACAATATCTGACAAAGAGGCTATAAATGAGTTTTTATCCAGAATCCAGTGTGAAAATTTTTTAATTTTTTTATTTTGAAAAACTTCTTTTGAGAATTGATTCTTTGTAAACAGATTTATTTAGATTTAATTCATACACCGTGTTCCTCAAGGATATTGGCTTATAATTTTCTTCTTGGAAGTATATTTTCTTTCTTGGATATCAGGGGGATGCTTGCCTCATAGAATGACTCTGAAGGTGTTACCTCCTTTTTCTATTTTTTCAAAGAATTTGAGGATGTTTTATATTAAATTTTCTTTTAAAGTTTGATAGAATTCACTCATGAAGTAATCTGGTCCTAGGCTATGTTTTGGAGTTTTGGAAAATTACTTCTTTAGATTCTCTATTTGTTATCGGTCTCTTTAAGCTCTCTATTCTCCATTCAGTGTTGGTAGGTTATGTATTTCTAGTAATTTCACCATTTCTTCTAAGTTGTCAAATTGGTTAGTGTATAATTGTTCATAGTAGTCCCTTATAATTCTGTTTATTTCTGTAAGAAATAAACTTCTGTAATAAATTGTAATGTCTTCTCTTTCATTTCTTATTTTATTAACATATTCTCTCTTTTTGTTCTTAGTCTAGGTAATGGCTTTGATTTTGATTTATTTTTCCATATCAACTCTTAGCTTCATTGATTAATTTTTTTTTTGAGACAGAGTCTCACTCTGTTGCCTAGGCTGGAGTGCAGTGGCACGATCTTGGCTCACTGCATATCCATCTCCAGGGTTCAAGCGATTCTCCTGCCTCAGCCTTGCAAGTAGCTGGGATTACAGGAGCATGCCCCCACGCCTGGCTAATTTTTGTATTTTTAGTACAGACAGGGTTTCACCATGTTGACCAGGCTGGTCTCAAACTCCTGACTTCAAGAGATCCACTGGGATTACAGGTGTGAGCCACTGTGCCCGGCTGATTAAAAAAAAATTTTTATTCTCTATTTCATTTATTTATGCTCAATCTTTGTTATTTCTTTCCTTCTACTAATTTTTGGTTTAAGGTTTTTTTTTGATGTGTAAAGTTAGGTTGTTTATTTGAGATCTTTTTTTTGAGATGAAGTCTCCCTCTGTCACCAGGCTGGAGTGCAGTGGTGCAATCTTGGCTCACTGCAACCTCCGCCTCCCAGGTTAGAGTGATTCTCCTCTGTCAGCCTCCCGAGTAGCTGCGACTACAGGTGTGCGCCACCATACCCTGCTAATTTTTTTTGTATTTTTAGTAGAGATGGGATTTCACCATGTTAGCCAGCCTGGTCTCAAACTCCTGACCTCAGCCAATCCGCCTGCCTCAGCCTCCCAAAATGCTGGGATTACAGGTGTGAGCCACCACTTGTGGGCAAGATCTTTTTAAAAAGGATGTAAGTGTTTGCTACTATAAACTTCCTTTGTTTTTTTATTTTGGATTCAGAGGGTGTATGTGCACATTTATCAAATAGATATATTGCATAATGGTGAGGTTTGGTGTCTAGTGTACCTATCCCTGAGATAGTAAAACATTTTACCCAACAGATCTTTTTTTTTTTTTTTTTGAGATACAGTCTTGCTCTGTTGCCCTGGCTGGTGTGCAGTGGTGTGATCACATCTCACTATTAATAGATAATTTTTTGACCATCAGCCCCCTCCCAATCTCTCCCTTTTGGAGTCTCACTATCTACTGTTTCCATCTTTATGTCCTTGTGTACTCATTGTTTAGCTCCTGCTTATAAGTGAGAACATGTGGTATTTGATTTTCTGTTTCTGAGTTATTTTCACTTAGGATAATGGCCCCCAGCTCCATCCATGTTACTGCACAGAGCATGATTTCATTTTTTTTAATGGCTGTGTGGTATTCCATGGTATATATATACCACATTTAAAAAATCCAGTCCACTGTTAATGGACATTTAGGTTAATTCCATGACTTTACTATTATGAGTAGGAATGTAATACACATATGAGTGAAAGTGACTTTTTTATATAATATTTTCTTTCAGGTAGATGCCTAGTAGTATAATCACTGTGTCAAATGGTAGCTCTATTTTTAGTGCTTTGAGAAATCTCTATATTGTTTTTCATAGAGGTTGTGCAAATTTATAGTCCCACCAGCAGTGAATAAGCATTCATTATTCTCTGCATCCACACCAACATCTGTTGTGTTTGTAATAATAGCCATTCTGACTATGTAAGATGATATCTTATTGTGTGTGTGTGTGTGTGTGTGTGTGTGTGTGTGTGTGTGTTTGAGTCAGAGTCTCACTCTGTCACTCAGGCTGGAGTTCAGTGGTGTGATCTTGGCTCACTGCAACCTCCACCTCCTGGGTTCAAGGGATTCTCCTGCCTCAGCTTCCCAAGTAGCTGGGATTACAGGCACCCACCATCACGCCCAACTAATTTTTGTATTTTTAGTAGAGATGGGGTTTAACCATATTGGTCAGGCTGGTCTTGAGCTCCTGACCTCAGGTGATCCACTCACCTTGGCCTCCCAAAGTGCCGGGACTACAGGTATGAGTCACTGTGCCCGGCCTTTATTGTGGTTTTAATTTGCATTTCTCTGATGATTGGTGATGTTGAGCAATTTTTCATATGTTTGGTGGCCACTTGTATGTCTTCTTTTGAGAAATGTCTGTTTATATCCTTTGCAGTCTTTTTAATGGGGTTATTTATTCTTTGTTGATGTTGAGTTGTTTGTGTTCTTTGTAGATTCTGGATATTAGTCCTTTGTCAGATGCAAATATTTTGTTCCTATTGTGTAGGTTATCTGTTTACTCTGTTGATTATTTCTTTTGCTGTGCTCTTTAGTTTAAGTCCCATTTGTGTATATTTGGTTTTGTTGCATTTGCTTTTCAGGTCTAATTTATGAATTATTTGTCTAGGCCAATATCTAGAAGAGTTTTTCCTAAATTTTCTTCTAGGATTTTTATAGCTTCTGGTCTTTCATTTAAGTCGTTAATGCATCTTGAGTTAAAGTTTGTGTATGATAAGAGATGGGGATTCAGTTTCATTCTTTTGCCTATGGGTAGCCAATTTTCCCAGCACCATTGATTGAATAGAATGCCCTTTCCCCATGGTTTATTTTTGCCAACTTTGTCAAAGATCACTTGGTTGTAGGCATGTGGCTTTATTACTGGTTCTTTATTCTCTTTTCTTTCACAATTTTTTGTCCTTTTTTTAGCTGTATCCTTCCTAACAATGAACTCTCTATTCCGTTCCATTAATCTATCTATTTTTGTACCAATGCCATACTGTTTTATTTAGTATATAGCATTAGCACTATAGTATAATTTGAAGTCAGACACATGATGCCCCTGACTTGGTTCTTTTTGCTTAGGATTACTTTGGCTATTTAGATGCTTTTTTGGTTTCATATGATATTTAGGATCGCTTTTTCTAGTCCTATGAAAAATGATGTTGGTAATTTGATAGGAATTGTGTTGAATCTGTAGATTGCTTTGGTTAGTAAGGTCTTTGTAATGATATTTATCTTCCAATCCAAAAATTCCATAAATTTTTGGAACAGTTTCAGTAAGATTGATACCAGCTCTTCGTTGTACTTCTGGCAAAATTTGGCTGTAAACCCATCTGTTCTTGTTTTTTTTTTTTTTTTGTTTGAAATTACGTTATTACTCAGTCAATTTTATTGCTTGTTATTGGTTTATTTTGGGTATCTATTTTTTCCTGGTTCAGTCTTAAGAGGTTTTATGTTTCCAGGAATTTATCCATTTTCTTATTTTTTTAATTAATTAATTATTATTACACTTTAAGTTTTAGGGTACATGTGCACAATGTGCAGGTTAGTTACATACGTATACATGTGCCATGCTGGTGTGCTGCACCCACTAACTCGTCATCTAGCATTAGGCATATCTCCCAATGCTATCCCTCCCCCCTCCCCCCACCCCCCACCCCACAACAGTCCCCAGACTGTGATGTTCCCCTGCTGTGTCCATGTGTTCTCATTGTTCAATTCCCACCTATGAGTGAGAATATGCGGTGTTTGTTTTTTTGTACATGAAAAAATGCTCACCATCACTGGCCATCAGAGAAATGCAAATCAAAACCACATGAGATACCATCTCACACCAGTTAGAATGGCAATCATTAAAAAGTCAGGAAACAACAGGTGCTGGAGAGGATGTGGAGAAACAGGAACACTTTTACACTGTTGGTGGGACTGTAAACTAGTTCAACCATTTTCTTATTTTTTAAAGGAATATAAAACTATTATTCACCACTGTCCACCAGTATTTTTTTTTTTTGAGACAGAGTCTCACTCTGTCACCCAGGCTGGAGTGCAGTGGCTCGATCTCGGCTCACTTCAAGCTCTGCCTCCCGGGTTCACGCCATTCTCCTGCCTCAGCCTCTCCGAGTAGCTGGGACCTTTTTTACATCTTAATTTGTTATCTGAATATCTTTTTTGTTGAGGTGGCTATTTGGATCTTGTGCCCATTTTTAATCGGGTTGTTCATTTTCTTGTTGTTGAGTTCTAAGAGTTCTTTGTATATTTTGGACATCAGTCCTTTATCAAGTGTGTGTTTTACAGAGATTTTCTCTCAGTCTGCGGCTTATCTTGTTATCTTTAACAGTGTCTTTGACTACCAGAAGTTTTAGTGTTTTGTTTTGTTTTTTTCTGAGATGGAGTCTCATTCTGTCGCCCAGGCTGGAGTGCAATGGTGTGATCTTGGCTCACTGCAACCTCCCCCTCCCAGGTTCAAGCAATTCTTCTGCCTCAGCCTCCTGAGTAGCTGGAATTACAGGTGCCCATCACCATGCCTGGCTAATTTTTGTATTTTTAATAGAGACGAGGTTTCACTATGTTGGCCAGGCTGGTCTCGAACTCCTAACCTCGTGATCCACCTGCCTCAGCCTCCCAAAGTGCTGGGATTACAGGCATGAGCCACCACACCCAGCCCAGAAGTTTTAGTTTTAATGAAGTCCAACTCATCTATTCTTTCTATTCATCGATCATGTTTTCAGTGTTACATCAATGAAGTCATTGCTAAACCCAAAGTCTCCTATATTTCCTTTTATGTTATCTGTTGTGAGGTAGTGATGACTACCTGGACTGGTGGCACAGGCATAAAAGAATTTACCTTGTTGAGGCAGAGGTTGCAATGAGCCAAGATTGCACAACTGCACTCCAGCCTGGGTGACAGAGTGAGATTTTCTCTTAAAAAAAAAAGAAAGAAAGAAAGAAAGAATTTACCTTGTTGTAGGTAAGGAAGGTAGATTTATTAAAGAAAGTAGAAACATACATTGCTAGGGAGGCAATGGGCAGCTTGCAAGAAAGAAGCTGACTGCAAACCAACAAAGGATTGCTGGAGATTGTATAGGATAGTTCTTAGGCTGTATGCTGAAGAGGGCTTTGTATGGTGCTGATAATGCCAAGGTTGTGATGCAGGATTCCTCAGTCATTCTCAGCCAGGGACGTCTGGCCAGTGACATCCCCACCTGGGCCTTGCTTGGGCATGCTACCTGCCACACAGGAGGCTCCCCGTCCACTTGGCCCAGTCTGGCTTGCACAGTGGCTCAGCCTCCGGCTGGGCTATCATGCCCTAGCCTGCCTGTGTTATAGCTTCTACCTGAGATCGGCGATTCATGAGCTTTTTTCCCACATCCAAGAAGAATGAGGATACCCTGACAATTGAAGGATGAGGAAAGCAGAGAGGAATTTTATTGAGTGATGGAACAGCTTTCAGTGGAGAGGGGACCTGGGGGTGGTTTCTCTCCTTGTGTGGCTAAGCCCAGGGCTTTTGTGGACTCAGAATAGGGGAGTGCGTGCTGATTGGTTTGTGAGTATGCAAAAAGGTTAAAACAAAGGCACCACCCAAAGGTGGGCACAACTATGTAAAAAAAAAAAAAATTAGGAAGCATAGGTATATGTAAAACAGCTGAAGGGTGGGGATCAGTCTGAGGAAAGTGCACCAAGCAGGAAGACAGGTTCTCAATCCAGTCCATGGATTTGACTTGTAGCTTGGCTTTCAGGCTTTAAACTGTCTTTGGCTTGGAGGTGGGATTTCCCTGGGAACTTGCCCCTATCTGCCTAGGCATTTGTCCACCTCCTGCCACTATCAGTGGCAGTGACTTAACTTGCAACTTTTTGTATCAGCCAAGGGTCTACTGATACCTAGACACAGGAAGATTGTGAGTTATTTGTGCAGGAGGGCTGTGTGTTCTGGATTATGAAGAAAGGCATACTTGTAGCTTATCTGCTTTTTTTTTTTCTTTCCTCTGCTCCCACAAGCCTGACTCCCCTTCCCTAATTGGGACTCTACATTATCTTGTAAGAATTTTATCATTTTATGCTATACATTTAGGTCTATGATCCAATTTGAGTTAATTTTGTGAAATACGTAAGGTCTGTTTATAGATTCTTATTTTTGCATGTGAATATCCTGTTCCAGCACCATTTGTTGAAAAGAATATCTTTTCTCCATTGAATTCCCATTGCTTCTTTGTCAAATATCAATTGACTCTATTTGTGTAGGCATATTTCTGGGCTCTCTACTCTGTTCCATTGATCTGTTTGTCTGTTATTTTGTCCATGCCATGCTGTTTTAATTACTATGGCTTTGTAGTAAATTGTTGTTCTTCAGTATTGTGTTGGCTATTCTAGTTCTTTTGCCTTTTCATATAAATTTTGGAGTTAGTTTGTTATTATTTGTTTGTTATTACATATTATTTATTATTTGTTATTCACAAAATAATTTGGTGAAATTTTGACTGGGATTGTGGTGAATCCATAGGTTAAGTTATGGAAAATTGTCATCTTGACAATATTGAGTCTTTCTATCCATGTACATGGAATGTCTTTCCATTTATTTAGATAGTCCCTGAGGGTTTCCTTTTTTTTTTTTTGTATTTTTAGTAGAGATGGTGTTTCGCCATGTTGGCCAGGCTGGTTTTGAACTCCAGACCTCAGGTGATCCACCTGCCTCAGCCTCCCAAAGTGCTAGGATTACAGGCATGAGCCACCGCACCAGGCCTGTCCCTGATTTTTTCAATAGTGTTTTACAGTTTTTCTCATCTAGAACCACTATGAAAAACAGTAAGGTGGTGATATGGTTTGGCTGTGTCTGCACCCAAATCTCAACTTGAATTGTATCTCCCAGAATTCCCACGTATTTTTGGAGGGACCCAGTGGAAGATAATTAAAACGTGGGGGGCAGGTCTTTCCCGTGCTATTCTCATGATAGTGAATAAGTCTCATGAGATCTGATGTATGTATCAGGGGTTTCTGCTTTTGCTTCTTCCAATTTTCTCTTGCCGCTGCCATGTAAGAAGTGCCATTCACCTCCCATGACGCTTTTAAGGCCTCCCCAGCCACGTGGAACTGTAAGTCCAATGAAACCTCTTTTTCTTCCCAGTCTCAGGTATATCTTGATCAGCAGCATGAAAATAGACTAATACAGGTGGTTTCTCCAAAATTGAAAATAAAATTACCATATGATCTAACAATCCTCTTTCTGGGTATATATCTGAAAGAATCGAAAGTAGAGACTTACTTAGATATTTGTAAAGCATATAAATCACATTATTATTCACAGTAGCTGAGAGATGGAAGCAACCCAAATGTCCATCAACAGAAGAATAGGTAAGGGAGGTTTAACCCTGGACTCTGTATTTGATTCCATTGGTCTACATGTCTGTCTTTATGCTACTCCCAAACTATTTTGATTACTGTACCTTTGTAATGTGTTTTGAATTCTAGAAGTGTGAGATCTCTAACTTTGGTCTTTCAATATTTTTTTGGCTATTCAGGTCCCTTGGGATTACATTTAAATTTTTGGATGGGTTTTCTCTGTTTCTTGGCCTGTTTCCTCTCCAAGCCAAAATCTCTGAGACAGGGTTCTGGAATTGTGGGTGGAAACAATGGCAGGTTACCCCCCGACCCTGAAGCTTCAGGCACTTCTGGCAACTGAGAGCTCATTGTGGAGGAGCAGCAGTCTGAGGTTCTTTGGATTGCTTCCCCACACAATGAGCCACTGCCTCATGAACTAGGCAAGGTTGGTCAGGGCCCCCATCTTCTCTGTTTTCTGCATACAAGGAAGGGCCCCTATTTCACAAGTAGGTCTTGAGTGGTAAAAGGGAGCCTCCAACTCTCAAATGCACTTGCCAAGGACTTAGCCTCAAAAACAGTAGATGGGGCTTGGATGCAGAATGCTGTATTGTCTCTGGTTTTAGAATCAGGGCAGTAGTAAAGATGACTAAACTCTTTATTTGTGTAAATATTTTATGCTAGTAAATGCCTAAAATATTAGCTTAAAATTTGAAAGATGATTTTTTTTTGAGATGGAGTCTCACTCTTGTTGCTCAGGCTGGAGTGCAATGGTGCAATCTTAGCTCACTGCAACCTCTGCCTCCTGGATTCAAGCAATTCTCCTGCCTCAGCCTCCTGAGTAGCTGGGATTACAGGTGCCCACCACCACGCCCAACTAATTTCTGTATTTTTAGTAGAGATGGGGTTTCATCATGTTGGCAAGGCTGGTCTTGAACTCCTGACCTCAGGTGATCCACCCACCTTGGCCTCCCAAAGTGCTGGGATTATAGGCATGAGACATCATGCCCAGCCAAAAGATGATAAATTTTGAAAGTATATATATATAGATTTAGATTTCCATCCTAGCTTCTCTGCTTAAAAGCCAAAAGATCCTGAACAATTCACTCATCTTCCCTGAGACTGTTAACTTATCTATGCTATGGGATCAATGACATCTCTATTAAGGGTTTTTTTTTCTTGAAGTGTAAGTGTCAGGATCTGACACACGGAGTCTAGAATGTAACAGGTAACTGTAACTAACTGTTAATTCCATTTCTTCCATTTCTCTTTTCCTATGATTTACACCACCTTTATTTTAAGATACCTCAAACACTAAATAGATTTCTGAATTTAAATGCTAAGTACTGTAAAATTTAAAAAATTCTTTTGGCTGGGCATGTGGCTCACACCTGTAATCCCAGCACTTTGGGAGGCCAAGGTGGGCGGATCACCTGAGGTCAGGAGTTCAAGACCAACCTGGCCAACATGATGAAACTCGATCTCTACTAAACAATACAAAAATTAGCTAGTTGTGGTGGCGGGCGCCTGTAATCCTAGCTACTCCGGAGGCTGAGGCAAGAGAATCACTCAAACCTGGAAGGTGGAGGTTGCAGTGAGCCAAGCTCATGCCACTGCACTCCAGCCTGGGTGACAGGGTCAGACTCTGTCTCAAAAAATAAACATAATTTATTGAGACATATAGAGTATTGCTTATTAATACATTTTATATTGTATCCATCAATTATTATAATAGTGGTAGTGATTTTTAATATTTTGTCTTTTAACTTTTATACCAGAGTTAAAAGTTACTTGCATGTTATTTCTTCAACATTCAGGGTAAAGATGGTTCAGGGTGAAGATGGTTCAGGGTAAAGATAGTGTGAGAAAAATGATGTCTACTAAAAATCCTTTTTCTTTGTGTTTCCTACAGCAGGATACCTTGCTTTAGGCTCTGCTTAGTAGACAGTTTCCAATTGTGTGCACAGCCTGAGACTGATGCTGACAGAAACCAATTAGCGCATACTGTCAAGTCTTAAAATGAGACACAGGGTAGATCCCTAATTAAATTTATTACAATATTGTCATCGCTGTCATTTTTATAACAGGAGTGAGAGTAATATAGTAAGCTTTATTGGTGCTAGAGAATTCAATTCATATCATTCTTGTTTTCTAGGGACTGTTACCGTTTGCTGTGGTAGGGAGTATGGTTGAAGTGAAAGTTGGAAAAAGGGTGGTCAGAGGCTGTTACTACCCTTGGGGAGTTTTGCAAGGTAAATATGAAGGAGGGCAGACTCTGGAATGATTAAGTTAAATATATGTGTATCATTTGTAGTCTCAAAGTAACATTTTAAATTGAGCTAATATTGGTAACTCTTGCTAATCTGTAAGTTAACAATTACTAATGAGGAATGCAAACTCTGTTTTATGTAAATTAATGCTTACTGTGACAATGACTCATTCTCATAGAAGTCTGCTGAACGCTGCTTTAAGCCAAAATCTCCAGAGGCTGGGAAGAACCTCTTTGTTTATCCCAATGCTCCCAATGTGCCACGTGCATATTATCTGTCTTTGTATAAATTATGACATTGAGAATGCTGGAAAGCACTTTAAACAAAATGGAAGCAAAAATACTAGTGTGTAGATGTGTTGCATAAACTCATTGCTAGCTAATGTAGAAACCATTTTAAACTGGTCACTAGAAAAAAGAGTGATAAACTTTTTAAAACAAAGTACAATTTACCTTTGGCTAAAGATTATACCTTTGACATTTATATTATTATTTAGCATCATAATGAGTTAGAATAGTGTAGTAAGCAGTAATTTATTATCTTGTTCATATAGTTATGGTACTAATTATTGGGGAATGGAAGATTTCTACTTGTACTGGTTTCCAAATGATATTTTTGGTTTTTTTGTTTGTTTTTTGAGACAGATTTTTCTCTTGTCACCCAGGCTGGAGTGCAAGTGCCACGATCTTGGCTCGCCGCAACCTCCGCCTCCCAGGTTCAAGTGATTCTCCTGCCTCAGCCTTCTGAGTAGCTGGGATTACATGTGCCTGCCACCACACCTGGCTAATTTTTGTATTTTTAGTAGAGACAGGGTTTCACCATATTAGGCTGATCTCAAACTCCCGACCTCAGGTGATCCACTTGCCTTGGCCTCTAAAAGTGCTGGGATTATAGGCATGAGCCACCATGCCCAGCCCCAAATGATGTTTTTCAAAAAATGACATATTAAAAATTTTAAAATTTGTTAAACTTTTGTTTAACTTAATGTTTTAATATATAAACTTAATGTTTTAATATATATTATGTTGTATTATATATTAGTATGTGTTATAAAATATATATCTGTACTATATGTTGATGTATAAAATTTGGTCATAGTATTAATCACAATAAACCATATATTATCAATCTTCTGGACATGATAAACACAGGAGAGAGCCATACAAATTATTTTTCATTAATTAATCTTAATTGACAAATAAAATTGTATGTACTTATCATGTACAACATGATGTTTTGAAATACATATACATTGTGGAATGGCTAAATTGATATAATTAACATGTGTTATCTCAATTATTTTTGTGATGAAAGCTTAACATCTATCTTAGCAATTTTCAAGAGTATAAAATATTGTTATTAACACAGTCACTATGTTGTGCAATAGATCTCTTTAACTTGTTCTTATCTAACTAAAAGTTTGTATCCTTTGACTAACATCTCTCCTACTATACCCTCTACCTAACTCATGTAACCAGCATTCTACTCTCTGTTTCTATAAGTTTAACTTTTAAAAATTTGATATGTTAGTGAGATCATTTACTATTTGTCTTTCTGTGCTTGGCATATTCACTTAGTGTAAAGTCCTCTAGTTCCATCTATGTTGCTGCAAATGATAGGATTTCCTGATTTGTAAGGCTGAATAGTATTCCATTGCATATATATACCACACATTTTTTCTTCATGCATCCATTCATGGACACTTAGATTGCTTCCATATCTTGGCTCTTGTGAGTAATGGTAGTGTAGGTATCTCTCTGACATACTGACTTCATTTTGGGGAGGTATATATATCCAGTAGTGTGATTGCTGGATCATATGGTAGTTGTTTTATTTTTAATTTTTTGAAGAAGCTCCATACTGTTTTTCATAATGGCTGTCCTAATTTACATTGCCACCAACAGTGTACAAGGGTTCCCTTTTTTCCACATCCTTACCAGCACTTGTTTGTCTTATTGATAATAGTCATTTTAGCATGGGTGAAGTAACAGCTTATTGTGTTTTAATTTTTTTCTTTTTTTGAGATGGAGTTTAGCTCTTGTTGCCCAAGCTGGAGTGCAATAGTGTGATCTCGGCTCACTGCAACCTCTGCCTCCTGGGTTCAAGCAATTCTCCTTCCTCAGCCTCCCTAGTAGCTGGGATTACAGGCACATGCCACCATACCCAGGTAATTTTTTTTTTGTATTTTTAGTAGAGATGGGGTTTTGGCATGTTAGGCAGACTAGTCTCAAACTCCTGACCGCAGGTGATATGCCTGCCTCAGCCTCCCAAACTGCTAGGATTACAGGCATGAGCCACCACACCAGGCCTTTGTTTTTTAATTTTTAATTTTTATGGATACATAGTAGGTGTAAGTATTTATAGGGCACATGAGATATTTGATACTGGCATTCAGTGTGTAGTAATCACATCAGGGTAAATAGAGTACCCATCAACTCAAGCATTTATCCTTTCTTTGTGTCACAAACAATCCAAGTATACTCTTTTAGTTATTCTAAAATGTACAATAAATTATTGTTGACTGTAGTCACCTTCTGTGCTATCAAATACTAGATCTTATTCATTCTATGTAACTATTTACTTGTACCATCAACCATCCCCACGTCTCTTCCTCCCCAGTCCTTTCCTAGTTTCTGGTAATAAACATTCCTCTCTTTATCCCCATGGGTTCAATTGTTTTAATTTTTAGCTCCACAAATGAGTGAGAACATGTGAAATTTGTCTTCCCGTGTCTTATTTCACTTAACATAATATCCTCGGTTCCATTCATGTTGTTGCAAATGACGGGATCTCATTATTTTTTAAGGCTGAACAGTACTCTATCATGTATATGTACCACATTTACTTTATTCATTCATCTGGTGATGGATACTTAGGTTGCTTTCAAATTTTGGCTATTGTGAATACTGCTGTAACAAACATGGGAGTGGAGCTATCTCTTTAATATACTACTTTCCTTTTTTCTGGGTATATACCCACTAGTGGGATTGCTGGATCATATGGTAGTTCTATTTTTAGTTTTTTTGAGGAAACTCCATACTTTTTTCCGTAAAGACTGTACTGATTGACATTCCTGCCAACAGTGTACAAGGATTCCTTTTTCTCCACACCTTCACCAGCATTTGTTATTGCCTGTCTTTTGGATAAAAGCTTTTTTAACTGGGGTGAGATGATACCTCATTGTAGTTTTTATTTGCCTTTCTCTGGTAATCAGTGATGTTGAGTACCTTTTCATTTGCTTGTTCGGCATTTTAAAACACCCACAATGAGCAGTTACTTCACACATGTTAAAACGGCTATTATCAATAAGACAAAAGAAGACATTTTTATGTCTTCTTTGGAGAAATGTCTATTCAGATCTTTTGCCCATTTTAAATTGGATTATTAGATTTTTTCCTATTGAGTTGTTTGAGTTACTTAAATATATTCTGGTTATTAATCTCTTGTCAGATAAATAGTTTGTAAATATTTTCTCATTGTGTAGGTTGTCTCTTCACTTTGTTGATTGTTTCCTTTGTTTTGCAGAAGGTTTTTAATTTGAGATGATCCCATTTGTCTATTTTTGCTTTGATTGCCTGTGCTTGTGGGGTATTACTCAATAAACATCCTGAAGAGTTTCCCCAATGTTTTTTATAGTAGTTTCATAGTTTGAGGTCTTACATTTAAGTCTTTAATCCATTTTGATTTGATTTTTGTATGTGGTGAAAGATAATAGTTTATTTCTTCTGCATATGGATATCCAGTTTTCCCAACACCATTTATTGAAGAGCTTATCCTTTCCCCAGTGTATGTGCTTGGCACCTTTGTTGAAAATGAGTTCTCTGTGGCTGTATGGATTTATTCCTGGGTTCTCTATTCTGTTCCATTGGTCTGTGTGTCTGTTTTTATGCTGGTACCATGCTGTTTCACTAATGGCTTTGTAGTATAATTTGAAGTCAGGTAATGCGATTCCTCCAGTGTTGTTATTTTTGCCCAGAATTGCTTTAAGTATTTTTTTGGTTCCATATACATCTTAGGATTGTTTTTTCTTTTTCTTTGAAGAATGTCACTGATATTTTGACAGGTATTGCATTGAATCTATTATAGATTGCTTTGGGTAGTATGGACATTTTAACAATATTATTGATTCTTCCAATCCATGAACATGAACTATGTTCTCATTATTTTGCATCCTTTTCAATTTCTTACATCAGTATTTATAGTTTTCATTGTAGGGATTTTTCATTTCTTTGGTCATGTTTATTTCTAGGTATTTTATTTTATTTATAGCTATTGTAAATTGGATTAGTTTTTTTCAGATTTTTCACTGTTGGCATATAATAATGCTACTGATTTTTGTAGGTTGATTTTGTATGTTGTAACTTTATTAATTTTGTTTATCAGTTCTAATAGTTTTATTTTGGTGGAGTCTTTAGGTTTTTCTGCATAGGAGATCATATCATCTGCAAACAAGGATAATTTGACTTCTTCCTTTCCAATTTGGAACCCCCTTATATCTTTCTCTGGTCTTATTGCTCTAGCTAGGACTTCCAGTTGAATAACAGTGGTGAAAGTGGGCATCCTTGTCATTTTCCAGATCTTAGAGGAAAAGCTTTAAGTTTTTTCCCATTCAGTATGATACTAGCTGAGAGTCTGCCATACATGGCTTTTATTATGTTGAGGTATGTTGCTTCTATCCACAGTTTTTTGAATTTTTTTATGATGAAGGGATATTGAATTTTATCAAATGCCCTTTCAGCATCAATTGAAATGATCATATGGTTTTTGTCCTTCATTATGATACCATACTGATATGATGTACCATATTGATTGATTTGTGTGTGCTGAAGCATCTTTGCATCCCTGGGATAAATCCCACTTAGTTGTGGTGAAGGATTTTTAATGTGTTGTTGAATTCAGTTTGCTAGTATTTTTTGAGGGGTTTTTCATCAATGTTCCTCAGAGATATTGGCCTGGAGTTTTCTTGTTTTGATGTGTCTTTCTATGGTTTTGGTATCAGGGTAATACTGGCCTTGTTGAATGAGATCTGATTTATTCCCTTCTCCTATATGTTTTAGAATAGTTTGAGTAGAATTAGTATTGGTTCTTTAAATGTTTGCTGAAATTCAGCAGTGAAGCCATCAGATCCTGGACTTGTCTTTGCTGGGAGACTTCTTATTATGATTTTGGTCTCATTACTTGTTACTTGTCCTTCAGGTTTACAATTTCTTCATGGTTCAATCTTGATAGTATGTATATGTCTAGGAATTCATCAATTTCTTCTATGTTTTTAAATTTATTGGCATATAGTGGCTCACAGTGGCCTCTAATGAGCCTTTGGATTTCTGCAGCCTCAGTTGTAATGTCTCCTTTTTCTTTCTTTCTCTTTTTTTATTTTTAGAGATGGGGTCTCACTATGTTGCCCAGGATGGTCTCAAACTCCTGGCTCAAGCAATCCTCCTGCCTCAGCCTCCCAAAGTGCTGGGATTACAGGCATGAGCCACTGCACCTGGCCATTATGTCTCCTTTTTCATCTCTGATTTTATTTATTTGGATCTACTCTTTTTCTTTCTCAGTCTGGCTAAAGGTTTGCAGATTTTGTTTATATTTTCAAAAAATAAACTTTTCATTTCATTGATCTCTGGTATTTTTTTCATTTTAATTTCATTTCTTTCTGCTCTGATTTTTATTATTTCTTATACTAATTTTGGGTTTAGTTTGCTCTTGCTTTTCTAGTTCTTTAAGATGCATTGTTAGATTGTTTATTTGATGTTTTTCTACTTTTTTTGATGTAGGCACTTATTGCTATAAACTTTGTTCTTGGTACTGCTTTTGCTGTGTCCCATAGGTTTTGGTATGTTATATTTCCATTTTCATTTGTTTCAATAAATTTTAAAATTACCTTCTTTATTTCCTCATTGACCCACTGGTCATTCAGGAACATATTGCTTAATTTCCATGTGTTTGTGTAGTTTCCAAAGTTCCTCTTGTTATTGATCTACACTTTTATTCCATTGTAGTCAGGGATAATACTTGATGATTTCATATTTTGCATTGTTTAAGACTTGTTTTGTGGCCTAACATATGCTCTATCCTTGAGAATATGCTACATGCAGAGGAGAAGAATGCGCATTCTGTAGCCATTGGATGAAATGTCCTGTAACTATCTTTTAGGTTCATTTGGTCCATACTGCAGATTAAGTCAGGATTTTTTTGCTGATTTTCTGTCTGGATGATCTGTCCAATGCCGAAAGTGGAGTGTTGAAGTCTCCAGCTATTATTGTATTGGAATCTTTCTTTTTCTTTAGCTCTAATAATATTTCCTTTATATATCTAAGTGCTCCAATGTTGGGTACGTACATATTTATAGTTGTTATGGCCTCTTGCTGAATTGATCCCTTTATTCATAAGTAATGAACCTTCCTTGTCTGTTTTTACAGTTTTTGTCTTGAAATGTATTTTATCTTATATAAGTATACATTTTCGTGTTCTGTTTTTGTTTCCATTTGCATGGAATTATCTTTTCCCATCCCTTTATTTTCAGTCTATTTGTGTCTTTTTAAGTGTGTTCTTGTAGGCAACGGATCATTGGGTCTTGTTTTTTTTGTTGTTGTTTTTTGGTTTTTGGTTTTTTTTTGAGACAGAGTCTTGCTCTGTCACCCAGGCTGGAGTGCAATGGCACAATCTCGGCTCACTGCAACCTCCACCTCTAGGGTTCAAGCGATTCTCCTGCCTCAGCCTCCCGAGTAGCTGGGATTATAGATGCCCACCACCATGCCCAGCTAATCACTCTGTGTTTCTTGATTGGAGAGTTTAGTCCATTTACTCACATTCAAGGTTATTATTGATAAGTAAGGACTTACTCTTATCATTTTGTTATTTGTTTTCTGGTGACTTTGTGGTCTTGTCTTCTTTCTTTCCTACCTTCTTGTCTTCCTTTTAGTCCAGGTGATTTTCTCTGATGGTATACTTTAATTTCTTGCTTTCTATTTTTTGTGTATCTATTGTATTTTTTTTTGAGATTACCGTGAGGCTTGCATATAGCACCTTATAACCCATTATTTTAAACTGATGACAACTTATCACTGATTGCATAAATGAACAAAGAAACTAATGAATGAGCAAAAAACTAATAAAAACTTTACACTTTAACTTCATCCCTCCACTTTTTTAACGTTTAAAAATTTTCTATTTCTATCTTATACTGTCTATGTCTTGAAAAGTTGTAGTTATCATTTTTGATAGGTTTACATTTTAGTATTTCTACTACAGATATGAGTGCTTTACCCACTACAATAAGCTTGTTATAACATTCCATGTGTATCTGTATACTTACTATTAGGTTGGTGCAAAAATAGTTGCAGTTTTTGCTATTAGAAGTTATGGCATTAAAAGTAATGGCAAAAAACACAGTTCCTCTTTCTTTTTTTTTTTTTTTTGTTTTGTTTTTTTTGTTTGTTTTGAGACAGAGTTCCCAGCAGTACACTGTTCCCAGCAGTAACCTCAGCAGGGAACAAGCACATCTCCCCTCTGGCACTCATCTCTCCTCCCCCTCCCCCTCCTTTTCCTCCTCCTCCTCCTGTGGGAGGTGCTCAATGGGACTTTGGGATCTTTCACCTGCTGTGTCCAGTAGTTCTTTGAAGCCCACTTGTGAAACAGTGTTTGTTTTTTTGTTCTTTGGGTTTTTTTTTGAAATAGAGTCTTGCTGTGTCACCCAGGCTGGAGTGCAATGGCATGATCTTGGCTCACTGCAACTTCCGTCTCCCAGATTCAAGAAATTCTCCTGCTTCAGCCTCCCAAGTAGCTGGGATTACAGGCACGTGCCACTACGCCTGGTGAATTTTTGTATTTTTACTAGAGACGATGTTTCACCATGTTGGCCAGGCTGTTCTTGAACTTCTGACCTTAAGTGATCCACCTGTCTCGGCCTTCTGTAGTGCCAGGATTACAGGCATGAGCCTCTGTGCCTGGCTGAAACAGTGTTTTATGTTTATCCCTGTTTACAGAAGACCAAATACTGGTTTGGTGACAGCTTCCACGTCTTACTCTTCTACCTCCCTAGTCAGTGGGAATTTGGATAAGGGAATTGTAGGGCTTAGATTCTAGGGTTTTTATGTGACTGATCACAAAATAATTCTCTCTAAGCTATCTATGGCCCAGTGGTCCCTGCCAAGTCTGTAGATTTCAGAAACCACTTCTCTTTTATGGGGCTCATGGGGGCAGGGGCAGGTGTGATTTGCCTGGTGGCCTCATTCCCTGTGTTTAGCCTGTGTCTGGGGCATGGACTTTGTTAAATGGAGTCAACAGTGAGGCCCTCATGCTGCAGCCAGCCTCTCTGCCCCAGAGAATCCTGTGCTGTGTTCTAAGAATTTGAGAACTAGAGTCCTCACCCCCAGGCTTGAGGGCACATGGTTTTCTCAAGTAGGGCTCATTGTGGTATTTGTTATTACTTTACAACAAGACCATTTTAGTAATACAGTACCTTTCAAGTTTAATTATTTTAAGTTCTTTTGTTCTCCTTTCTTTGAGATTTTTGTGTATATTGTATATATTATACACACACACACACACACATATATATTTTGTATATATTTTTCTTCTGAGTAATGGTATCTCTAAGCTGATTTGTTGTAATCAGAGCTGATACCTGCTTTCAATACATGCTGGTTTTGTGTTTAAAAAAAATTGGAGAAGACACAAATAAATAGAAAGTTACCCCATGTTCATGATTAGAAGAAATAATATTGTTAAAATGTCCATACTACACAAGTGCTCTACAGATTTAATACCATTCCTATCAAAATTCCTAAGCCATTTTTCACAGAAGTAGAAAAAAATCCTAAAATTATACAAAACTAGAAGAAACCCTGCATAGTCAAAACAATTTTGGCAGAAAACAGCACAGCTGAAAGTATTGTACTCCTTGATTTCAAGATATATTATAAAGCAATTGTAATCCAAACAGCATGGCACTGGCATAAAAACAGACACATTAATCAACATAACAGGATAGAACGCCCATAAATAAACTTAAGTATAGTCAATTGATTTTTGACCAAGGTGCCAAGAACATATACTGGGCACAGTATGGTCTCTTCAATAAATAGTATTGATAAAACTGGATATTCACACACAGAAGAATAAAATTGGACTCTTATCTCACAGCATGCACAAAAATCAACTCAAAATGCATAAAAGTCTTAAACTCAATACTTAAAATTGTAAAGCTATTAGAACAAAACATAGGGGAAAACCTCCATGACATTGGTCATGACAATTATTTCTTGAATAGAACTCCAAAAGCTGGCAGGGTGCAGTGACTCACGCCTGTAATCTCAGCACTTTGGGAGGCTGAGGCAGGTGGATCACCTAAGGTCAGGAGTTTCAGACCAGCCTGACCAACATGGTGAAACCCCGTCTACTAAAAATACAAAAATTAGCTCGGTGTGGTGGTGGGTGCCGGTAATCCCAGCTACTCTGGAGGCTGAGGCAGGAGAATCGCTTGAATCTGAGAGGCAGAGGTTGCAGTGAGCTGAGATCATGCCGCTGAACTCCAGCCTGGGTGACAGAGCGAGACTCTGCCTCAAATAAAATAAAATTGAAAAAAGAACTTCAAAAGCACCAGCAACAAAACAAAAGGAAACAATTAATAGCATGAAGATATAACCCAGAGATTGGCAAAAATATTTTCAAATTATACATCTGATAAGGGGTTAATGTCCAAAATATACAATACTTTTGCTGTGACTCTAACAACTCAATAGCAAGAAAACAACACAAGGAAAAATGGGCAAAGGATCTGAATAGGCATTTCTCAAAAGAAGAAACACAAATGGCCAAAAGAAATATGAAAAAAATAGCATCTCTAATCATCAGGAAAATGTGAATTAAACACATGATGAAGTATCATCTCATGTCTGTTAGAATGACTATTATCAAAAAGACAAACGATAACAAGTGCTGGCAAGCATATGGAGAAAAGAGAATTCTTTTTTAAAAAAATTTGTATTTATGTTCAGGGGTACATGTGCAAGTTTGTTATGTAGGCAAATTCCATGTCATGGGAGTTTGGTGTACAGATTACTTCATCACACATAATAAGCATAGTACTGGCTGGACGCAGTGGCTCGAGTCTGTAATCCCAGTACTTTGGCAGGCCGAGGCGTGTGGATCACCTGAGCCTAACCAACATGGCAAAACCCCATCTCTACTAAAAAATACAAAAATTAGCCGGGCATGGTGGCGTGCGCCTGTAATCCCAGCTACTTAAGAGACTGAGGAAGGAGAATTTCTTGAACCTGGGAGGCGGAGGTTACAAGTTTACAGTGAGCCGAGATTGTGCCATTGCACTCCAGCCTCGGCAACAGAGCGAGACTCCATCTCAAAAACAAAAAAAAAATGCTCGCTTCGGCAGCACGTATACTAAAAAAAAAAAAAAAAAAAAAAAGGAAAAACATAGTAGTTTTTCTATCCTCACTCTCCTCCCACCCTCAAGGAGGCCTCAGTGTCTGTTGTTCCTCTGTTTGTGTTCATGTGTTCTCAATATTTATCTCCCACTTATAAAAGAGAGTATGTGATATTTGGTTTTCTGTTCCTGCATTACATCACTTAGGATAATGGCTTCAGCTTCATTCATGTTGCTGCAAAGGACACGATCTTGTTCTTTTTTTTTATGGCTGTGCAGTATTCCATGGTGTATATGTATGTTTTCTCTATCCAGTCTACCACTGATGGGCATTTAGGTTGATTCTATGTCTTTGTTATTGTGAATAGTGCTGTGATACACATGCCTATGTCTTTATGGTAGAACAATATATATTCCTTTGGGTATAAACCCAGTAATGGGATTGCTGGGTCAAATGGTAGTTCTGTTTTAACTTCATTAAGAAATTGTCAGGCTGGGCACGGTGGCTCATGCCTGTAATCCCAGCACTTTGGGAGGCTGAAAAGGGCGGGTCACCTGAGATCAGGAGTTTGAAACCAGCCTAGTCAACATGGTGAAACTCCGTCTCTACTAAAAATACAAAAATTAGCTGGGCGTGGTGGTGGATATCTGTAATCCCAGCTACTCGAGAAGCTGAGGCAGGAGAATCGCTTGAACCCAAGAGGAGGACAGAGGTTGCAGTGAGCTGAGATCGTACCACTACACTCCAGCCTGGGTGACAAGAGTGAAACTCTGTCTCAAAAAAAAAAAAAAAGAAAGAAAGAAATTATCAAACTACTTTTCATAATGGCTGAACTAATTTATATTCCCACCAGCAGTTTATATACATTCCCAAGAGAAAAGGGAATTCTTAAACATCATTGGTGGGAATTTAAGTTGGTACAGCCATTTTGGGAAATAATATAAACGTTCCCTCAAAAACTAAAAATAGTATTACTGTATGATCCAGCAGTACCACTTCTGGGTATGTACCCTAGTGGAATGAAATTGATCTGTCAAAAGACATCTGCACTCACATTTTTATTTCAGTCTTTTAAAATATATTAAGACTTATTTTGTGGCCTAACATATAATCTGTCCTGAAGAATGTCTTGGGTTTGTTTGAGAAGTATGTGTATTACATTGCTGTCAGATGAAATATTCCACATATGTCCATTAGGTCTGTTTGGTCTAAAGTGTAGTTTAAATCTCACATTTTTTTTTTACTGATTTTCTGGCTGGATAATCTATCCAGTTCTGAAAGTAGGGTATGTAAGTTTCTTACTATTATTGTAATATAGTCTATCTCCCCCTCAGGTCTGTTAATATTTGCCTTATATATTTAGAAGCTCTGATATTGGGTCCATATATATTTACAATTTTTTTTAATGAACTGACCTCTTCATCATTATATGACCTTCTTCATATCACTTTACAGTTTTCGACTTAAAGTCTATCTTCTGTGATGGGAATATAGCTCTCTGTGCTCCCTCTTTTAGTTTCTAATTGCATGGAATATCTTTCCAACTAAAGTATGTATAATTGTAAGGCCTTTTTGCTAGCAGAATTTACTTTGATAAAATTATTTACACTAGTGATGTTATATTACATATTCTGTTAGCACTCCAAAATACCCAGAGGTAGTTTATAACATACAACACAATTGTTAACCAAAACCTGTAGCATATATACATATAAAATATTTCACTCTTTCCTGCTTATTCTTCAGGTAATAACTTTAAAGCAAATTTGCTAACCTATAAATAATCTCTGCCTATAGTTGGTATGTGTAGTACAACCACACTTACATGGTTTAAAGAATTATAGCTATTAATCAAATTGTTCAGTTGTGTGTTGTTTTAAATGTGTTTTTTACTCATGTATTCATTCATTATTTCATGATTTCATTCATTCATGATTGTCAGGGATTGATAATGAGTGTGGTTGATTCATTATTATTTTTTTACTAGTGGAAAATGAAAATCACTGTGACTTCATTAAGCTCTGAGATACGCTTCTTTGTACCAATATGGAAAATCTAAAAGAAAAAACCCACACTCAGCACTATGAATGTTATAGGTACCAAAAACTGCAGAAAATGGGCTTTGCAGATGTGGGAACCAGCCAGTTAGGTGAGTAAAATATTGCTAACACAACCAAATGGATAATTTAGGAGTCCCCTACAAACACAAGGTACAATAATTTGGGCATGAGAATAATTATACTTCTCCCATCTTGAACCATCCTAAAGAAAACATCTTGAATGTTAGGTGTTTTTATCATCTTTTGATGAAGATAGAGATAGTTAGTAGGAAAAACACAATGTGAGATCTCATTTTTATGCTGAAATATGTGTATACAATATGTATATAAGCTGAAATGTGTATCAAAGAAAAAACCTAGTATTCTATTTTTTGTATTTATATGAAAGGTATATTTATTATATGAAAGACAGGATAGGCTGGGCACAGTGGCTCATGCCTGTAACCCCAACAATTTGGGAGGCCGAGGCGTGCGGATCATCTGAGGTCAGGAGTTCAAGACCAGCTTAGCTAACATGGTGAAACCCCGTCTCTACTAAAAATACAAAAATTAGCTGGGCATGGTGGTGTGCGCCTGTAATCCCAGCTACTCGGGAGTCTGAGGCTGGAGAATCACTTGAACCCAGGAGGTGGAGTTTGCAGTGAGCCGAGATTGCATCACTGCACTCCAGCTTGGGTGACAGAGCTAGACTTCATCTCAAAATAAAAAAAAGATAAAGAAAAAGGTAGAAAAATATTAGTAAAGTTTGACAAAAGATATTAAGAAGAGTTTGATGGAGGAACCAGCTGAAAAGCTGTAGTGCAGTGTCCTGGAAGTTAAATGAGAAAAGTTTGAGAGCAGGTGTACTTCTCTAACTTGAAGAAGAATACAGCTGGGTGCGGTGGCTCCTGCCTGTAATCCCAGCACTTTGGGAGGCCGAGGCAGGCAGATCACCTGAGGTCAGGAGTTTAAGATCAGCCTGGCCAACATGGTAAAACCCTGTCCCTACTAAAAATACAAAAAAAATTATCCGGGCATGGTGGCGGGCGCCTGTAATCCCAGTTACTTTGGAGGCTGAGGCAGGAGAATCACTTGAACCTGGTCAGCGGAGGTTGCAGTGAGCCAAGATCATGCCACTGCACTCCAGCCTGGGCAACAAAGCAAGACTCTGCCTCAAAAAAAAAAAAACACAAGTAGGACTCGTGCTGCAAAAATATGGCACTGTAGTGTATATAATCCAGTTATATCATTTGTTGTTCTCTGCAGACACTAAAAATTTGACTATCTTAAATGAATAATATTTTGAAAGACTCTTTGCTTTATTTTAGACTATTTTTGAAAATTGTCCCATACATTAGAGGTTTCCCTGAATTTTATTGTCAAAAGATGTGAAGAAGTATGATATGCTGGAAAGTGGTGGGGATAAGAATTCACTCATACAAGTGTTGGAAAATTCTAGTATTCTTTACATATACTCTCTATATACTCTGATCTTAAGTATTATGCCTTGGTTTTTACATCTTATGATATGGAAATTTCCATTTTGTGCTGCTAAACATGAGAGAATGTTGGCAGATTTCCTTATATAGGACGTTACATACAATACATATTTTTTACATGTTTATACTAGCATTATTTTTTTTTTGAGATGGAGTCTTGCTCAGTCTCCCAGGCTGGAGTGCAGTGGCACAATTTTGGCTCACTGCAACCTCCTCATCCCAGGTTCAAGCGATTCTCCTACCTCATTTTAATATAAGACTAAGAAAACATTTCTCTTTAGTTTTCAAGAAATCTCTGAAGCCAAAAGACAAGAGTTCTATGATCAATGTCAGAGGCAAGAAGAAGAGTTGAAACAGAGATTTATGCAGCGAGTCAAGGAGAAAGAAGCAACATTTAAAGAAGCCAAAAAAGAAGTCAGTACTGAAGTTGGATATAATTTGCACTAATTTTTAGGTGCCCAATTAATTTGGGGGTTTAATCTCAAGAGTTTAGTTTTTGGAGGATACTTGCTGTTTTTCAAAAAGTAACTTTTTACCATGTAGATTGGAATATAGCCTTTACAAAAGTATAGTCTGTAGTGTTTTTTCAAGAGAACTTAGATAATTTTCCATTTAAATAACCCTTAAGATCATTTTATAAAAATTTATTTATTTTATTTATAATTTAAATTTTCATGCACAAAGTTTAATTTGTGACAAACCCAAGCTATTTACTTTTGAGAAGAGTCTTGTACTGTCTAATGCTATTAATGCACTAGAAAATTGTCTTCACTTTTATAAATAAGCAAATGTTGACTAATGCTGGCCTTGATTAATGAGAAAATTTTAAGTTGGTAAATTATTTTATTCCATGCCATTTCTAATAAAATGGAAAAGAAGGCTATTAATATAGTTTTAATTGCCACAAATACATTTTTGGTGAAGACATTTTTGAAACCATAATTTCTTTCTCTCAAGTGTAGGTGGCTTTAGTTTAAGAACATTTAGTGTTGTTAGGTAAATTGGAACATGAACTTCCTTTTTCATAAAAATAAATTGGTAATTAGGCGCTATAGGCCAGATGTCTCACTCAAAGACAGTTGAATTATAAGTAATAAAAGTTTTGGCCGGGTGTGCTGGCTCAAACCTATAATTCCGGCACTTTGGGAGACGGAGGCAGGCAGATCACCTAAGGTCAGGAGTTTGAGACCAGCCTGGCCAACATGATGAAACCTCGCCTCAACTAAAAATACATAAATTAGCCAGGCCTCGTGGTGCATGCTTTTAATTCCAGCTACTTGGGAGGCTGAGGCAGGAGAATTGCTTGAAACTGGGAGGTGGAGGTTGCAGTGAGCCAAGATCGTGCCACTGCACTCCAGCCTGGGCAAGAGTGAGACTCCTTCTCAAAAAAAAAAAAAAAATCCATTAGCTTAGGTACAAAGGAAAAGTCTGGATGTATACAGGGGTATGTCATGGCATCCAAGAACAAGAGGCATAGCTGAATCTCATGAAGACTTAAACTGAAACTAGAAAGTGAGCAGAAACCAAAGCAACCATTTAAATTTTCTCTTTCTCTCCCACCTCACTTCCCTTAGTTATGAACCTTATTCCTGTACGTCTGCTTCTTTTTTTTCTTTCTTTCTGGGGATTAGTTTCTTTTTGATATCTCAACTATGTGGTCCCTTAGGATTGATTACATATCTTGATTACTGTTAATTAATGCTGCAATAAACATGAAAGTGTGGATATCTCTTTGACATACTGATTTTATTTCCTTTGAATATGTAACTATTAGTGGGGTTGCTGAACCATATGGTTATTCTATTTTCAATTGTTTAATGAACTCCCATATTGTTTTTCATAATAGCTGTACTGATTTACATTTTCATCAACATTTTATAAAATCATTATTGTAAACACTTATCTTTCTTTTTTTTGGTAATAGCCATTCTAACAGATATGAAGTGCCATCTAATTGTGGTTTAAATTAGCATCTCTCTGATGATTAATGAGGTTGAATATTTTTTCATGTCCCTATTTGCCTTTTATGTCTTATTTATTTATTTATTATTATTATACTTTTTTAGGGTACATGTGCACAATGTGCAGGTTAGTTACATATGTACACATGTGCCATGCTGGTGCGCTGCCCCCACCAACTCGTCGTCTAGCATTAGGTATATCTCCCATCGCCATCCCTCCCCCCCACACCCCACAACAGTCCCCAGAGTGTGATGTTCCCCTTCCCGTGTCCATGTGTTCTCATTATTCAATTCCCACCTATGAGTGAGAATATGCGGTGTTTGGTTTTTTGTTCTTGCGATAGTTTACTGAGAATGATGATTTCCAATTTCATCCATGTCCCTACAAAGACATGAACTCATCATTTTTTATGGCTGCGTAGTATTCCATGGTGTATATGTGCCACATTTTCTTAATCCAGTCTATCATTGTTGGACATTTGGGTTGGTTCCAAGTCTTTGCTATTGTGAATAGTGCCGCAATAAACATACGTGTGCATGTGTCTTTATAGCAGCATGATTTATAGTCCTTTGGGTATATACCCAGTAATGGGATGGCTGGGTCAAATGGTATTTCTAGTTCTAGATCCCTGAGGAATCGCCACACTGACTTCCACAATGGTTGAACTAGTTTACAGTCCCACCAACAGTGTAAAAGTGTTCCTATTTCTCCACATCCTCTCCAGCACCTGTTGTTTCCTGACTTTTTAATGATTGCCATTCTAACTGGTGTGAGATGGTATCTCATTGTGGTTTTGATTTGCATTTCTCTGATGGCCAGTGATGATGAGCATTTTTTCATGTGTTTTTTGGCTGCATAAATGTCTTCTTTTGAGAAGTGTCTGTTCATGTCCTTCGCCCACTTTTTGATGGGGTTGTTTGTTTTTTTCTTGTAAATTTGTTTGAGTTCATTGTAGATTCTGGATATTAGCCCTTTGTTAGATGAGTAGGTTGCAAAAATTTTCTCCCATTTTGTAGGTTGCCTGTTCATTCTGATGGTAGTTTCTTTTGCTGTGCAGAAGCTCTTTAGTTTAATTAGATCCCATTTGTCAATTTGGCTTTTGTTGCCATTGCTTTTGGTGTTTGCAGATGACATGATCGTATATCTAGAAAACCCCATTGTCTCAGCCCAAAATCTCCTTAAGCTGATAAGCAACTTCAGCAAAGTCTCAGGATACAAAATCAATGTACAAAAATCACAAGCATTCTTATACACCAACAACAGACAAAAAGAGAGCCAAATCATGAGTGAACTCCCATGCACAATTGCTTCAAAGAGAATAAAATACCTAGGAATCCAACTTACAAGGGATGTGAAGGACCTCTTCAAGGAGAACTACAAACTGCTGCTCAATGAAATAAAAGAGGATACAAACAAATGGAAGAACATTCCACGCTCATCGGTAGGAAGAATCAATATCGTGAAGATGGCCATACTGCCCAAGGTAATTTACAGATTCAATGCCATCCCCACCAAGCTAACAATGACTTTCTTCACAGAATTGGAAAATAGTACTTTAAAGTTCATATGGAAACAAAAAAGAGCCCGCATTGCCAAGTCAATCCTAAGCCAAAAGAACAAAGCTGGAGGCATCACACTACAGAGATATAGATCAATGGAACAGAACAGAGCCCTCAGAAATAATGCCGCATATCTACAACTATCTGATCTTTGACAAACCTGAGAAAAACAAGCAATGGGGAAAGGATTCCCTATTTAATAAATGGTGCTGGGAAAACTGGCTAGCCATATGTAGAAAGCTGAAACTGGATCCCTTCCTTACACCTTATACAAAAATCAATTCAAGATGGATTAATGACTTAAACGTTAGACCAAAAACCATAAAAACCCTTGAAGAAAACCTAGGCATTACCATTCAGGACATAGGCATGGGCAAGGACTTTATGTCTTCTTTTAAAAAATGTTCAGATTCAGCCAGGCGCAGTGGCTCATGCCTGTAATTCCAACACTTTGGGAGGCTGAGGTGGGCGGATCATTTGAGGTCAGGAGGTGGGCAGATCATTTGAGGTCAGGAGTTCAAGACCAGCCTGACCAACATGGTGAAACCCTGTCTCTATTAAACATACAAAAATTAGCCAGATGTGGTGGCACAAACCTGTAGTCCCAGCTATTCAGGAGGCTGAGGCAGGAGAATCGCTTGAACCGGGGAGGTGGAAGTTACGGTGAGCCCAGATCACACCACTGCACTCCAGCTTGGGTGACAGAGTGAGACTCCATCTCAAAAAAAAGAAAAAAAAGTAAAAAAAAATTACAGGGTCATTGCCCATTTTTGGAATGAGGTTGTTTTCATACTATTGAATTGTTTGAGTTCTTGTATATTTTGGGCATTAACCCCTTATCAGATGTATGGTTCGCAAATATTTTCTCACATTTCATGGTTCTTTTCTTTACTCTGTTGATTTTTTTTTTGGCTGTGCAGGAGCTTTTTAGTTTGATATAATTTTATTTGTCCGTTTTTGCTTATGTTGTCTATGCTTTGGAGTTTGTATCCAAAAAATCATTGCTCGGACCAAGTTAAGGAACTTATCCCTAAGTTTTTAAAGTAGTTGTACAGCTTTAGATCTTACAGCAGTTAAGTCTTTCATCCATTTTGAGTTGAGATTTGCATATGGTTTGAGATAAAGATCTAATTTTGTTTTTCTGCATGTGGTCACATTTATTGATTTGTGTAGTTGAATCATCCTTGCATTACAAGAATAAATTCCACTTGGACTATCTGGTATTTAATGTGCGATCTAATTCAGTTTGCTAGTATTTTGCTGAGGATTTGCTAGTTTGCTTATCACAAATGTTGGCCTATATTTTTTTTTTCTCATAGTGTCCTCTTCTGGCTGTAGTATCAGAGTAATAATGTCTTCTTCAAATGCATTTAGAAGTGTATTATCCTGGCCGGACATGGTGGCTCATGCCTGTAATCCCAGCACTTTGGGAGGCCAAGGCAGGCAGATCACCTCAGGTCAGGAGTTCAAGACCAGCCTGGCCAACATGATGAAACCCCATCTCTACTAAAAATACAAAAGTTAGCCAGGCGTGGTGGTGCACACTTGTCATCCTAGCTACTCAGGAGGCTGAGACAGGAGAATCACTTGAACCCAGGAGGTGAAAGTTGCAGTGAGCCGAGATCACACCACTGCACTGCACTCCAGCCTTAGAAACAGAGCGAGATTTCATCTCAAAAAAAACAAAAATAAGAAGAAAAAGAAGAAGCGTACTCTCCAATTCTTTGGAAGAGTTTGGGATGTATTTTTGTACTATTTCCATATTATTTATTTATTTAAGACAAGATTTCACTCTGTCACCCAGGCTGGAGTGAAGTGGTGCTATCTCAGCTTGTTGCAACCTCCATTTCTCAGGCCCAAGTGATCCTCCCACTTCAGCTTCTTGAGTAGCTGGGACCACAGGCATGCACCACCCTGCCTGGATTTTTTTTGTACTTTTAGTAGAGATGGGGTCTCACTATGTTGTCCAGGCTGGTCTTGAACTCCTGAGCTCAAGTGATCTGCCTGCTTCAGCCTCCTAAACTGCTGGGATTACAAGCATGAGCCACTGCACCTGGCCTACTATTTCAATTTTAAATGTTTTGTAGCCTTCCCCAGAAAAGTCACCTAGTACTACCTTTTCTTTGGTAGCATTTTTTGTTACTGATTAAATCTCCTTACCTATTAGTAGTCTTTTCAGATTTTCAGTTTCTTCATGATGCAATCTTTGTAGATTATGTGGTTATAGGAGTTTATTAACAAAGTTTATCCAATTTCTTTGTTAGGTTATCAAATTTTATTGGCTTATAATTTTTCATAGTAGTCTCATCATTTGTATTTCTTTGGTATCAGCAGTAATGTATCACCTTTCATTTCTGATTTTATTTGTTTGAGTTTTCTCTTTTTTCTTAGTTTTTCTAAGGGTTGTTTATCTTTTAAAAACAGATTTAGTTCACTAATTTTTTTGCTGTTGTTTCTCTTATTTTTGTTGTATAGCTTACTTATTTCTGCTATGATTTTTGCTTTTTTTTTTGAGACAGCGTTTCACTCTTGTTGCCCAGGCTGGAATGCAATGGCACGATCTCTGCTCACCACAAACTCTGCCTCACGGGTTCAAGCAATTCTCGTGCCTCAGCCTCTCAAGTAGCTGAGATTACAGGCATGCACCACCACGCCCGGCTTATTTTGTGTTTTTAGTAGAGACAGGGTTTCTCCATGTTGGTCAGTCTGGTCTCGAACTCCTGACCTTAGGTGATCCGCCCACCTTGGCCTCCCAAAGTGCTGGGATTACAGGTGTGAGCCACCGCGCCTAGCCCAATTTTTACTATTTTCTTGCTTTTACTGACTTTGCACTTGGTTTTTCTTTTTCTCTTTCCTTGAGGTGTGAAATTACATTATTTGATCTTTTTCTTTTTTCTTAATGTAGGCATTTATTGAGAGTGAACTTAAACTGCTTTTGCTGTATCTCGTAACTATTGATATGTTGTTTTTTATCTTCATTTGTGTCAAGATATGCAATTTTTTTTTGAGATAGAGTTTCGCTCTTGTTGCCCAGGCTGTAGTGCAGTGGTGCAATCTTGGCTCACCAGAACCTCTGCCTCCTGGGTTCAAGTGATTCTCCTGCCTCAGCCTCCCAAGTAGCTGGGATTACAGGCATGCATCACCACGCCTGGCTAATTTTGTATCTGTATCCTCCCGCCTTGGTCTCCCAAAGTGCTGAGATTACAAGCATGAGCCACTGCATCCAGTTAGTCCCAGCACTTCGGAAAGCTGAGGTGGGAGGATCACTTGAGCTTGGGAGTTTGAGACTGGCCTGGGCAACATAGTGAGACCTTGTCTCTATATTAAAAAAAAAAAAGAGTTTTTGGGAGGCCACAGTGGAAGGATCACCTGAGATCAGGAGTTCGAGATCAGACTGGCCAACATGGTGAAACCCTGTCTCTACTAAAAATACAAAAATTAGCTGGGCGTGGTGGTGCATGCCTGTAGTCCCAGCTACTCAGGAGGCTGAGGCAGGAGAATCACTTGAACCAGGAGATAGAGGTTGCAGTGAGCTGAGATCATGCCATTGCACTCCAGCCTGGGCAACAGAGTGAGACTTCATCTTAAAAAAGGAAAAACGAAAGAAAAGAAAAATTCCATATCTGAGTGTTTAACTCCTGAGTTTTTCAGATTGTTATTAAGATCATGCTCTACTGTGATGATTTGGGTGTGTTCGATAATCAGAAAAAAGCCTATTCTTTTGGGTGTTCAGCCACATCGTGCTTTGGTGTCACAACTGCACATTGGTTTCACAGCTGCAGGACAAGTTCGAGCATCTCAAAATGATTCAACAGCAGGAGATAAGGAAGCTTGAGGAAGAGAAAAAACTGGAAGGAGAAATAATAGATTTTATAAAATGAAGGCTGCTTCTGAAGCACGGCAGACTCAGTTGAGCACTAATACAAAGACAAAGATCATAAGAAATATTAGTTTCTCTTATTATTCTGTTTGAGAGCCTTATATTCTACATCCCATCTTCCTGTGAGATTGTCTTTGTAGCATTTAACTCTGATTGTGGTTCTCATTTTAAAAATTCACTTGCTTATTGTATATTTTCCCCAATTAAAGCATGAACACCTAGTGGGGTGTGATGGCTCATGCCTGTAATCCCAGCACTTTAGGAGGCTGAGGCAGGTGGACCACCTGAGGTCAGGAGTTCAAGATCAGCCTGACCAACATGGTGAAACCCTGTCTCTACTAAAAATACAAAAATTAGCCAGGCACGGTGGCTGGCAGCTGTAATCCCAGCTACTTGAGAGGCTGAGGCAGGAGAATGACGTGAACCCAGGAGGTGGAGCTTGCAGTGAGCAGAGATCACGCCACTGCACTCCAGCCTGGTTGACAGAGCAAGACTCTGTCTCAAAAAAAAAAAAAAGTGTGAACTCCCTGAACGCAGGTGCTGTGTCCATCTTTTCAGATTCTGTATCCCAGCACTTAGGACATAGACAAACACAAAGATGACATTCAATCAATATTTGCCAAAATGAAAAAAACAATAGAAACATGTAACATCATGTAAAAGGAGCTGTTTAGGTGGAGAAATTTCTTTACCATAGACCTGTTTGTGGATCCAGTAGTGACTTTTACATTTCGTATTTAAATAGAAGCTGGAGGCTTTGTTGGGGAACCATAGGCATAAAATATTACGTTAATAGGCTTATTTTCCTTCTTAAATTCTACTAATAATTTCTTGATAGTTTTTATTATGATAAAAGGTTGGATTTTGATTAGAACTCCCATGCTTTTGTGTCAGATTTAAAACTGGTATTAGAATCAAGAATTCAAAAGCTAGAGAAAGTCAGAGTACAATGAGAAGCCATGAGTTGCATTTGAATGATAATATTATGTCTTACAGATTTGGGGTATATGCTAAAGTTATCAAAGTTGTAGAAAATAAGGCTGGGTGTGGTGGCTCACATCTGTAATCCCAGCACTTTGGGAGCTGAGGTGGGGGGATCACTTGAGGTCAGGAGTTCCAGACCAGCCTGGACAACATGGCAAAACCCCATCTGTACTAAGAATACAAAAATTAGCTGGGTGTGGTGGTGTGCATCTGTAGTCACTGCTACTTGGAAAGCTGACGCAGGAGAATCACTTGTACCCAGAAGGCAAAGGTTGCAGTGAGCAGAGATTGTGCCACTGCACTCCAGCCTGAGTGACAGAGCACTATGAGTCACCACACCTGGTATGAGTGAGCCACCGTGCCCGGCCCACAATGACTTTTATACGTGTTGTTAACTGATCTTACGGATTTTAAAACTTGGGGGAAAGAAAATTTTACTAAATGGTCTTTTAATGGAAACTCTACAAGAACCAGAATCTTTGCTTTGTTCACTTATGTATCCATTCCTAGGCCTAGAACAATGTCTGATACATAGCGGCAATTATTCATTGAATAAATGGACCCAGCAATAGTACATTAGCTATGCTATATGCATACATTAAAAATGTAGATTATTGACTTTAAAAAGATAATTAATGTAAATTCTTACTGCTTTTGAAAATGTTTGTGAGTCATGTTGCTGAGGGACCTTTATCTTCTCATTATTTCATCTTAATCCAGTGTTATTAAAATTGAAATCACCAATATTATTCCATATCTAAAAATAATATCTACCTTGTAAAAATTATCACTCTGCTGCATTTGAGAATAGACTTCTTAGGTAATAATGGTATAATCCATAGGGCTTTTTTGGGGCACAGAAGGATTCATGCTAAGAGAACATTTTATTTTCTATTTTCCCAGAGCTATAAAACATGAAATTATATGATAGTATAAGGCATACTTTTACTCTTTTCACATTTTTTTCTAAAAAAAATTAGTGTTTGTTTCCTATGTAACTTTTAACTGTATAAGTAAATATTTGTCTCTTTCAGCTCCAGTTTTATGTGAAATAGAGTTTTCAGATTTATGTAGCATGGAAAGTTTTAATAAGTCAAAGTTACTGATTTTTGACAGTCAATTTTCTCAATTATTTACTTCTTTTATCTTTAGGTTTTTTTTTTGTAGTGACACGTTTTGTTTTTATTCTCATTTTCTTTTGTTTATATTCGATGTATATTTCGTTTTTGGTCACTATGAGAATTACATACAACATCCCAGAGTTATAACATTCTAATTTGAATTTATATCAGCTTATCACATACCAAAATTCTACTGCTATATAGCTCTACTCTTTTTACGTTATTGATGTAACAAATTATATCTTTATTCATTGTATACCACCTAACAAATTATCTTTATTCATTGTATACCACCTACCAGATTTATAATTATATTTTATGCATTTGTCTTTTAAATTCTGTAGAAAATAAAAAGCGGAGTTACAAACCAAAATTATAATAATACTGTTTTTATGTTTAAGTATTCACCTTTACCAAAGAGCTTTATATATTCATATAGCTTGCTTATTTACTTATATAGTTACTGCCTAAAGTTCATTTATTTCAACCTGAAGGACTTTAACACTACTTGTATGGCAAATTTAGAGATAAATGAATTTTTTTCAGCTTTAAAAAATCTGGGAGCGCTCTGGGCCGGCCCCTCCATGGGGCCGCCCGGGAACACACGCGGGTGGAGGAGGGGACCGAGCCCGGGCACCTGTGGCCATGGCCGCCGTGGCCGAGCGGGGCCGCGTGCCTACCCCCGTGCCTGCGCCCGCGCCCAGCACTGAGGGGCTGCCGCGCGCCTTGCTGCAGAGCCTGCACACCCTGTTCCACATCTGGACAACAGGCGGTGCGGCTGCAGGCACCTGCACGAGATCCAGTCTCGCTGGCAGGGCGCCAACACGTGGGAGCAGCCACGCGGGGTGCTGGAGGGCTTGTGCCAGGTGGCCCAGGCCAGCGGCTACTTGACCTTCGAGCGCTTCGTGGCCGGCTTGCGCACCACGCTGCTGAGCCCGATGGCGGCCCCTGGGACCCCACATGCGCCCTGGCCGGGACCAGGGACCAGCCGCCGCCGCCGCCGCCGCCGCCGCCGCGGCAGCGCCTGGTGTTAGCGCCCGCTGAAGAGCCGCGGACGGTCCTGGAGAGGAAGCCCCAGCCCCTGGGCGTGCGCGGCCATCTGGCCGTCCCAGCGGCGCGGCCCGCAGCCCGGAGCAGCTGTGCTCCCGGGCCGAGGCGGCGCCCTGCCCCGTGGAGCCGGAGCTGTCCCAGAGCACCGCGCTGGAACCGAGCCGGAGTGCAGACGCAGGTGCAGTGGCCTGCAGGGCCCAGGGCCAGGGAGGCGGACTCAGGGGATGCCTGGCGGGCCTCCAGTGCCCCAGGGGAACGTCGGAGTCACACCATCACCAGCGGTATGGACTGCGGCCTGCTGAAGCAGATAAAGAAGCTGGAGCAGAGAAGGCTGTGCAGTTGCAGGCTTTGGAGATGACGGCGCGGGGCCGCGGCTGGTACCAGCAGCAGCTGCAATGAGTGCAGGAGCACCAGCACCGACTATGGGGCTGCGGGAGCCCCCGCCCACTGGGGCGGCTACTGCCCAAGGTACAGGAGGTGGCCTGGTGCCTGAGGGAGCTGCTGGCTGCGGCCTGTGCCAGCCAGGCCCTGTCCAAGTCCTCCTCCGCCCCCCACCCGGTCCTGCCCGCACGTCCACTTCGTCCCTGGGCCGGCAGCAGCAGACCATCCTCATGCTGAATGAGCAGAACCGACTCCTCACCCAGGAGGTGACAGAGAAGAGTGAGCGCATCACGCAGCTGGAGCAGGAGAAGTCAGCACTCATTAAGCAGCTGTTTGAGGCCCGCGCCCTGAGCCAGTGGGACGTGGGCGCCTCTGGACTTCATCTAGTCCGTGTGGGCAGCGCGGGCCCCCAGGGCCGGCCTGGCACTCAGCCCTTCGAGGTTGGGCGCCCCATCACACCCACCTTCTCTGGCTGGAGACCCCCGGCAGGCCCAGACAGTCCCAGAGTGGGCGCCTTCCTGCCCGCATTGCCAAATGGGCTCCCCAGGCCTGCCCCCGGCTGGTCCCCACACCAAACCCTTGACTCCGTTTTAGCTCCTGGTGCTGACATGGGCTGGGGCTGTCTTGAGTCTGCATAGTCCGCAGCTACTACTGCCGCTGTCAGTGGACAGTGGGGATCACCTCCACAAGTTACCATCCCCCATTTCCAGCTGTGCTGCCCTGGGTCCCATCTACAGGGAAAGGCACTGCTCACGCCAGGCTGCACTTCCAACAACTGCCAACAGAAGGCGCTGCGCGGCTCCGATGCGGGTCCAAGGGCAGCTTCCCCCCTCAACCAGGGCACCAGGACAAGGTAGCTGTCACTCTAACGGAAGCAGATGGAGGGGGTGGGGATGACCTGTAAGCGGGGGGTGCCCGCCTGGCCGGGTAGACCCAGGGATGGCGCTCGGACTTCAGGTCCTGGCCAAGGCTGAGGGACTCTGGCTGCAGTGGATCGGGGAGCCGGGTGGGCGAGATCTTAGCCTGCATGTATCTCCCGCAAACCCCGGGGTGATGGCTTTCCTCATCCTGGCCAGGACACTGCCCCACGTTGAGTCCCACACAACAGTGTGTGAGCCTGGCTCCCCAGGAGGGCCCCCAGACAGCTCCCAGGCACATCATAGGCCTGCCCCC